>NC_000023.11:18198094-18501124 GCF_000001405.40 Homo sapiens | reverse complement strand
TCACGTCTGTAATCCTAGCACTTTGGGAGGCTGAGGCAGGCAGACTGCTTAAGGTCAGGAGTTGGAGACCAACCTGGCCAACATGGTGAAACCCCATCTCCAGATAAAATACCAAAAAATTAGCCGGGTGTGATGGTGGGTGCCTGTAGTCCCAGCTACACAGGAGGCTAAGGCACGAGAATTTTTTGAGCTTGGGAGGTGATGGTTGCAGTGAGCCAAGATCACGTCACTGCACTCCAGCCTGGGCAACAGAAGGAGAGTCGGTCTCAAAACAAATAAAAAAAATAATAATGATGTGAGTGGATACTTATCTTGGATGTCAAGAATGGTCTTTTAAATACCAGTATTCATACTGAAGAAAAAAATTATGCCATATTGGATTTAGCTGCAATTTTATATGAATATAACTGATTAATCTTTTTTTTTAAGGCATAAAAACTAAAACGTTTTAGTTCTGGTGATGGCAAACTACATATCTTGGATGAAATGTCCCTTTACAGACAAATACAAATGCTAGAGGGAATACTTTTCAGAAACATCTTAAAAGCTCCAAACACTTAACAAGATTGTGAAGAATTACCTGGCTAAAATCAAAGCAATCAAAGCAAAAGAATAGAATCCAGAGAGATAATCCAAACCACCCAAAACTATTTTAGCTTTTCTGGTATTTGAAGATCCAGAAAATGAGAGAAAAACAGGTTTGCTCTTGAAATCGTTAGAGATCAAGGAACACAAAATTCAAAGTCAAGGGTGTCTCAAAATGAGAAAGTTTGTTAGCAATAATTTATTGTATATTTCAAAATAACTAAAAGAGTGGAATTGGGAGGTTCCTAACACAAAGAAATGATAAATGCTTGAAATGATGGATACCCCAATTACCCTGATCATTACATATTGTATGCTTGTATCAAAATATAACATGTATCCCATAAATATATACAACTATTAAGTAGCTATAATCATTAAAAATAAAATTTTTATAAATAAGGAGAAAGTTTGATAAATCACCACTCACTTGAAGCCAAAACCCCAGAATATACTCCCAGGATAAGAAAAAACAGAAATAAATCAGCCCTTGGACAAACTTGAACTGTAGGTTTATGTCATCTGGGCGATCTAGATAAAATCTTTAAATGTACTTTGGATTAAGGTGGTTCCACATTCAGATTGTTAAAGCCACCAGTTGTCTGGGTGAAACAAAGAAAAAAAGCAACGCTCTGAGGGAAGATGGCATCAACCAGGCCTCACAATACTGCTACAGATAGTTTCTCATTTACAATGTGCAGTACATAATCAAAGATGGCCAAACACGCAAGGTAAGATACCACGAACAAGAACCAATAGAAACAACTGAAAAAGAAAATGATCCCAAAAGACTTTGGGTCAGGGATAGCCTATAAATGATCAGCAATAGCCTACAAAACAACGGTAGGGTTGATGCAATAAAAACCAGACTGGCCGGGTGCAGTGGCTCACGCCTGTAATCCCAGCACTTTAGGAGGCCGAGGCCGAGGCGGGTGGATCACGAGGTCAGGAGATCCAGACCATCCTGGTTAACATGGTGAAACCCTGTCTCTACTGAAAAAATACAAAAAAATTAGCCGGGCATTGTGGTGGGCGCCTGTAGTCCCAGCTACTCGGGAGGCTGAGGCAGGAGAATGGCATGAACCCGGGAGGCGGAGCTTACAGTGAGCCGAGATCGAGCCACTGCACTCTAGCCTCGGCGACAGAGCGAGACTCCATCTCAAAAAAAAAAAAAAAAACAAAGACTGAACATTGTGACAGAACTAAAAGGTCCAAAAGGTGAAAGATCAAACTATAAAAATAAATTAGAATGCTAGATAGAGAGCATAACAAAAAAAGAGAACTAAATGAAAGAGAAAAATATTAGGATAAAGAAGACATTGAACATGTTTTTAAAATTTGACCAAATGAACATATCAACTATAGCAAAGAACTGCAAAATATCTTTTTCTCCTCTCCAAGCACACATACAACATTCACAAAAACTGATCATATGCTAGGCCATAAAGCAATTCAAAATAAATTACAAGGGCCGGGCACAGTGGCTCGGGCCTGTAATCCCAGTATTTTGGGAGGCTGAGGTAGGCAGATTACTTGAGGCCAGGAGTTCGAGACCAGCCTGGTTAACATGGTGAAATCCTGTCTCTACTAAAAACACAAAACTTAGCCAGGTGTGATGACCACGTGCCTGTAGTCCCAGCTACTCAGGAGGCTGAGGCACGAGAATCACAGAGGATGCAGTGAGCCAAATGGCGCCACTGCACTCCAGCCTGAGCAACAGAGCAAAACTCCATCTCAAAAATAAATAAATAAATAAAATAAATTACAAGGACTGAAGTAAAAGGATGGTCTCTTTCCACAACTAAAGTTGATCAATCACAAAAGAAGTAGTTAGAAAATAATTCTTATGTTTGGAAATAAATACACTCCCAAAATAATCCATATGTCAATCAAGGAAGAAAACATAATACACTTAACAATAACAAAAATACAAATCTATAGAAAGAAAACAATGCTTAAGGAGGAAATTGAGAATCTTATATGCATATATCAGAAAATACTAAAAACTGGAAACATGAACTAAGCATCAAACTCAAGAGGCTAAACAAAAGAAACACAAAATGAGCCCAATGAAAATGTGAAGAAAGAAATGAGTAAGAGCAAAAATTCATGAAACAGAAAACACAAGTAATAAAAAGATCAGGCTGGGAACCTACAGAACTGTGAGCTAATAATATATGGTGTCTTAACATGGCTAAGCATGTGGTAAGTTATTATGCAACAGAAAACTGATACAACAGCATTGTTTCTTTTATATACAGTTTAAAAACAGGCAAAGCTGAACTATAAACTATATTAAGTATGTACATGTAAGTGGTAACTGTATAAAAAAGTGATCAAGGAAGTGTTTATTGTAAAAAAATCAGGATATTAATTACCTCTAAGGAGGGACTGAGATTGAGAAAAGACATATGGCAGCCCGGCATTTTGGAAGGCTGAGGCGGCACTTTGGAAGGCTGAGGCGGAAGGATCACTTAAACCCAGGAGTTTGAGACCAGCCTGGGCAACATAATGAGACCTTGTCTCTACAACAACTTTTTTTTTTTTTTTTTAATTAGCTGGGCGTTGGTGGCGAACACCTCTAGTCCCAGCTACTTGGGAGGCTGAAGTGGGAGGATTCCTTGAGCCTAGGTGATCACAGCTGCGGTGAGCCGTGATTGTGCACTGTGCACTGTGCACTGCCGGGGTGACAGAGAAAGAAAGGAAAGAAAGGAAGGAAGAAAGGGAAAGAGAAAGGGAAAGGGAAAGGCTAGACAAGACAACACAACACAACACAACACAGGAGGGGTTCCTGGGGCACTATTTCTATGTCTTGAGTGATGGTTAAATAGACATTCACTTATAATTGTTCATTAGAGTATATACTTATGTTTAATGTATTTCTACGTTGTTATATTCCATTATAAAACAAGCTTTTAAGACCTCAGAATATTTCTGATAATGATTTCATATATAAATAGTTCCTTCGTCATTTATATGGTATTAAAAAATAATTTTTATCAAAGACAAAGCATTGCAGTATCACATTAAACAAGAAAGTTTAACTGTTCTCTCTCTCGGAAGTTCAAGACACCACATAATGCACTATGTTTAGTGCTGGGTATCACAACAACAAAACCAAAAATTGCCAACAACTGATAACCTGGATAGTGACCACTCACCTAAAACCATGCCAGATGAGGAACTGGTAAGGAAACCAGGTGAGTTTGGCCTCAGTGAGAGATGACTGACATCCAAATGTCTGAAGACTTTGGAAAAAATGGAATCGAGCCAGTGATTTATTCCAGGGGACAGAACTAAGTTCAGTAGTAGAAGCAAAAAGGAGACAAATTTCAGCTCAGTAGTGATTGGAACATGTAAACCAAAAATAAAATCCTAAATTAGCCGGGGGTGGTGGCGTATGTCTGCAATCCCAGCTACTCGGGAGGCTGAGGCAGGAGAATTGCTTGAACCCAGGAGGCAGAGGTTACAGTAAGCCGAGATAGCGCCACTGCACTCCAGCCTGGAAAACAGAGCAAGACTCCATCTCAAAAAGAAAAAAAAAAAAATCCTAAACCCCCCAGCTGACTGAACAAACTCCTTCTTGGCCAAGGGCACCCCAGAGAAACCTGAAAAACTGAATTCCCAGCCAGGAAGAGAGGTCAGACATACCTCGTTATACTCCCTCTTTTTGGATGGCGATCCTAAGACTGGCAAACCAGACACTGTGGCAATAAGATAACAAATTATAAACAACACCTAAGGTCAGGCAAAGCAGGGGTTAAGTCACGCCCTACAAACCATAAAGCCTCATCAGAGATGATTAACCTAGTATAAAGTATAATGTGGCTTACTTTCCAATCTGACTGTGTTATAGCATCACATGACAAATAGCAGACCCTGAAGGCAATCAAAATATTTTACCCCAAAATATATTTCTTTGACATATTTTAAAATAACTGTCACGGGGCCAACAGAATCTCCATAGTGCAGCCAAGCCTTCCCTTTCTGGGCCTTTCCCCCAACCTAGGAGACATTAACTGAGAGCCTGACACCTTTAAGGTCTGAAAAGAGACATTTACCATCTATTCTCCCTGAAAGCTGCTACCTATGAGGCTTTACTACATAACAAGAACCTTGGCCTCCACAACCCCCTTATCTTAACTTTACCATTTCTTTCTACTGACTTCAAGTCTTTAGAAAAAGCTTAACTCTTTCAACCAACTGCGAATCAGAAAATCCTTTAATCCACCTATGATCCCCCACTACCTTGGCTGAACCAATGTACATCATCCTCCAAGTACTGACTGATGATTTTACCTACAATTCTCTCCCTAAAACATATAAAAGCAGACTGCAATCTGATAGCCTAGGACATATTTTGTCAGGGCTCTTGAGACTGTTCCCCAGACCATGGTCACTCACATTAGCTCAGAATAAACCTCTTTAAAATATTTTACAGAGTTTGGTTTTAACATTAACAAAATGATCAATCATCAATGGTTATTCATTCATTCTCATTTTTGTCATACTTGTCAGATGCCTACAATGGGACAGCCACTATTGTAGATACTTCAGGATATAGCGGTGAACAACATGGACCATGCTCCTGCTCTCATGGAGCTAAAGGAGATAGACAATAAATATGATAATTTCAGACAGTGACAAGTATTATAAGGAAATAAAACAGAGTCTTATGATAGAGTTATGGCAGTTGGGAAGGGGAGAGGTCCTTTAGGTAGGAGATCTGGGGAAGGTTGTCTGAGAAGGCAGTATTTCAGAGAAATCTGTCCCATGTAAAAATTCCAAGCCACCAGGGCTATGAGAAGAGTGTTCAAGGCAGTACAAAGAGTCTTAGAGAGTTTGATAAATTCAAGGAACACAGAAGGCCTGTATATCTGAAGCAGAACAGACAAGGAGGAACCTCGCAAGAGGCAGGAAGGGGCCTCTGTAAACAGTTTGTCCCTGGTAGAAAGGAATCCTGTACTAAACTAGATGCCCTCTAAGGTACCTACTAAAGTGAAGATTCTAACTCCCTCAAAAATTGTTTGCGTTTTTGATTACCAGTCACTAACTGTGTAAACAAATAACCAAATGCATTTTAGGTTGGATTTGACTCACACTAAGAAAATACATGTAAAATTAAGCAATGTTTCTGTATTAGCAAACAAGCAGGTATCTAAAGAACTGACAGAAACGTAGGCTTATAATTTATTTCATAGATTATTAGTATTGAATTTAAGAGCTGCCTGGGCCTTGAATGTTTTCTTTGTTACTGAAATTATAATCTTCATCTCAACGGGTCTTTTCTTCTTCCCAAAGAGAGTACAAAATCAGTTGAATCATGAGTTTTGTTTTTGTTCCTGGCATTGTTTTTACACATCCAAATGAGAGAACCATTTTGTCACTGAAAATTGCATAGGAATACATTTGGTACATGACTAAACTTCTGTTATAATAAGAGAGTTCAAATGGTTGGAAAGCATCTTAAAACTCAAGATCCACATACAGAAGAAAACCATTTCTATGGAAGGCACGGCCTTGTGAAAAACACCCTAATTAATTACCCTTTTGTAAAGACTTCTCCATGCTGAATACAAGCAAGGAGATGAAGCACTCCTACTTAGTTTTCTTTCTAGATGGGACCATCTGACCCATAATTAATAGGATCTTCATTTTGCTTTATTCTCCCAAAAGTGGAGAGTAACTTGATTTATCAATCCATCCTTTATAATTCAGTCCCCCCTTATTAAATCAAACAGATATTTGATTATCATGAGTTATACACAATTTACTAGCATAAAAATTTCAAACTACCAAATATGTTATGTGCCTCCCTACCCTTGACCTTCAGAATCCTTCCACAAGGGAGGAAATCCAGTATCAACCCAATGTATCTTCTACCAGCTACTTGATACTTCTCCCAGCACTGCCAATCCTCCTAAACTCCCAGCCCTTCCTAATATGAGGGTCTTTGGATTCAGATTGAAAAACAGAGCTAAGGCTGGGCTGGGTGGCTAACGCCTGTAATCCCAGCACTATGGGAGGCCAAGGCGGGTGGATCACCTGAGGTCAGGCATTAGAGACCAGCCTGGCCAACGTGGCAAAAACCCCATCTCTACTAAAAAAAAAAGAAATACAAAAAATTAACGGGGTATGGTGGCACATGCCTGTAATCCCAGCTACTTGGAAGGCTGAGGCAGGAGAATCACTTGAACCCAGGAGGCGGAGGTTGCAGTGAGCCAAGATCTTGCCATTGCACTCCAGCCTGGGCGACGGAGCAAGACTTTGTCCCCAAAAAAAAAGAAAGAAAGAAAAAGAAAAACAGAGCTAAAATGGGATCAGAGCCAGGGGCGCTGGCTCACGCCTGTAATCCCACCACTTTGGGACGCTGAGGCAGGCCAATCGCTTGACTCCAGGAGTTTGAGACCAGCCTGGGCAACATGGCAAAACCCTGCATCTACAAAAAATTAACCAAGCGTGGTGGTGCATGCCTGAGTCCCAGCTACTCCCAGCTACTCAGGAGGCTGAGGTGGGAGAATCATTTGAACACAGGAAGTCGAAGCTGCAGAGAGCCATGATCACGCCACTGCACTCTAGCCTGGGTGATGAGCAAGACCCTGCCTCAATAAAATAGGATCAGAGAAACTCAGAGTTCATACTAAAACTGTACTATTTCAGATACCCTATTGGTTAAAAGGATTTTGAAGACATCTTCATGAAAATATAAAGATCAATTTTAACACGGTTTCTTTGGGGTAATATTTTCTGAACTGCAAATTCTAAGTAACTGAATTTAAAATAAACTTACAGAAGTTGGGGACCACCTAGATTTTGCTGGATTGATGTGGGTCAGAAAATGTGGTCTGAGTTATTGTCCTCAACTCCAAGAAAAATAAACTTCACATGAAAAAGGAATGGAAGGAACTGAAGTCCAAGACTTGAAGAACACCTACAGGCTTTAAATGAATTCAAGACCATTGACCTGGATAAATTTCATGTTTGAAATGCTTTAAGACTTTCAAAATGGAATTGCTGAAATTTAGTAGTCTTGGGAAAATCACAGGGAAAAGAAGAGGAGAACAAAGACTGGCCAAGAGCAAATGTCCCATTTTCCAGAAAGGGCAAAACAGTACATTCTGTAAACTCTACACCTAAGGGTTTATAGTTAAGCAATCATTCAATGTTTTGAGAGCTAACCATGTACCGGGTACTATGATAGATTCTGGGACATAACAGTAAAGAAAACAGACAAGATCCCTATCTCATAGAGCTTAATCAAAGACTCACACAGTAAGTATAAAACAGTAAATATTAGTGCTATGAAAGAGATATAAGTTGCTGGAAGGGCTTATGACAGGGGTTTCCCACCTATTAGGAAGAGTTGTTGGCTCTCTTAGAGAAAGCAATTAGTGAGCTGAGGCCTGTAGAATAATTCAACATAAACTCATGGAAGAAGGGGGATGCTCCAGGAGAAAATAATTTATGCTAAAGCCCCAAGTCAGGAGGGAACAGGGTGACACAAGAGACCCACAGGTGAGGTGGGGAGGGGTGGGGGTCAATAACATAGTACAAGGTGAGGCTGGAGAAACAGCAGGTTGGGCTATTTCAAGAAGCATAATCTTTGCCATGGGACATAAGGACTTACAGGAGGGTTTTGAACAAGAATAGGAGGGGTGGATTCAGGGAGTGGTATGACAATCTGATTATTTGCAGTTTGAAAAGATCACATAAGCTACAGAGTAGAGAATGGCTCAGTACCTGGAACGGGAGACATCAGTTTTGGGGTAGAACAGCTAGGAAGCCATGGCAGCCACCCAGGTGAAAGATAAGGGGAGGATGGACTAAATTGGTGGATATTAAGAGAAATGAATAGATTTGGGACATGTTGGAGAGGAAGTCAATACCACTGAGGATGGATTAGAGACAGGGAGGGAGGGAAAGAGGAGGCAAGGATAACTTCTTGGTTTTGGGCTTGGGCTATGTATGAGTAGAGACACATGAGAGGTGCTGTTTCTTCACTGAGGAAGACTAGAAGAGAAGGAGGTTAAAGGAAGGATAGAAATCCAAGGTTCCATTTGTCAAGTTAAGGTTGAGTTTAGATATCCATAAAAATGGAAAAGGTACAAACTACAGGAAAAATAGAAATGAAAACCTGAGGAAAAGAATCTGCAACTTATATCACAAAGTTAAACTCAATACACAGAAGGCTACTCCTGCTCATTAAGAGGGGCGGAAACCCAATTTTTAAAATGGGCAAAGTGATATGAACAAATAGTTCAGAGAAAAAGAAACACAAATGGCTCTTAAACATAAAAAAGTTACTCAAATTTACATATAATACAAATAGAAGATTAAAACCACACTGAGATACAATTTTTTACATTAGCAAAAACCAAAAATAACATACCATGCTGATGAGAGCATGAGAGAATTAAGCTTGCTCATACACTGCTGGTGGGAATATATATCAAATTGGAAACCAATTTGATAAAATCCTTCAAAACTAAAAACATATTCTAATGACACAGCAATTACATTTCCAGAATTTATCCCCAGAAACACATACACACACACCACATAATGTATACATACATTATTCACTGCAACATTGTTTGCAAAAACAAGAATGGAAACAGTCTAAATACACATCAACAAGGGCCTAGTTAAATGAATTACAGTACACCCATTCAAATATTTTAAGCTAGAGAGAGAAGTGAAATATGTATGTACAGTACTCTAATCAGCATTTCATAAATTTTAGCTATGTCATCATTAATTTATTATCCAACAAATTAAAATTGTGCTTAAAACTATTTTAATTAAATATCACGTATCTTTTTTGTATCCTGTGGTTCAATATAAGATTATATTGAAAAAAAGGAGTTACTGTTTTTAAAAGTTTGAAAATCCGCTAATTAAAAAGTATAAAAGTACATGGTAGAGGTTATTGATCCTGAAGACATGACGAGATTTCAAACACTGTCAATGACATGGAAAATTCACAAAGGGAGCTTCCAGGCTAAACTTTGTTAATATTTTGAAAAACAGACCCTCTTATCAAGTCTTCAGACTCCTGGTCCTTGTGGCTATAAACTGCAAACTACATGAGAGATTTTCTGAAACCTAGGTTTCTTTCACCAAGCCAAACTATCAGATTTATGGTTGATCTTGACAACTTTTGTTTCCTCATTTAAAAAATAAGGCTCCTCAGTTGGACGATCTCCAAGTTCCTTTTTAGCTTTCAAGTCCCACAATTTAATTCTAAACACTAGGACCCTTTCAAATTGAAAATGAGCACAAAAATCCTCAATAAATAAATGTCAATTCCTAAGGCACCAATATAAAATATATAAAGCCTACCCTCTTTTTTCATTACGGTTCCAAATCATTTACCAAGGTAAGCTTCCAGAGCAATTGAGTAAATTCATTCTAAACAAGGGAAGGCACGGAGTGATTATCTTTCAGCATATTTCAGAGAAACAGGAAAAACAAAGTAAGTGGAATACCACTGGCCAAACAGCTGGTGATGAAGCTATTCCTGTGAGGGTCACTTATGTCAAAGGGAAAAAACATAGTAATAATGACTAGACAGCAGCAACTTTGCGAGGCATGGACAGGAAGTCTGGGATGTTTTCCAAATGTATTGGAAGTTATTTTTATTTACAGAGATATTTGTGTCCTATTTAAAATATAGAAGAAACTGAAGAAAAATCAAGCGAAAATCTTTGCACTTCCTCAATTGTTTGTGCTGCTAACTTCAGAAGGGTACGTAAAATTACTTTGGCCATACAAATAATAGTCAAAAATACAAGCAATTTCATCAAGACCATTAATTGATAAAAGCATTCAATTAAATTCCAAAGAGATCTGAGAAGCTGACTAATAAATAATAACAATTTAAAAAAGAAAAGATAGATTCTTTCCCTCAAAGAGGATACAATTTTTTAAAAAGATATGGTTAAGAGCACTTTTGAGTTATAGCTTTCCCGCATACTACCTTAATGATGAGCTCAGCAGTCTCTTGAAGCTTTGGTACGTTTCCATTTGTAAGCTGAAGATTCATGTGCCTACCTGAGGGCTTTTTTTTTTTCCCCAGACAGCAAATGCGTGGTATCTTTTCCAACACCAATTCTGATTCTCTGACACCAACTGAGTATCCTTCAATTCAATCCACAGGTTTAAGGACTCAGTCTCACAAAACTGCCCTCACTTCGGATTCCTGTCACAAGTCCCAGGTCCCCAGGCTATTCATACTTCTATCCAACTTGGCTACAAATTTGGGGGTTCCCACAACTCACTCTCCTCAAGTTTGATAATTTGCTAGCGTGACTCACAGAACTCAAGGAAATGCATTACTTACATTTACTACCAGCTTCTTATAAAGGATACAACTCAGGAACAGCCAAATGGAAGAGATGCACAGGGCAAGGTATGAGGGGTTGGGGAGCCAGCACAGGCCTTCCGTGCCTTCTCAGAGCACACCAGCCTCCCAGCACCTCGATGATTTTGACAGAGTCAAACTCTAAAATATTTTAAGAGATTTATTCTGAGCGAAATATGAAGACCACGAACTGTGATACAGCCCCAGGAGATGCTGAGAATATATATGTGCCCAAGGTGGTCAGGCTACAGCTTGGTTTTAATTACTATTATTTTGAGGGAGAGTTGGGGGTAGAGAAGAGGTCTCACCATGTTGCCCAGCTGGTCTCCAATTCCTGGACTCCAGTGATCCTCCCGCCTCAGCCTCCCAAAGTGCTGGGATTGCAGGTATAAGGCCACCACGCCTGGCCCCCTACAGCTTGGTTTTGTACATTTCAGGGAGACATAAGACATCAATCAATACATGTAAGATGTACATTGGTTTGGTCCAGAAAGGTAGAATAACTCAAAGGTGGGGAGGGGGGTGCTTCCAGGTCATAAGTGGATTCAGAGATTTCCTGATTGGCAATTGGTTGAGTTTACCTAAAGACCTGGAATCAATAGAATCTCCCTTCTATGATTTGGGTTAAGATAAGGGGTTGTGGAGACCAAGGTTCTTATTATGCAGAGGCTTCCTATGGAACAGATTGTAAATGTTTCTTATCAGACTTAAGAAGGCAGTCTGTGCAGTGGCTCCTGCTTGTAATCCCAGCACTTTGGGAGGCTGAGGCGGGAGGATCACTTGAGGTCAGGAGTACAAGACCAGCGTGGCCAACATGGAGAAACCCCGTCTCTACTAAAAATACAAAAACTTGCCGGGCGTGGTGGCGCATGCCTGTAATCCCAGCTACTCGGGAGGCTGAGGCAGGAGAATCCCCTGTCCCCACCCCAGGTCTTTAAAAAATACCACGAGAATTGCTTGAACCTGGGAGGCGGAGGTTGCAGTGAGCCAAGATCATGCCACTGCATTCCAGCCTGGGTGACAGAGCGGAGACTTTGTTCCCAAAAAAAACAGACTTAAAAAGGTGCCAGACAGTATTCTCTCCTGGACCAGGAAAAAGACCTGGAAAGGGAAGGGGATTATCTATAGAATGTAGATTTTTTTCCCCATGAGAGACAGCTTTGCCAGGGCCATTTCAAAATAGAGAAATATATTTCAGGGTAAAATACTTCTATTTCTTTCAGGGCCTGCAATCATGTTGGTATCTTACTGCTACAAAGTGTGATACATTTTATGTATCATGTTGGTATCTTACTGCTACAAAGAGTCTGTTTTAACATTAATGCTGGTTAGCCATGCCTGAATTCCAAAGGGACAAAGGTATAATGAGGCATGTCTTTCCTATCATGGCCTGAACTAGCATTCAGGTTAGAGTGCCCTTGGCTGAGAGGAGGGTTTCATTCAGTTGGCTGGGCGGCTTAGAATTTTGTTTTGCTTTACAGTGTGTTCACCAACCCACAAGGCTCCAGGGCACCATCATTTAGGAAGGTTTCATTATGTAGGCATGACTGATTAAAGCACTAGCCATTGGTGATTGAGCTCATTCTCCTTCCCTTTTCCCCTCCCAGAAAGTCTGGGGTGAAGATGAAAGTCCTAAATCTCTAATAGTGCCTTCTTCTTTCTGGTTGACCAGCCCCCATCAGAAGCTATCTAGGAGGTTCTGCCAGGAGTCACCCAATTAGCATACAAAAGACACTCTTATCATAGTCATCTTCATAGTACTAGTATAATACAACAATTGTAACATTTATTTTGAACTACATAAAATCCCTTTAATTAAGACACCCCCAATATATGGCAAAATGACAAAAATTTTGAATATCCAGATTTAATAAATTCAGTTGAAAATCCTGAACTCTTAGCTTGCCATTATGAGTTGGCAACGTCTACACTGCTCTTGATGGTCTGCCTCATCAACAGAACAGGGCCTCCCTTCAAATGCATTATTAAATATCAAAGTTTTGTTGCAATTCATCTCAACATTTTAGGTTTCATCATTTCACTGTCAAGTACCTTCAAGAGGTACTTTTTCCTTGTTTTCTCTGGCCAGAATCCCCATTTCCTCTACTGTTCCATAATAGAATTAAGTAGTATTTGAATTTCAAAAGGTCAATTAGCAGAAAAATACCACTTAGCTACATCATGTTAATATCAAAACAAGAGCTCAAACAAATAATTTTTTCACATTGGTCTAGCTAGGAAGTGATTTTTTTTCTTCCCCCGAGACGGAGTCTCACTCTGTCGCCCAGGCTGGAGTGCAGTAGGGGGATCTAGGCTCATTGCAACCTCCGCCTCCCGGGTTCAAGAGATTCTCCTGCCTCAGCCTCCCAAGTAGCTGGGATTACAGGCACACGCCATCACGCCCAGCTAATTTTTGTATTTTTACTACAGACAGTGTTTCACCATGTTGGCCAGGCTGGTCTTGAACTCCTGACCTCAAGTGATCCTCCCGCCTCAGCCTCCCAAAGTGCTGGGATTACAGGAATGAGCCACCGTGCCAGGTGTGATATGAAACTTAGTGCCTACAAAAACAGCTCACAGCCAGGCACAGCGGCTCATGCCTCTAAACCCAGCACTTTGGGAGGCCATGGCAGGAGGGCTGTTTAAGGCCTGGAGTTCAAGACAAGCCTGGGCAACACAGCGAGGCTTTGTCTCTACAAAAAATTTCAAAAATTAGCCGTGTGTGCTGGTCCATGCCTGTAGTCCCAGCTACTTGGGAGGTTGACACAGAAGGATAGCTTGAGCTTAGGAGTTCAAGCCTGCAGTAAGCTATGATCACTAGTGCACTCCGGTGACAGAGGAAGATCCTGTCTAAACAAAACAAAACAGCTCACTCCAATTTCAGATCGTTCTAATTATTGAAAAATTCCTATTCACCAGAAATCTGCAAAGCCACTTCTACCTCTCTAAGCCTTAAGTTTATTCAATGGCAAAGTGAAGAAATCCTCAAATCTCAGTAATCATTTAAAGCACTGAGAGCCTAAGATCTACCCTACTCAAATTCAACAAACATTTATTAAGCATCTATTATGGCATGCTTGCTGTTCATATATGCAATATTTAGCCTAACCACAATTCTTATCTACAGTCAATTCCACCTCTTAAAGCAGGCAAGAAACAAGAAAATTCACTGGTCTTTCTTCTTTTCTTATGCACCAAGATATTTAGAGATTTTTTTTTTTTTAGGAATGAGGAGAAAGATGTAGCTAAGTGGAATATGGAGAAGGAGGAGAGAATAAAGTAGTGAATAAGGAGACAATATCTTCGACCACAAGGTAATTCACAATTTACTCATTAAATAAAATATTCATCAAGCACTTATTTGGAAGCTGCATTAAAGATAAATCTGAATGAAAAATTTCCTCAAAAGAGTTTCAACAAGGTGCCTTGATTGAAGGGAACCAATCATGTCATAAATTTGCTACTCTTTATGCGAGTCACAATACATGATAATCATAGTACATATTCAATCCTTTAAAATAGATAACAAAAGGAAACTTCAGTACTTTAATAATGCCATCTACAATACCACAGAATATAAAGGACTTTACCTAAAATGAAAAGATTTAATTGCCCAATTTCATAACCAAGTTAAGGCTATATGCCATTGTGCTTGACCGCTTTTTAAGCAAAACATCTGACATTTTCTTTCATGAGAAAGCAAAAAATAGACAATTAAATGTTGGCAAAAGTTTGGTTCAGGCATTTTAAATGCAAATATTGTAAGTCATATAACAGGTTGTAAGTTCAAGCTACTAGTGCTGAATCACATATAACAAAGTCTTCCTGCTTTCCAATGTGAAGAGATACTAGAAAAGCAGAAAAAAAAGATTAACTTTGACTTGGAAAATCAGAGAAAGCTTCATTGAAGAGGTGATATCTGAATTAATACTTGAGACAAGAACAGAAGTTTAGCTGATAGACAAAATGGGTAAAGGCATTCTATGAAAAGTTTGTGCAAAAATATAGGCAAAAAAAATGAGTGTTCGGTGAATGCAAGTAATGCAGCATATCTGAAATCCAGGGCAAAAGTCCAGGAATAACACGAAAAAAGGCATGGACAAAATCATAAAAGGCTTCTATACCATGCTAAGAAGTCTAGGTTCTGCTTCAGGATGGTGGTTTTCAAACTTTGCCCTATATGGCTCAAGGGGCTTTTTGAGAAAGGTAGAAGCAAAAGCAGAGTTCCTACATTCCTGTCCTGCTTCAATCAGACAATAGTGTTGCGCTCTCTCTTTTTAAAAAAAATCTATTTTAAACATTGTATTTGCCTTAGTTAAAGAAAGAACAGCAGGCCCAAATGGAGTCACTCAGGCTAAGGTTCCAAGTTACCAAACCAAAACCTAACTTATTTACTTGTAAAATCTGACCACCTAAGAAATCAGGAGAAAGATGATAGCTAAATTCCCTTAAGCCAAGATTCCCTATAAGGAAAGTAACCTTGAAATGACCAACCCACTATTTGATCCTTGGTCCTGCTTTCCTCCACTTTTTTGTGCATACAAAATGTACCCACTAAGTCTAGGTCATTAGAGCTCTTTCTGTTTCGTAGACTGGATGCTACCTGGTCCATGAATCGTTAATAAAACCCAATCAGATCTCTGAGACTCAATTTGTTGAAATTTTGTTGACACCCTATATTTGAAGAAGGGGTCTAACTGCCTTACAAGAAGTTTGAAGGCTACTGCCATAGACAACAAGAAATCAAGAGAAGGTTTAAGTTGAGCATTTTACCAGTGTTATACTTCAGAAAAATCACCATGGAGGCAGGAAGAGAGTTAGGGCAGACACTAGTCAGAAAGCTACTGATTTATAGAGGCCAGGCACAAAATGATGAAATTTAAACTAAAGCAGCAACAGTGGGAACAAAGAAAGGCAGATAAAGTTGAGATATTTAAGAGATGTAATCAAAAGACACAGCGACAATTTAAAAATAGTTGATGAATGAGAAATGGAAAAGTCTAAAATGATGCTAAAATTTCTGCTGTGACCTGTAGGCCAGGGTTTGTAAAATCAAAAATTATATTAAAAAAAAAAAAGAAAAAAAAATTCTGCCTTGACTACTGGGTATATCAGGACTCTACTAACTGAAACTGGGAATAGAGATGGAGCAAATGGAAAATAATATTACATGACTGACAACTATGAGGTCTTAGTTGTTATTTATTATGGGCAACATGGCGAGACCCTGGCTCTACTAAAAATTACAAAGTCAGCCGGGCATGGTGGTATGTCCCTGTGGTCCCAGCTACTCAGGAGGCTGAGGTAGAAGGATCGCTTGAGTCTGAAAGACAGAGGCTGCTGTGAGGAGAGATCCTGCCCCCCACCACCCCCGCATTCTAGCCGGGATGACAGAGGAAGATCCTGACTCAAAATAATAATTCCCTACAGATTTACCATCTAGTGATGATTTTTGAGATCCTGTGTCAAAAACAAACAAAAAAAAGATACAGAGAAAGAAATGGGCTTGGGATAAACCATTCTAACAATTCATAAATAATTAAGAATTGATTATGCAGCCAGGAGTGGTGGTGGCTCATGCCTGTAATCCCAGCACCTTGGGAGACCAAGATAGGTGGATCACTTGAGGTCAGGAATTCGAGACCAGCCTGGCCAATATTGTGAAACCCCATCTCTACTAAAAATACAAAAATTCGCTGGGCATGGTGGTACACTCCTATAATCCCAGCTACTCAGGAGGCTGAGGCAGGAGAATCACTTGAACCCAGGAGGCAGAGGTTACAGCGAGCCGAGATCGCGCCACCACTGCACTTCAGCCTGGGCGACAGGGCGAGACTGTCCCCCCCCCAAAAAAAAAGAATTGATTATGCATATTTATAACAGTATCTAACAGAGAATGAACTTGTAAACAATACTGCATTCTATTTTATAGTTCCACAATACCAACTAGTTAGTTACTTGCGCTTCTCATTTCATGCAAATGACATGTAAAGTGCATTGAAATACAAACCACCATCTTTGTTTTCAGGGAATCCAGAATCTGATAGAGAGAATAAACCCTACACATTCATTATAGCAAAGAGGAAACAGATCTCATCTCCAGGTCTCCTAATCAGCTGAGGAGGAGCTATGCTCTGGCTTGACCAAAGGATTCTTCTCCATTCACAATAGAGTAAGTGGGAAAATCAGATAGCCTCCTGGTGACTAAGGAGCCTACTTCTCAATGTGGTGTCATCATTTTCCTTGAAGTAACTCCTAGTTTATATAATCATAGACACAGGATTCAATATAGAAACCCACAGACATTTCAAATTTAAATATTGTTTGTTATCTGCTATTTTCAATTGTTTAGGCTAACATAAAAATTTTTTTTAACTTTTTAGTTTCTAGATTTTGATATGTCCTCCTTAGAAGATGAAAACTTATTTCAACAATCCAAGACCAATTAAGATGATGAGGCCAGGTGAGGTGGCTCACACCTGTAATCCCAACACTTTGAGAGGCCGAGGCGGGTGGATCACGAGGTCAGGAGTTCAAGACCAGCCAGGCCAACATGGTGAAACCCCGTCTCTACTAAAATTGCAAAAAAAAAATTAGCCAGGTGTGGTGTTGGGTGCCTGTAATCCCAGCTACTTGGGAGGCTGAGGCAGAGAATTGCTTGAACCCGGGAGGCAGAGGTTGCAGTGAGCCAAAATTGTGCCACTGCACTCCAGCCTGGGCAACAGAGCGAGACTCCATCTCAAAAAAAAAAAGATGATGAACAAGCAGTCCATGCACTGCTTTTGCCACAAACCCTTCCTCTACCTGGACCCTTCTTTCTAGTCTTTTGAGAATACTGACACATCTGGGTGTCATCCCTCACTAATTATGTGACCATGAGCAAGTTATGTAGTCCCTTCAAGCCTATTTTCTCATTCATTAAGAAGAACTGATACCACCTACTTATAGGCTAATGAAGAGGATTCAAGATTATATAAAGCCTCTGATGCATAGAAGCCACATAATAGAGATTATTACTAATTAAAAGATAACACTAATGAAACACAATAGATGATGTAATAAGAAGGCCAATAACTTTAGAAAGAGGGATTTATTATATCATCTCAAAGAGCCTACATTTAAATGGATTCCCCAAATGAGACCAGTAATTTATGTCAATGCCCAAAAGAATAGATTCATGAAATGTCATTAACATTTTTAAAGCAATATTTTTATTAAGGAAAATAAAATATTTTAAAGCAAACAATTTTAGTCTTGCCAGTTCTGATGACAATTATATTATCTGCAAAGTAATGTTACTTTATCAAGTTGAACAATATCACTGAAAATTTTTCTACTCGGCCTCAACAATTTAGAACTATGCTAAATCTAGAACAACTTCTGAAATTGCATTGCACTATCATCATTATTGATCATTTATAGTTACGTAAGTAAAGATACCTTTCATTAACTGTATGAAATAGAACATCTTCTGTTGTGCCAAGAAAAAAAAAAAAAAACAAGAACTGACAAATTGAAGAACATCTAGATGCAGAATTGCTAAGGTATTTGTTTGAAGGAAATAAAAACATTTGAGTGGGAGGAAAAGCAAATGTGCTTCAATTACCTTTAGCCCTAAGAAGTTTCATGAAAGACATCACAGAAACAATACACACACAAAAGGGATGGTTACAGGACTATAAATGGAAGTAGTCTGCCAGGGCTATGAAAAATAAAATGAAGCTTCATTCTCAAAAGATAAAATACAAAGAGAAGAGGTGAGTTAGTGTCTAAATTCTAAAGAACTGTTGTTATAAATTAGTATCAAAGGATATAGAAAACAAGATGGGGCAATGAAGATTACTATTTAGAATACGTGAAATATATTTACCTAATGCTGTTTCCATAAGTAATACTTTATTCCAACAAAATTAAACCAAAGAAAAGCACTTCCAGAATGGCAGTGTGAGGTGGTCCATGTGGACCCTGGACCCTCTCCTCAGCAAAACAACCTTAACTGGTACAAAGGATACAAAAAAAGAAGGAAAGAGAAGAAACTATTTACAGTCTGCAGAAATTGCCCTAAGGACATGGGGCAAACGCAGCAATATTTAGTCAAGAAAATCTACTGAATCTTGGTAAAAAGACCAAGTTGGAAAAATTTGAACCAGGACTCACTTCCTTACATGCCCATTCCCTCTCCCTCACCCCCAGCTCTATGCCCAGTGAGTGTAGCCAAGACGAAAGTTTCTCCCCAGGAGCAGTAGGTTACCAGAATTTCACATCCCCTGCCACCCCTCGCAGCCTCTGTTTCATGTTGCAGGAACTATTCCGGTCAAGCAGAGCTACCTCCACCTAGCCTCATTTATAGGGCAGCACCTCTACCCCAGGCAAGGAAGGCTGAGAATACTGAAAATGGAACCAAATGGAAATTCTGGAATAGGAAAGTAAATAACCAAAATGAAAGATTCATTAGCACCCACCTAGCACCTAGATCCTGCTTTCTAATACCATTCTGTGATAAAAATAAACCAGGAGTCGGGCACAGTGGCTCATGTCTGTAATCCTAGCACTTTGGGAGACAGGCCGGGCAGATCACTTGAGCCCAAGAGTTCGAGACCAGCCTGGGCAACATGGTAAAACCCCTTCTCTACAAAAAAAAAAAAAAAATACAAAAATTAGCCAGGTGTGGTGGCCCGCACCTGTAGCCCCAGTTACTCTGGAGGCTGAGGTGGGAGGATCACCTGAGCCTAGGAGGTCAAGGCTGTGGTGAGCCGCGATCATGCAACTGCACTCCAGCCTGGGTGAGAGTGACGCCCTGCCTCAAAAGAAAGAAAGAAAGAAAGAAAGAAAGAAAGAAAGAAAGAAAGAAAGAAACCAGGACTCTTTGGTGAAATGGCTGAAACTAGGACTGGGGCATAAAAATGTACAAGATGAGCCTGGAGCATATTCTAGTGCCAGAAAATAAAGAAGTAGGTTTAAAAAAAAAGAGAGAGAGAGAAGGAGGAGGAGGAGGAGAAAGAGAGAAAGAAAAAAGAAGGCCAGGCGCAGTGGCTCACGCCTGTCATCCCAACACTTTGGGAGGCCGAGGCGGGTGGATCATCTGAGGTCAGGAGTTGGAGACCAGCCTGGCCAACATGGTGAAACCCCATCTCTATTAAAAATACAAAAATTTAGCCAGGCGTGGTGGCACACACCTGTAATCCAAGCTACTCAAGAGGCTGAGACAGGAGAATCGCTTGAACCCAGGAGGTGGAGGTTGCAGTGAGCGGAGATCACGCCACCGCACTCCAGCCTAGGGGATAGAACGAGACTTCCTCTCCAAAAAAAAAAAAAAAAAGGAAGAAAGAAGAGGAAGAGGAAGAAGAAGAAAGAAGAAAGGAAGAAGGAAGAAGAAGTGTGCTATGTCAAATCACACTAGTTAACTGAAGGGGCCCCCAGTAGCCAAAGCAGGGACAATTTTAGCAACAAAATAAAGTAGTACTACATTTGGATTATTAACCAAAGTATTAAAAAGAAATCCATGAGTCCATAATGATTTTTTAAATAAGTAAATGAGAGAGTCAGAGTTGACAAATCCCCTGTGCAGAAGAATTCTAAATAATTTATGTAAATACCCCATCTTCAATAAGGTGGAACATAACTCCATAGTCCTTAAATGTGGGCTGCACATAGTAACTTTCTTCCAAAGAGGACATTATGGAAAGGGAGAAAAAGAGTAGTTTTACAATGCAGAAACCTGACAAACACCGCCTCAGCCAGGTGATCAAGGTTAATTAACATCAATAGTGATAAGCATGTTGATAGTATGTCCCTTTGATACGATGTGATGAAAATGACACTTTACTTACGTGGTCTTCCTCCCAAAAACCTGCAACACCAGTCTAATCACAAGGAAAACATCAGACAAATCCCAACTGAGGGATACTCCACAAAACACCTAAGCAGTATTACTCAAAACTGTTCATCAAAAACACAGAAAGTCTGAGAATCTGTAACAGCCAAGAGGAGTCTAAGAAGATATGACAACTAAATGTAATGTGATATCCTACATGAGATCCTAGAGCAGAAAAAAAAAGACATTAGATTAAAACAGGAAATTTGAATAAAGTATGAACTTTGAATATCAGTAATCAATAATCACTAACAATATGGTTTATTAATTAGAATGAATGTATCATACCAATATAAGATGTTAATAATAGGGAAAACTACATGTGGGGTACATGGAAACTCTCCACTATCTTTGCAATGTTTCTGTAAACCAAAACCTATTCTAAATTATGAAGCTTATTTTTAAAAACTCACTAGAGGAGATGAATAGATTTCAGCTGGCAGAAGAATCAGTGAACTTGAAGACTGATTGATAGAGATTATGCAATCTGAAGAACACAGAAAAAAATGAAAAATGAACAGAACCTCAGAGAAAAATGGGATACCACTAAACATATCTATCTATCTCATCATCCCCTTTTGGTTGTTTCTCTGGAGAGCCTGGACTAATACACAACAACATACATGTAATGGGAATACCAGAGGAGAAGAAAGAACAGAAAAAAATACTTAAGAAATAGTGGCTGGCCGGGCGTGGTGGCTCACGTCTGTAATCCCAGCACTTTGGGAGGCCGAGGTGGGCGGAACACAAGGTCAAGAGATCGAGACCATCCTGGCTAACACAGTGAAACCCCGTCTCTACTAAAAATACAAAAAATTAGCCAGGCATGGTGGCGGGTGCCTGTAGTCCCAACTACTAGGGAGGCTGACGCAGGAGAATGGCGTGAACTTGGGAGGCGGAGCTTGCAGTGAGCGGAGATCGTGCCACTGCACTCCAGCCTGGGCGAGAGTGTGAGACTCCATCTCAAAAAAAAAAAAAAAAAAAAAAAGAAATAGTGGCTGAGAACTTCTCAAATGTGATGAAAAACATTTAACTACATATCCAAGAAACTCAACAAACTCCAAATACAATAAACACAAAGAGATCCACACCCAGAAACATCATAGTCAAAATGCTGAAAGGCATAGAAAGTCTTGAAAGCAGCAGGAGAGGCCAGGCACGGTGTCTTACACCTATAATCCTAACACTTTGGGAGGCCAAGATAGGAGGATTGCTTCAGGCCAGGAGTTCAAGACCAGCCTGGTCAACACAGCAAGACCCCATCTCTATATCAAAAAATACATTTAAGGCCAGGTGTGGTGGCTCATGCCTGTAATACCAGCACTTTGGGAGGCCAAGGCAGGCAGATCACTTGAGGTCAGGAGTTCAAGACCAGCCTGGCCAACATAGTGAAACCCCGTCTCTACTAAAAATACAAAAATTGGCGGGGCATGGTGGTGCACACCTGTAGCCCCAGCTACTCTACTCGGGAGGCTGAGGCAGGAGAATCACTTGAACCCGAGAGGGAGAGGTTGCAGTGAGCCAAGATGACACCACTGCACTCCAGCCTGGGCAACAGAGCCAGACTCCATCTCAAAAACAACAACAACAACAAAATATATATTTAAGAAAAAAAAAAAAAAAGAAAGCAACAAGAGAAAAACAACTTATCACATAAGAAGAATCCTCAATAAAATTAATAGCTGACTTTCTGATTAGAAACAACGGAGATTGGCCAGGCACGGTGGCTCACACCTGTACTCCCAACACTTTGGGAGGCCGAGGTGGGCAGATCACTTGAGGTCAGGAGTTTGAGACCAGCCTAGCCAACATGGTGAAACCCCATCTCTACTAAGATTACAAAAATTAGCCAGGTGTGGTGGTGCATGCCTGTTATCCCAGCTACTTGGGAGGCTGAGGCAGGAAAATCACTTGAACCCGGGAGGCAGAGGCTGCAGTGAGCTGACATAGCACCACTGCACTCCAACCTGGGCGACAAAGTGAGTGAGACTCCATCTCAAAAAAAAAAAAAAAAAAGGAAAGAAAAGAAACAAACGATGGAGACTGGAAGGCAGTAAGATGACACATTCAAAGCGATGAAAGAAAAGGAAAAAAAAAAACTTGTCAACCAAGAATTTCATATCCAACAAAACTATGTTTCAAAAATGATGGCAAAATAAAGACATTCCCAGATAAATGAAAACTTGAGAGAATTCATTGCTAGAAGATCCAACTTACAAAAAATACTAAAGGAAGTTTTACATACTGAAAACAAGTGACACTAGACAGTAACATGACTCCACACGAATTTTTGTTAAAGGGCCACTAAAGCACAAAGGAGGTGGGTGGGAACAAAGCTATACTGGAGTAAGGAAATGATACCAGATGGTAACTCAAATTTCTTCAAAAATTAAGGAAACCAGAAATGGTAAATAAGAAAGTTAATATAACAAACTACAAATATATACTTCCTCTCCTTTATTCTCCCAGCTTCTTTAAAATATGAAATTATATAAAGTTATCATTTTAACAACATATCTCAGGTTTTAACATAAATAAGACATGTATAATAACATCACAAAAAGGAAGAGAGAATAGAGCTACATGGAAGGAACGGTTTCTATATCTTACTGGAGTTAAGTTAGCATACATCTGAAGTAGATTCTGATAAGCATGTATGTGGTAAGTCCTAGAGCAACACTAAGAAAATAACTCCAAAAAAACTAAAAAAAAATCATTAAAGAAATTAAAATGTTACACTTGAAATTCTTCCCTTAATACAAAATAAAACAGTAAAGGAGAAACAGAAAAACAAAACAACAAAATGAAAAATACAGTAAACAAACAGCAAAATAATAGATGTAAATCCAAACATATCAATAACTATATTAAATGTGAAAGGATTAAACAATCCAATCAAAATGCAAAGATTGTCAGACTGGATTTTAAAAAGATTCAGCCAGGTGCAGTGGCTCATGTCTGTAATCCCAGCACTTTGGGAGGCCAAGGTGGACAGATCACTTGAAGTCAGGAGTTCAAGACCAGGTTGGCCAACATGGCAAAACACCATCTCTACTAAAAATACAAAAATTAGCCAGGCGTGGTGGCACGTGCCTGCAGTCTCAGCTACTCGGGAGGCTGACACAGGAGAATCTCTTGAATCCGGCTCACAACACTGTGCTCCAGCCTCGGTGACAGAGCGAGACTCCGTCTCAAAAAATAATAATAAAAATTAAAATTAAAAAACAAGATTCAGGGCCAGGTGCAGTGGCTCACGCCTGTAATCCCAGCACTTTGGGAGGCCAGGGTGGACGGATCACGAGGTCAAGAGATCGAAACCATCCTGGCCAACATGGTGAAACTCCATCTCTACTAAAAATACAAAAATTAGCTGGGCGTGGTGGCACATGCCTGTAGTCCCAGCTACTCAGGAGGCTGGGGCAGCAGGAGAATCGCTTGAACCCGGGAGGCAGAGGTTGCAGTGAGCTGAGATTGTACCACTGCACTCCAGCATGGCGACAGAGCGAGACTCCGTCTCAAAAAAAAAAAGATTCAACTATATGTTGTCTATGCGAGGCGTATTTTACATTCAGCTATAAATAAGTGGAAATTGAAAGGATAAAGATATAAATGCATAAGAGAGCTGGAATGGCTATATTAAAATCAAACAAACTAGATGTTAAGACTTTTAAAAGTATAAGGTAAAAAACTAAAAAAATCTGAATGTGGACTTTATTAATAATCACTATCAATAACCAATAGTCAGTAATTGGTAATCAAAAATCAATTACTAAAGGTAAAGAGGGATGCTGGGTATAGTGGCTGACACCTGTAATCCCAGCACTTTGGGAGGCCAAGGCAGGTGAATCACTTGAGCCCAGGAGGTCGAGACCAGCCTGAGCAACATGGTGAAAACCTGTCTCTATCAAAAATACAAAAAAGTAGCCAGGCATCGTGGTGCATGCCTATGATCTTAGCTACTTGGGAGGCTGAGGCAGGAGGACTGCCTGAGCCCAGGAGGCGAAGGTTGCAGTGCAATGAGATCACACCACTGCACTCCAGCCTGGGCAACACAGTGAAACCCCCCATCTCAAAAATTAAAAAAAGATAAAGAAGGACATTAAGAGTCAATCCAACAGGAAGGGATAAAAATTATAAACATATTGCACCTAATGAGAGAGCTCACAAAGTACTGAAAGTTGAACCAAAGAAATGAGAAAATTTGGATGAGCACAGTAAGAAATACATAAGGAATGAACTACAGAGAAAATACTCAAGAAACCTATCCTTTGTTCAAATGTGAATGCTTAACCCTGATTTCAAGGTCTGATCAATATAAATTTTCTGATCTTGAGTTACACAAGTTACTAAGAAATAGGAATAGTAATGTTACTTGTTTTGGAAATACATTGTAAGAACAAAATCTAAAATTTGTTATATGAGTAAACATAACTCTATACAATGTATTTTTAAAATTCAGATACTAGAAAAGAGCAATAACCACAAACATTAAAGTAGTTATTTTCATCATCTTTTCCAAGAAAAGCAGTAGACTGAGTTTGGAACACTGAAGTACCACCACCAGTTCTCACTGTATTAATACTAAGTATTAGAAGGCTAAAATAAATTATAAATGATGTATATAATATTTGACAGGAAAAAGAGTAGAGATGATAATTTTCCAATTAGCATTTTCTTAAAATGTTCTTACAAAATTACAAAGTTCAGGCCAGGTACAGTGGCTCATGCCTGTAATCCCAGAACTTTGGGAAGCAGAGGCAGGAGGATGGCTTGAGCCCAGGAGTTTGAGGCCAGCCTGGACCACACAGGGAGACCCTGAGTCTACAGAAAAATTTTTAAAAATTAGCCAAGCATGGTGGGCATGCCTGTGGTCCCAGCTACTCAGGAGGCTGAGGTGGGAGGATCGCTTGTGCCCAAAAGGTCAAGGATGCAGTGAGCCGTGATTGTGCCACTACACTCCAGCCTGGGCAACTGAGCAAGACACTGTCTCAAAAAAACAAAGAAGAAAAAAAGAAAAGAAAAGAAATAAAAATTACAAAGTTTAAGCCAGGTGTGGTGGCTCACGCCTATAATCCCAGCACTTTGGGAGGCCAAGGTGGGCGGATCACGTGAGGTCAGGAGTTTGAGGCCAGCCTGGCCAACATGGTGAAACCCCGTCTCTACTAAAAATACAAAAATTAGCCAGGTGTGGTGGTGCGTGCCTGTAATCCTAGCTACTCAGGAGGCTGAGGCAGGAGAGAATTGCTTGAACCCAGGAGGTAGCGGTTGCAGTGAGCTGAGATTGCCACTGCACTCCAGCCTGGGCAACAGAGTGAGCCTCTGTCTCAAAAAAAAAAAAACCAAAAAACAAAAAATAATTACAAAGTTTAAAATAAATAAAAATTCAAAGAATACAAAATGAGAAAATGTGTTCCTATATTTAAGGTAATACTATTTAACTTTTTAAAAGTTTGAACAACAGATTCTCCAAATTTCATTCACTACCTTATATTCATTCAAACACTAACTTTGGACTAAACAATACCAAATCTCTGAATTATTTGCCTGCCTAAGTTGCTTTTCCACTACTAAAAGTTAAGGTCCCTAGGAACGGGGATTCCATTTTCACAATTCTGTACAGCAAAACACGCTTATGCTTTTATCTTCCTCTGCTACTTTGAACAAGTCACTTCAATAATTTAATCTGCTGTAAAAGGGCATTGTTATACTGATTGCTACAAGGTGTGTTTGATTATTGTTTGTTATAAACTGTGTTTACTTTGGTCCTCAGGCATTAGAAATTATTGAAGGTTTTAAGGAGAACAGTCATACCACAAGTGATAAACTTCTATATCAGAAAGGATTGTTGAGGATGAGGGAAAATGGTTCCGAGGAGGTAGAAACTTGGGGACTTATAAAACTTGGGGACTTATGTACCTTAATAAAGGTAGAGGCAACAGAGATGAAAATAGGATGGTTTTCGGGGAAATAATCAACACATACCATACCCTTACAATTTTTCTGATACCATACTATACCATGAATAATCTCCTCACGGTCTTGTAAAAATGAAGAAAGTCTAGACTAATGCTATCAAGGTAACAAAAACGAACACTTTAATTTGCAGAAATTTTATTTCATTAGACCAAAGTTCCCAGGGCCAGGCACGGTGGCTCAGGCCTGTCATCCTAGCACTTTGGGATGGTGCGGGTGGATCAACTGTGGTCAGGAGTTAGAGACCAGCCTGGCCAACACAGTGAAACCCCATCTCTACCAAAAATACAAAAATTACCCTGGTGTGGTGGCACGTGCCTGTAATCCCAGCTACTCAGGAGGCTGAGGCAGGAGAATCACTTGAACCCAGGAGGCAGAGGTTGCAGTGAGCTGTGACAAGAGCAAAACTCCGTCTCAAAAAAAAAAAAAAGAACCGAAGTTCCCCTGATGGCCTACTTTTCATACACCATCCCCTCTCCCCACCCCCAGGTCTTTAAAAAATGCCACAAGAATTGCTTGAATCCGGGAGGCATAGGTTGCAGTGAGCCGAAATCGGCGCCACTGCACTCTAGCCTGGGTGATGGAGCAAGACTGAGTCTCCAAAAAAAAAAAAAAAAGAGAGAGAAGTTCATTTTTATCTTTCATGTAAAAGTCCAGGTAAGTGGTTCCAGCACTGTCCATATCACAGTCTGAGATATCTAACTCAACTCTCACCAATTTCCCCATATCTCAGCCACAGAGAAGGGGGAAAAGTGGAGGACAGGGAGGCCAAAACTCCACTCCTTTTAGGCAAAACACCCAAGATGTACCTAACATCTTCATTCATATCCTACTGGACAAGATTTAATCCTCTACCACACCTGGCTTTAACGGAGACTGGAAAATGTAGTGTTTACCTGGGTGACGAGCACCTACTGGAAAAAAAAAATACTGTACTATTCTAAAAGTGAACAGATACTAGAAGCCAACAAAATATATTAAATATTCTATGACTACATCTAAGAGGTTCATGTAACTCTCCAGGATACTTCAGTTATTATCAGTGAATGCTCTTAAAAGAAATTAGAAGAGGGCCGGGCACAGTGGCTCACACCTGTAATTCCAGCACTTTGGGAGGCCGAGGCGGATGGATCACTTCAAGTCAGGAGCTCGAGATCAGCCTGTCCAACATTGTGAAACCCCCCTCTCTCTACTAAAAATACAAAAATTAGCCAGGCGTGGTGGCATGTGCCTGTAGTCCCAGCTACTCAGGAGGCTGAGGCAGGAAAGTGGCTTGCATCCAGGAGACAGAGGTTGCAGTGAGCCGAGATCACGCCACTGCACTCCAGCCTGGGTGACAGAGCAAGATCCTGTCTCAAAAAAAAAAAAAAAAAATTAGAAGAGATTCTCCAACCCTAGAGAGGAAAAATTAAATGGGAAAGAGGCAAATGAACACCCCATTATGGACTGCAGGAAGGAAATAAATGAAAACTATTTTCAGCATTTTCTATATCTTATCATGCCCTAAAATCCCCTACTCCGTCAGATATCCACATTTAAAAAAAAAAAAATCAGAAACTATCTAGCATGTATGTTATACTTGCACTGCAGAAGACAGAAGGTATAGACCCAGAACACAAACGATGTGTCGCAGAATCAGAGAACAGCAAACCACTTAATTTTGCTGGCTGAATATATCAACCTAGCCAACAAAATTTTGATGCTCTGTATTTCAAAGAGCCTAGAAGTACACAAATTTAGATCTCCTGAAAAAGGTCATCCCCTTTTATTCATTATTGCTAGAGTGGAATATTATCGTTTCAGAAGGACAGCACAATGTCTTATGGCATGCTTGGGTATTTTTAACCTAAATCCACCAAAGACTATGTAAAAGTTACTTCTACTTAAAGTTTGTACTCGTTTTCCTCTCCAAAACTGAAATGATATTATCTGGCCTGGAATTCATTTACTGGGATTGTAAAACTTTAACAACAATGAGAAAAGTCAGAAAATAAGATACAGATGCACTGTATGGTAAAATACACTAGGGAAAGGCCATGGTGTTAATAAGTAAAAGAACAAAAGCTATCCAAAGTACAGCATTTTAAATTCCTCAGTAAATACCATCAGGAAATGAAAATCTTGAGGCTCAAAGTATTTTAACATTGCTATCATCTACTGATGAGATGAGACCAAAAGAGACACTGAATGGGTTCAAAAATATAGTTAGACAGAATGAATAATTGATAGCACAACGGGGTGACTATAGTCAACAATAATTTATTGTACATTTTAAAATAACTAGGCAGCAGCCAGGCACAGAGCCTCATGCCTGTAATCCCAGAACTTTCGGAGGCCAAAGTGGGTGGATCACTTGAGGTCAGGAGATCGAGACCAGCCTGGCCAACATGGTGAGACTCCTGTCTCTACTAAAAATGCAAAAATTAGCAAGGCGTGGTGGTGCCCACCTGTAATCCCAGCTACTTGGGAGGCTGAGCCTGGAGGATTGCTTCAACCCGGGAAGAGCTGGTTGCAGTGAGCTGAGGTCATGCCACTGCACTCCAGCCTGGGTGGCAGAGTGAGACTCCGCCTCAAAAAAACAATAAAAAATAAAATAAATAAAATACATAAACTGAAACAAAATAAGATAAAAATAAAATAACTAGGCTGGGCACAGTGGATCATACCTGTAATCCCAGCTAAGGTAGGGGATTGCTTGGGAGACCAAGGTAGGGGATTGCTTGAGCTGAGGAGTTAAGGCACCAGCCTGGACAACATAAGGAGACCTCGTCTCTACAAAAATTACAAACATTAGCTGGGTGTGGCAATGCAAGCCTGTAGTCCCAGCCACTCAGGAGGCTGAAGTGGGAGTATGGCTTGAGCCCTGGAAGTCAAGGCTGCAGTGAGCTGTGATTGCACCACTGCACTCCCGCCTGGGCAACAGAACAAGACCCTGTCTCAAAAAAAATTAATAAAACTAAATTAAAATTAAAAATAACTAAAAGAGTATAACTGGATTGTTTGTAACACAAAGAAAGGATAAATGCTTGAGGTAATGAATACTCCATTTACCCTGATATGATTATTATGCATTGTATACCTGTATCAAAAGATCTCATGTACCCCATAAATATATATACCTACTATGTACCCACAAAAAATAAAAATAAAAAATAAAAATTTTTAACCACACATAAAAAAAAAGACTTGAGATGCTCAAAATGAGAAGCTCAATGTAGTGGATCAGTCTCTTGTGAACTTGATCAAGCCGGGAACTGTGTTTCCCAGAATTCCCTTTCCTGCACAGTACACCAAGTTCAAGATGGCCAAATTCTTACAAGATCTTCATGAAGGTCACACAGGGTGACGACAAATGCAGAGGTGTGTGGCAGCTTCCAGCTTGTCCCTGCTCTCCTCTTGTCCCCTCTGTGTCCAGCTCTTCTTCTGATCTGACCAACAGTAGAGCAAGACCCAACAACAAATGCTTGGCTGTGGACCCACAGAGGCAGCAGCTACACGGAGGAAACAGCCTTCCACAGAACTCTCCAGAAAAAAGCCTTTCTGCATGCCTACTTTGGTGACTGTACACATTTGGCTTCTTAAAATTTTCCCAGTAAGCTCTCATTTATCAACCTGTACCAGTACCTCAGGAGGATCTATTAGTGATTTTTTCAGGTCTTTCCTTTTTCAGATAGATATTCCCATCCCCAGCACCTCTTATAATTGTGTACAGTCTGATTACCATATAAGTTCCTTACCCATAATACTCACAGTGGTTCTATTTCTCTGACCAAATTCTCAGTAATGTACTCAAAATTCAGCAATTAATCTGTAATCCAGCAGTACTGACAGAATGGGTTTAATTATTCTGATTAAACCCATTCTGAAAGCTATTTTCCTGTTACTATTAAGCTAAAATGTTCCTAAGATAATGAGGTTCACCTCATCCATTTACTTCTTTTTTTTTTTTTTCTTTTCTTCTTTTTTTTTTTTTTCTTTTCTTCTTTTTTTTTTTGAGACGGAGTCTCACTCAGCCACCCAGGCTGGAGTGCAGCTGTGCGATCTCAGCTCACTGCAACCACCATCTCCTGGGTTCAAGCGCTTCTCCCGTCTCAGCCTCCCAAGTAGCTGGGATTACAGGCACCCACCATCATGCCCAGCTAATTTTTGTATTTTAGTAGAGACAGGATTTCACCATGTTGGCCAGGCTGGTCTTTAACTCCTGACCTCAGGTGATCCGCCTGCATCGGCCTCCCAAAGTGCTGGGATTACAAGCGTGAGCCACCACACCCAGCCCATTTACTTCTATATGTAAGAAATGTTCTCTGCTTTCTGTCAAGTGATTCTTTAAAAAGTCTGCTTCATTACTTTTGTCTTTAATCATTTCTCTACATGTGGCACATAAAAATACATATTAAATAATACAACTTACAGTATTTATTCTAAGTGTTCTTTTAATCAATTTGTCATTTGGGGATTTGCTAAGAGAAAAGACAAATGGACTAAAAATTGGTAATTTTAAAGAAGTCTTCTTTGAAATAAGCCCGTGAATTCTAACTAGAAAATTATAAAAACACAAAACATATGAAGTAGTCATTAGAAATATCTTTTCCCCCAAAAGGAATGAATATATACTAAGCATTCAAATCCTGAACTAGACACTGGTAGGTCTGATTCAATGAAATTTTTTTTTTTTTTTTTTGAGACAGAGTTTTGCTCTCATTGCCCAGGCTGGAGTGCAATGGCACGATCTCGGCTCATTGCAACCTCCGCCTCCTGGGTTCAAGCGATTCTCCTGCCTCAGCCTCCCGAGTAGCTGAAATTACAGGCATGCACCACCACGCCCAGCTAATTTTGCATTTTTAGTAGAGATGGGGTTTCTCCATGTTGGTCAGGCTGGTCTCGAACTCCCGAACTCAGGTGATCCACCCGCCTCGGCCTCCCAAAGTGCTGGGATTACAGGCATGAGCCACTGCACCCCGCTATTTTTTTTTTTTTTTTTTTTTTTTTTTGAGACAGAGTCTCACTCTGTCGCCCAGGCTGGAGTGCAGTGGCAGCATCTCAGCTCACTGCAACCTCTGCCTCCCAGGTTCAAGCAATTCTCCTACCTCAGCCTGGCAAGTAGCTGGGACTACAGGTGTGTGCCACCACGCCTGGCTAATTTTTGTATTTTTAGTAGACACGGGGTTTCACCATGTTGGCCAGGCTGGTCTGTAACTCCTGACCTCCAATGATCTGCCCGCCTCAGCCTCCCAAAGTGCTGCAATTATAGGCGTTAGCCACCACGCCCAGCCCTATTCAATGATTTTTTGTGACCTTTTCTAAAGAGTCTTCAGTTTCTTTTTGACCTTAAAAACCATAAAAGTCTAATATACATTTTCGTACAGCTTTTATAAATTACCAACTATTTCTTTCATGATTGTGACATTAGGTATTCTATAGTTAGCCTACTATATTCAAGGGTATAAAAACAACTCAAAAGTGAAAAGACAGAAATTATCTGCCATGAGTAAGAACCATACTTCAATACGAGATCTGAGCACTAATCTCCAAAGCACTACGTAAGACTAAGAAAATTGATTGTATCTGAAAACCCAACCCTAGAAGTAGCTAGTAGTACTGGGGGTGAGGGAAGATTAGGAGATATTCATGCTAATAAAAGAACTCTTGTTTTACAAAATAATTCACTTTATAACTTATTTTAAAAGAACATTCATAAGGTGTGTTTAAAATTACCGTATCTAGAAAAACTCTGGGAACAAATCATTTTACAAGATGGTGTTATTCTATAAAAACAAGTATAAATGCAAAAGCCAGTGCTTACGCTTACTAAAGGCCCACCGCTGGATCCCTACCCACAAAATGGTATAGAACTCATATTTCCAGTGGGAAGGATTTCTTCAGCTCCAACTCAAGAAAGAAACATACAACTAATGATTCACTAAAACACCACTGGGAAAAGAAAGAAATAGCACGTTATGTGGCTTCTTATAGAATGCTTGAGTTTACTATAGAGTTTATATTTAATTTACACTTACTATGAAGAAAAATTGTACTTACAGTATCCGCACATTCTGAAAAGAATCCAGAACACTGTGAATCAATTCCTTTAAGGTCACAAATTTTAACTTAAATCAGTCTCAGATCCCATTCATTTGCTGATTATAATTATAGCTATAGCTATTTTTTTCAAATTGGAAAACTACATACTGAATTGAAATATAATCATACTCCAAAATTAGAATAAGATTTTTCTCTAAACTTGATATTTAAAATTTTTTAATCTACAGGAATAATAAAATTATTTAACCAGCTAGACTGGTTGAAGATACTAAAATTATTTTTTTAATCTGAGCACATTTCAATCATCACTTAACATTAGTTTCTAAAGTTTTCTAAAGTCTTCATAACAATTCACATATACAACTGACATTAATCAAACACCTATCACATGTAAACCGCAGTGAAAGACAAAAAAAAAGGTGGGGGATAATTCTCCTTCCACAACACTAATTACAATTACAGCTTTTGCTTGCCCACTCCCTTAATTCCCAAAATAGTCAACAGAGCCCTTGCTCATTGTAACTGTCTCTTGCTGGTCCTTCATGGAGATGAACCTGCAATGGTGGGCTGTTTTAAGTTGCAATCCCTTTACTGAGGCTGCTTAGCATTTGTTGACCTCCTTGACTACAGCAGCTTACAGACTCCTCAAGTTCACAAGGAGCATGCATGAAAATGCTACAGGACAACCTATGACAATACTCTGATCCCTCAGCTGCAACTCATCAAATTACTAATGTTGTCCTGAACCCCTATTAACTTCAATAGGGACAGCACCATGTTTGAAAAGCCAAAGAAGAGACCCAGAGCTAGTGAAAAAGATGTAGGGTTTTTGAGGGAACTTACATGCAGGGCCATCCAGTCCAGTGGCAGCAGGCTAGAAAGAAGAACTGATCCCACTTGTAAAAAAGCATGCAGTTTATATAACATTTTGACTTAGCACCCTCCCCCACCAACCTCCACCTGGCAACCTTCATTTAACCCAAAACAAAGATCCTCAATCTTCCGGCAAAGCCCAGGATCCACAGGACTGGCCTGGGGGCTCAGATGTTCCTTATAGATAATGAATGAATCTGCTGGTTGGTCACTGCTGGATTCCTTAGTTCGGTACCCTATGAACACAAGTTGTTCTTAGACCTCAGGGTCATTCTCGGGGTATGCTTAAGTAAGTTACTGCTGTCAGGTACATATGCTATACAGGTTCATATTCAGAGTATGCCTCTGTTATTACTGTCAGATGTGTCTGGCATACAACTAGTCAATTTGGTATTTTCCTCTGGAAAACATTACCTGACACTTGCTCACAATGATGCTCATATGCCACTTCTCTCCCAACGAAGTTTCCAGAGTTCTTCCTGCAGTGCATCTCTATTGGCACCACAGAGCATTACCCAAGCAAGCCAATGCCCTCTGCAAATGCGGAGAGCTCCCTGGGGTACTTCCAGTAGGAGGCTCATAAGAACAAGGACTAGGAAATGAGCCAGGCATGGTGGCTCACACCTGTAATCCCAGCACTTTGGGAGGCCAAGGTGGGAGGACTGCTTAAGCCCAGGAGCTTAAGACCAGCCTGGGCAACATGGCGAAACCCTGTCTCTACAAAAAAATACAAAAAATTATCTGGGCGTGGTGGCGGGTGCCTGTAGTCCCAGCTACTCGGGAGGCTGAGGCAGGAGGATCTCTTGAGCCCAGGAGCTCAAGGCTGAGGTTGCAATGAGCAACCACACTCCAACCTGGATGACAAAGCAAGACCCTGTCTCAAAAAAAGGAAAAGAAAAATGAGCACATCAGAGACACCTTATGGCTTCACTAGTGACTTCACTACTTGGAAGAATTTTTTAAACTACTGATAAGTTTTCATATTTTAAGTCCTTGAGATACACATTAAAAGCTGTCTCAAAAAAAATTAAATTTTAAAGATTTCATAAGATTTGCTTATAAATCCATTAGGAACATTTATAACACTGTCTCAAAAAATACTATTAGCTTTCACTGGGATTGAGGCACCTTTGAGATTTGGGTTTAAATTCAAAGATAATTCAGAAATGAGAATGGGGTGTAGTTTTTATCTTTCATTTAGGAAGACTTTCTGCTTCCAGTAATAATGATTATATATAATTCAGACAAATCTCTTCACTGAGAACAGGTAGAAATCTAGACAAAAATGAGTGCTAGGAATGACCAAAAAACCTATCATTTTCCACAGATTGTACACAATAGAAAATCCAAAACAATCTACAAGTAAGCTAGCAGAAAAAATTAGCTTATCAAAGCTGAGGGATACAAAAGTTAATGTTCAAAAACCAACAGTATTTCTATACACCAGCAATAAAGCTAGGAAATGAATTTTTAATACCATTCCTGAAACCATCAAAAATTATCAAATTCCTAGAAATAAAAAGTGGAAAATCTTCTATGTAGAAAGCTATTAAACAAACAAAAAATACTTTTACAAATTAAAGGGACCTAATAAAGTGAAGGGATATCCCATGTTCTTGAAATTTAACACTGTAAAGATGTCAATTCTATCCAAATTGATCTAGAGACCCAAAACAATCCCAACCAATCCTAACAAATTTTTAATCGAAATTTACAGGCTGATTTTATTTATTTATTTATTTATTTGAGACAGAGTCTCACTCTATCGCCCAGGCTGGAGAGCAGTGGCACAATCTCGGCTGACTGCAACCTCCCCTTCCCGGATTCAAGGGATTCTCCTGCCTCAGCCTCCCGAGTAGCTGGGATTACAGGCACCCGCCACCATATCCAGCTAATTTTTTTTGTATTTTTAGTAGAGACGGGGTTTCACCATGTTGGCCAGGCTGGTCTCGAACTTCTGACCTCAAGTGATCCGCCCACCTCGGCCTCCCAAAAGTGCTGGGATTACAGGCATAAGCCACCATGCCCGGCAGAAGATTTAAAAATGTATACATAAATACAAATAGCCAAGGCAAACAAGACGTCCTTGAAGAAGTACAACAAAAAGACTTTCTCTCTGGATTAGGACATATTATAAAGCTCAGTCACTAGACAAACAGATGAAAAGAATGAACAGAAGGCCCAGAAATAGATCATACAGGGATGCTTGCTGTACAAGACAGTTGGCACTGCAAATCAGATCTTTTCAAATGACACTGTCATTTGGCTATTCATAAGGGAAAACAAAATTCAACTTAACCTCCAACTTACACCATACATAAATACTAACTTCAGGTGGATTACAGACCTAAATATAAAAGTCAAAACAATAATGCTCCTTAAATATAATATAGAAGAATATCTCTTTGTGGATACAGCAAGCACCCACCATAAAGGAAAAGACAGATAAACTGGACTATATTAAAATTAAGAACTTCTATTTGTCAAAAAGAAAGTTAACAGTTCAGCCACAAAGCAGATATTATATATACATGTACACACACTGACATTTTTTAAATGGCCAACACATGATAACAAAAAGCAGACCAACTCTTAGTCAATAATTTTACTGATTTTAAATTCCCTAAAGAAAATGCACTTTGTTATTGCCTGAACCTGGGGTAGACCTCACCTTTCACCCCCAGCCTTAGGTACACTACTGACTTTTGGGGTTTTGCAATGTTTATGTCATCACCTAGGTCAAGTTACATAAGGTTTGGCTTTGTGATAATTCACTGAATATCTCCTATACCTTATGAAGTGTTTGCCATGCTTCACTGTGGCATAGTTTAAAAAGCCAATGAGTATCTACACCTCTTGATTTAAAAAAGTGGTAAAATAAAAAAAAGAGAAAGACAGAAGCTGAATATCCTTAATATGTTAGCATCTTACAAATCAGTATAATATAAACACCCAAAGAGAAAACAGACAAAGAGATATTAACAGTCCTTTCACAAAAGAAATGCAATTATCTAATAAAAGCTGTTTGTTCCTGGCCAGGCATGATGGCTCACATCTGTAATTCTAGTACTTTAGGAAGCTGAGGTGGGAGGATCACTTGACCTCAGGAGTTACAGACCATCCTGGGCAACTTAGTGAGACCTCATCTCTATTTTAAATAAAAAGAAGAAAAAGAAAAACCCTGTTCCATCGCAATAGTAATCAATTAAATTAAAAAAAAAACAAAAATGAGAAATCAGTTTTAACCTATCAGATTGGTAATAAGTAAAGTAACTGGAAAATATCTAGTGCTCTCTCATAGGTATGGGAAAATGTGAACTCACATTCAAATCAGGTAGGAAGAAATATAAAGGTTTCTGCCCATAATTTCTTTAAAAAAAAAACAAAAACAAAAACAAAAAAAACACACACACCATACTTAAGAAGATGGTATATTCTGTCATACATGTCACAAAACTAAGAAATGGGCAAACTATTCCACATCTTTGCTTGTGGCTCATAAAATTCACTAGGAGCTAGCTGCCTATTTTAAAGGAGAACTTTGGAACTTGGTATTGACCTATGTAATGAGACTATTTTATGCCCAATATTAATTAGTTCTTGTAAGACACCGTAATAAACTTGCTATTCTAATAAAAGCCACAAATGTTTCATCTTTTTTCTTCTTAGTTGCAGTTCTTCTCCCCAGACTAACAGCACACCAAGCATCTTAAACTGTTTTGCCCCAGATTTCCTCTGTAACAACTAATGTGGACAGGATGTTTTTATGACCATGGATAATGAAATTGCAATCTTTACCAATTAGCTGCTTGTATAAACATTCTGTTTCCCAAATATAAAATCCACCAATTTCCAAACGCACACTGATCATTCATGTGTGGAACACTAACGTATTCAAATTCAATTTGTCTGAGAAAATTTGTTACGGAATTGTATAATTCCATGCATACAAAACTGAGTTTAAAGAAACAAATGTATACTCAAAATATTTAAAGAGAATAATGTTTTGCTAATCTCTGTAAAGTGGGATTTGAGGCGATTCTGCATTCTTCTTCACTGTCCCCTCAAGTACCTGAATTTCTTACACTAAACTTGTACATTCAGGGGAAGAAGCAATTATTTGTAGAAAACATCCTCTTCCCCCTTGTCCCATTTTCCTGCACCATGTGGCCTTTGCGTCTTCTGCCTGCACTGCTTCTAAAGGCACCACCATCCTCTCAACACCCAGGTTCAGAACCATAGCTGCTTCTGAGGCTGTGGCCTCTTTCCTGACACTTGACCAGCCAGCTGTCAAGGCTCACTCATCCCAGCTGTGTTGCTCCTTTCACTTTCCAAGGCTGCTACTCCCAGCTTCCGGTATCTTTTATTTTTTTCATTTATTTTTTATTTTTGAGACAGAGTCTTGCTCCGTCACCCAGGCTGGAGTGCAGTGGCGCAATCTTGGCTCACTGCAACCTCCGCCTCCTGGGTTCAAGCGATTCTCCTGCCTCAGCCTCCTGAGTAGCTGGGATTACAGGCGCACACCACCATGCCTGGTTAATTTTTGTATTTTTAGTAGAGACGGGGTTTCATCATGTTGGCCAGGCTGGTCACGAACTCCTGACCTCAAGTGATCCGCCCACCTAGGCCTCCCAAAATGCTGAGATTATAGGCGTGAGCCACCACGCCCGGCCTCCAGTATCTTTTAGTTTTAATTCATCTTACAAAAAAAGTTTGTTGGCTCACTCTTCCTAAAGTAAACTCCAAGGATGTCCTTTCCTTCACCCTAACGGTTCCCCAGCCCCATATACTCACACCCTAGTACTCAATCAAGGTCTCTGCAGTAAGGCCCCTGCCTTCTTGTTCTCATAACTTCCCTTCTCAAACCTTACTTCAACTATTCTCTGACCAATTAAGTCTAGACCAATGGTTTTCAAACTTTAACACATCACAATCACCTAGAGAACTAGTTAAAACCCAGGTTTCTGGGATTTCTGAGTTTCTGAATCAGTAGGTCTGGAGTGGAGCCCAAGAGTTTGCATTTCTAACAAGTTTCCAGATGATGCTGATGCTGCTGGTCTGGGGACCACACTCTGAGAACCACTTGGTATAGACTATATGTTCCTGCTACATGATTCCATCAAGCAATTCCCTTCACCTGGCATATATTGCAGCTGCGACTGAAATCCTTTCAAGGTGGACCTCTTAGACCACAACCCTTCCATGAAGCTTTACAGCAGGGGTGTCGAATCTTTTGGCTTCCCTGGGCCACATTGGAAGAATTGTCTTGGGCCACACAGGAAATATTCTAACACTAACGATAACCAATAAGCTAAAAAAGAAAAAAAAAAAAAAACCGCAAAAAAAATCTCATGTCTTAAGAAAGTTTACGAATTTGTGCTGGGCCACATTCAAAGCCATCCTGGGCCACATGCAGCCCACAGACCGCGGGTTGGATAAGCTTACTTTACAAGGATACCTTCCCCTCTCTGCAACCCAAATAAAATGTGATATGCTGTGATATGGAAGCCCGGCAGCACTTTATTTCCAATTCTAGTGACAATTATAGTTGGTCTTGTATCATGGTATGTGCCTCCTATCCCCATTAGACAAGGTCAAGAGGTTAGGAGATTCATTCTCATTGGTCTTTGGACATGGAGATGCCTAGCACAGAACCTTGCAAATATCAAGAACTCAGTTTGAAACTTGCTGACTTATGCTGAACTAGAATTTCAAAAGGGCATTGTCCTTTATTCTGTTACACACTGCAAGCCCTCAAATAGTAGCTAGTAATATCACTGACAGGCAAAGTACACTCATTCCCATAACAGTAAGCAACAGGAAGCAGTACTCAACACAATCCATTTACAAAGGCATGAACAAGTTTCTTCAAAGACCGTGTGTCTTGAAAGTAAATCAAGATTGACAATAGAGGGAGAGATAAGATGCTTAGTTTTTATATTCTTTTAAGGTCTTTTGAATGATATGGTAGGTCTATACTATTTTCAGATTTATCTGCAAGTGACCCCAAAGGTCTGTGATGTTTGGTAATTAATGACTTAACTCACACAGGCTTGATGGAAATACTCGGACAGTAAAAATGCCTAATGGCAAACTTTAATCTTTTGTCCTTTCAAAAAGAAAGCAACATAAATTGCTACAACTGTTTTAGAAAACTGGCCATGCTGTGGCCCAGCAACTTCCCTCCTTCCTAGGTATGTACCCAAGAGAAAGGAAAGCAACTGCCCACCAAAAGACCGGTACAAAAACATTCATAGTTTTATTTGAATTAGCCAAAAAACAGGAATCTAACTAGATACTCATTGACAAGAAAGTGGATAAATTGTGTTTTACCATGCAATAAAATGGAAACAAGAAAAAGATTCAGGAAACTTTTGCTCCAATCATTGTAAACCACACTCCCCAAATGAGAAAGAAACCCAAGGGAACGAATGGTTCACCAAAATATTTCCATCGTGTCCAACCCTATCTTCCCTGAGAAATTATATGTAGTACTGTGAATATCAAATTTGGGAACATGGAAAATTTCATTGTGATGCCTCCTGCCAACCCACAGCATTCTGACATGATGGGCCTCCTTGAATCCCACTTAATAAGGGATAAAAACCTAGATAAGCCAGGAATGGTGGCTCACACCTATAATCCCAGCACTTTGGAAGGCCAAGGTGAGAGGATCACTTGAGCCCAGGAGTTCAAGGCTAGCCTGGGCAACATGACAAAACCCCGCTTCTACAAAAAATACAAAATTAGCTGGGCATGGTGGAATGCACCTGTGTGGTCCCAGCTACTCTGGAGGCTGAGGTGGGAGGATCACCTGAACCTGGATAGATAGAGGCTGCAGTGAGCTGAGATCACACCCCTGCACCCCAGCCTGGGCAAGAGAGTGAGACCCTGTCTCCAAAAAATAAATAAATAATAAATAAATAAATAAAAAGAACCTTGATATGGTTTGGATCTGTGTCCTCACCCAAATCTCAGGTTCAATTGTAATCCTCAATGTTGGAGGCGGGGCCTGGTGGGAGATGATTAGACAATGGGTGCAGTTTCTAATAGTTTAACACCATCTACCTGGGTACTGTTCTCGTGATACTGAGTTCTCAAAAGACCTGGTTGTTTAAAAGTGTGTAGTACGGTCCCCCCTACGGCACCCCGCTTCCTCCAGCCATGTAAGACTTGCCAGCTTCCCCTTTGCTTTCTGCCATGATTGAAAGCTTCCTGAGGCCGAGTGCGGTGGCTCACGCCTGTCTCAACATTTTGGAAGGCCGAGGCGGGCGGATCACGAGGTCAAGAGATCGAGACCATCCTGGCCAACATGGTGAAGCCCCATCTCTACTAAAAATACGAAAATTACTCTGTCTCTACTAAAAATACAAAATTAGCCAGGCATGGTGGCGCACACCTGTAATCCCAGCTACTCGGGAGGCTGGGGTGGGAGAATCGCTTGAACCCAGGAGGCAGAGGTTGCAGTGAGCCGAGATCGTGCCATTGCACTCCAGCCTGGGCAACAAGAGCAAAACTCAGTCTCGGAAAAAGAAAAAAAAAATTAGCTGGGTGTGGTGGCATGCACCTGTAGTCCCAGCTACTCAGGAGGCTAAGGTAGGAGAATCACTTGAACCCGGGAGGCACAGGTTGCAGTGAGCTGAGATCACACCACTGCACTCCAGCCTGGTGACAGAACGAGACTCCATCTCAAAAAAAAAAAAAAAAAAAAAAAAAGAAAGAAAGCTTCCTGAGGCCTCCCCAGAAGCAGTCATGCCTCCTGTAAAGCCTGCAGAACCATCCATGAACATATTAAACCTCTTTTCTTTATAAATTACCCAGTCTCAGGTACTTCTTTTTTGTTTGTTTGTTTTTTAAGGCAGTCTCGTTCTGTCGCCCAGGCCGGAGTGCAGTGGCGCGATCTTGGCTCACTGCAACCTCCACCTCCCAGGTTCAAGAGATTCTCCTGCCTCAGCCTCCCGAGTAGCTGGGATTACAGTCGCCCACTACCATGCCTGGCTAATTTTTTTTTGTATTTTTAGTAGAGACGGGGTTTTGCCATGTTTTAGCCAGGCTGGTCTCGAACTCCTGACTTCAGGTGGTCCGCCTGCCTCAGCCTCCCAAAGTGCTGGGATTATAGGCATGAGCCATGGTGCTCGGCCTCAGGTATTTCTTTATAGCAGCACGACAACAAAACTGATACAAACCTAGATAAAAGTTCTTAAATTTTCAATGTGATGAAATTTGTTCTAAAAACCCTCTTAAAAAAGTACACCAGGATACACGTTGAATAAAGCCAGCTAAGCTATTTCCTGTTATGCACATGTATAGCCTTTCCCCTTTTTATCTAAACTATTTAATGCTCCAGTTGTTTTTTATTTCTGCGTACCTACCACTTACTGTCCCAGGCCCTGGTAAAACTAAAGGCAGAAGGAAAAGACAGAAAAGTTCCCTGACCTCCCTGAAGGAAGGAAATACAGGTAATAATAATGCCAGGAAGTAAACTAACCAAAGCTTTTCCAACCCTCCAGGTACAACTGTGGAACCACATTCTAGACCAGTGCTACCTAACAGAACACTCTGCAATGATGGGAATGTTCTATATCTGCACTGTCTAATACAGTAGCCACTAGTCAAATGTGGCTATTGGGTATCTGAACTGTGGCCAGTGCAACTGAGGAACTGAACCTTTATTTTCTTTTTCTTTTTTTTTTTGAGACAGGGTCTCGCTCTGTCGCCTAGGCTGGAATGCAGCGGTGCAATAATGCACAGCTCATTGCAGCCTCGATGTCCCGTTCCCAAATGATCCTCAGCCCCACCTCCACCATAACTCCCACAGTAGCTGGAACTACAGGCATGTGCCACCACACCCAGCTGATTTTGGGGTGGGGGGGGATTTTTTGTAGACACAGAGTTTCACCATGTTGCCCAAGCTGGTCTCAAACTCCTGGGTTCAAGTTAATCTTTTAGTTTTAATTAAAATTTAATAAATTTAATGTCTAATTAACATATTTACATAGCCACATGTAGCTAGAAGCTACCACATTTGACAGCACAATTCTACACATGTCCATCATATTTACCATTAATATATACTATAGTTCAACTATAGTATACAGTATAGTAATTAGAAATTATACTATAGTTACAACTACTAGTTGTAAGCAGCATCACTTTAACAGCTCTTGAAGGGGGAATAAAAAACATTAAGCAGGCTGGGTGCGGTGGCTCACGCCTGTAATCCCAGCACTTTGGGAGGCTGAGGCAGGTGGATCACCTGAGGTCAGGAGTTTGAGACCAGCCTGGCCAACATGGTGAAACCCTGTCTCTACTAAAAATACAAAAATATTAGCCAGGCATGGTGGCGCATGCCTGTAATCCCAGCTACTCGGGAGGCTGAGGCAGGAGAATCTCTTGAACCCAGGAGGCGGAGGTTCCAGTGAGTCGAGATCGCACCATTGCACTCCACTCTGGGCAACAAGAGTGAAACTCCATCTCAAAAAAAAAAAAAAAAAAAAAAAAAGCCGGGCATGGTGGCTCACGTCTACAATCCCAGCACTTTGGGAGGCCCAGGCAGGTCAATCACGAGGTCAGGAGTTCGAGACCAGCCCAACCAACATGGTGAAACCCCATCTCTATTAAAAATATAAAAATTAGCTGGGCATGGCAGCATGCACCTGTAATCCCAGCTACTAAGGAGGCTGAGGCAGGAGAATTGCTTGAACCCAGGAGGCAGAGGTTGCAGTGAGCCGAGATCACACCACTGCACTCCAGCCTGGGCAACAGAGCGAGACTCAGTCAAAAAAAAACAAACAAACAAACAAAAAAACATTAAACATACCAGGGTTTAGACGCATCTGGATTTCAGAGATGCTAGAAGAAAATGGGAAGAAAAGTGTACCTTAGAACAGAGGAAATCCAGTAGCCATGTTTTCCCCTTGAAGATGAGCAGCCTGTGGAAAATGATATAATACATCTATGCCTACAATAGAGCTCCGCACAGAGAAAGTGTTCAATAAACATTTGCTCAACAAAGTACCAAAATAATCCCCGACTAGGATTCTAAGAACAAGGAATTGGATCTGTTATATTTGTATTCCTAGCACCTACACAGTGCTTAGAACAATATGCACTAAATATTTATCTTTTAATTGGCATGCAATGACGACAGTGGAAAAAATGGTGGGGCTACAAATAACATTTCAAAGACAGAAGCAGAACTCACTGACCAGAATGGGGAATTGAAAGAACTCTAGTACTATGCACAGAAAAAGGCAAGTCTAGAAGAGGAGTTGAGTTTGAGGAAAGAAGCTAAATGTAAGAGAATAGTATGTGGTGCCTACTACTTAGAAAACTATATACTAGATACTTTAAGAACTATAAAGGTGCAACTTGCCCTCAAGAAGTTAAGGTCCAGCAGAGGATGGAGTCTGTATGTAACTATAGTGCAAAGAAACGATAAATGCTCTAAGAAGGATACTGATGAAGTGTTGTGGCTATGTAGAAGATAGAAAAGCATATTTCCAGAAGCACAGGGTTAGGGTTAAAACAATAACGCATTACACCAAGGGCAAGAAAGAAGAGGAAAATGGCCAAAAGCAATAGATTGTTAAGGAAAATAAAGATTATTGCAGAGGAAGAAGGCTAGAGATGGAAGTAGGAAGACTAGGTGTATTTGACAGAAAAGAAGGGAAAAGAATTTGAAGGAGATCCAGACTATCCAATGCCATAAAGCAGTAAAATATCTGCCAAAAAATCCTAATTATTGTTACCATTCCAAGTCCAGTTCAGGTCCTATCTACTCTCAAATCCTCTCAAATTCCTTCAGGCTTGAATTAATCTCTCCTCCTCATATATTCCCACTGTACCAACAATATACATGTCCACAGACAAGAACTATGTATTATTAAGCTCAGAACTCTGTAGACATAGCACAGCATCTTTGACATATGGAATATAATATACTCAACTGAGTATAATTATCCTAAAATATTCTCTGAACTGAGTTTATAAATAATAACAGCTTATTTTTCAGTAGCACATCAATGAAAACTACACCACATCAAGATTGGGTTGTGACGGAAGGTTGGGTTGTGACGGGCGGGCGCGGTGGCTCACGCCTGAAATCCCAGCTCTTTGGGTGGCCAAGGTGGGTGGACCACCTGAAGTCAGGAGTTCGACCAGCCTGGCTAACATGGTGAAACCCCGTCTCTACTAAAAATACAAAAATTAGCTGGGCGTGGTGGTGGGCACCTGTAATCCCAGCTACTCAGGAGGCTGTGGCAGGAGAATCACTTGAACCTGGGAGGCGGAGATTGCAGTGAGCACCACCACACTCCAGCCTGGGTGACAAGAGCAAAACTCCGTCTCAAAAAAAAAAAAAGAAAGAAAGAAAGAAAAAGATTGGGTTGTGACATCTACTTAAGTGGCCAGAACTTCTGTTTCATTCAGTTTGTTGGGTATCAACTGTGGATCAGATGTTGTATACAAAAGTTTTTCAGAGGAAGACCTCATAGTAAAGGTGAAAGGGTTAACTCCAAATGAGAAGTGCTAAAATAAAGGTAGTCACGTGCTGCATAATGATGTTTCAGGCAATGACAGAAACAGGCTTTACAGAAATCTTGGACAGGAAAAGGCTTTACAGAAATCTTAAACAGTGATTTTCTCCAAGCATTCCAAATAACAGTTATCTTCTGTTACATGATAATTGTTACGATTATCTTCTGTTACATAAAAAAGCATGTTATTCATGGGAAATGGAATTTTTAAAAAGTATAAAATGCATTACAGAAGCGGGTTTGCACTGTGCACTGAAGTGCCATACTGGCCTCCAGCAGGCCTCTTAACAGTCCTCAACCTAACAGTTACCAAACTCCTCATCAAACTCCTCATTACCTCTGGAAAACAGAGATCTGGCTGTTGCCATCAGTACAAATGTTTTTGGCTAATGGTTAACTATCTAGTTCAACTTCACACTTCTGCTCCCTTATATTAAGCTGGATGCTTTGTATCCAAAAGTCAGTTGCATTTCTTACCCAAAACTGTCAATTCCTCTGGTAACAATCATTACATGTTTTTCATTTAAATAGTGTGCAAACCAATTACAAGAAAGTGCCAATTTTGTAAAAATTACATTGGATGCTTTGGCAAGATTCAACAAAGGTGATGAGTCACTTAAAAAATGTGCCTGTCAAATCGGATGTGGGTTAGATTATGTTAAAAGACAGGAGACAACTATAAAAATCTATTATTCTGCACTAGTTTCATAGGTTATCTAAATTATTGCTCTACTTTCAAGTCGTCGAAACTGAACCTACTGCACACATAGGATGGATTATACAAGATGACACCGAACTTCAGTCAACTGAGAAAGATCCTAGACATACGTCAAAATAGTGGCAATGAGCTAGGCATGGTGGCTCATGCCTCTAATCCCAGCACTTTGGGAGGCTGAGGCAGAGGTTGCAGTGACCCAAGATCATGCCACTGCCCTCCAGCCTGCGTGACAGAGTGAGACATGGTCTCAAAAAAAAAAAAAAAAAAAATACACTTGAGAACTATTATAGTGATGCAATGATATTATATCATTTCCATGCAATGACATTATATCATTTTCAAATGATATAATGAGGCAGGTGGATCATTTGAGGTCAGGAGTAGAAGACCAGCCTGGCCAAAATGGTGAAACCTCATCTCTACTAAAAATGTAAAAATTAGCCAGCATGGTAGTGTGCGCCTATAATCCCAGCTACTCGGGAGGCTGAGGCAGGAGAATCGTTTGAACCTGGGAGGCAGAGATTGCAGTGAGCCAAGATCACGCCACTGCGCTCCAGCCTGGGAGACAGAGCAAGACTCCGCCTCAAACAAACAAACAAATACTGGTAATCAAAAGTATGCTTTAGGCTGGGCACGGTGGCTCACACCTGTAATCCCAGCACTTTGGGAGGCCGAGGCAGGCAGATCATGAGGTCAGGAGTTTGAAACCAGCCTGGCCAACGCAGTGAAACCATGTCTCTACTAAAGATACAAAAATTAGCCAGGCATGGTGGCAGGCACCTGTAATCCCAGCTACTCGGGAGGTTGACACACAAGAATCCCTTGAACCTGGGAAGCGGAGGTTGCAGTGAGCCGAGATCACACCACTGCACTCCAGCCTGGGCGACAGAGCAAGACTCCATCTCAAAAAAAAAAAGAAAGAAGAAAGAAAAGTATGCTTTATGGCAAAATAGTTATATGTGCATTCGTATTTGATTGCTTAGAGCTTTACCAATTTTTAAAATTAATTTTCCAATTATGGACTCCAAACCATCGAATAAGGGGAGCTCCTACAAGAACACCCTGCTAACACTATTCCTTCAAGTCTCTACATAAAGGCTACCTCCTGATTAACAGCCCCAAGGATACTAACCACCTCTTCAAAATACCTTCAACTAGTGCTAGACTGCTATTGGTTTTAACCTCAAAACACTTTAAAAAGCCAAATGCATTATAAATAATGAAAATTACATTACTTTCCTCTTTCAATCTTGATGCTCAATAAGTAAAACAAAACGAGCTCAATAAATCACTGCAGAGTTAGATCTTACAAAGACAACACGCCTATGAAAACGTAGGTTTTTCAAAAGAATCTGTGAAAATCCAAGGCTAAGCAATTTAAGGAGAGAATTTATACCTTAATGGAGGAGAAATAAGTAGGAAATAAGTCAAAGTATGTGAAACAAACTAAAAAAGACAGGAAATATATATGGACCAATTTTAACAAAAATTCAGTTACCCCAGAGAAGTGCTAGACTGGTTCTAAAAAGGAAAATGTTAAAACTCAATTTTAACATTAATGATACATCCACTAATCTTACCCACTGCTACATTTTATTATATATAAAGAAAACATTCATGAAACCAGGAAGTACATACACATCATGGTCTTTTCTTTAAAGTACCTTACAATCCAGTTGTGAACACTGGAATTAATACACAAAAACTTTATGTCCAGAGATTAGGACAATAGGTGTTATTGTCCTAATAAATGTTTGCTGGTCTCACTAAGAGATAAACATCTTAAGATCCTACATTATTAACTTATCAAGACAAAAGGCAAGATGTGACAATTCAGACTCATGATGACCAAATGAACTGTACAAATCAAAATAGCTATAAATGTTCAAAGGAAACAGTACCCCTTTCAGACTGAAGAGGTTATGTTTTATACAGGAGATAGTATATGAACTACATCTGAAAAAATTAGTGGGGTTACAGTAAAGTTGTGTGACCAAAAAGAAGAGGGCACTCAAACGTGGTTAAAAACACTTGAGGCCCAGTGGCCCACGCCTGTAATCCCAGCACTTTGGGAGGCTGAAGCGGATGGATCACGAGGTCAGGAGTTCGAGACCAGCCTGGCCAACATGGTAAAACCCCATCTTTACAAAAAAATACAAAAATTAGCCAGGCGTCGTGGTGCACGCCTGTAATCCCAGCTACTAGGGAGGTTGAAGCACGAGAATCACTTGAACCCAGGAGGTGGAGATTGCAGTGAGCCAAGATTGTGCCACTGCCCTCCAGCCTGGGTGACAGAGCGAGACACAGTCTCAAAAAAAAAAAAAAAAAAAAAAAAAAAAACTTGAGAACTATTATAAATAGTGATGCAATGATACTATAACATTTCCATGCAATGACATTAAATCATTTTCAAAGTGCTTTCATGTTTATCATTTTACTGACTGGACATCACAACCACCCAGTGAATTCACAAACTAGAGAACCATACACTTGAGGAGAAACACAGAAAAAGAATACCTAAGCCTGGGCAACATGGCAAAACCCCATCTCCACTAAAAATACAAAAATTAGCCGGGCGTGGTAGCGTGTGCCTGTAATCCCAGCTACTTGGGAGGCTGAGGTGGGAGAATCGCTTGAATGCGGGAGTCGGAGGTTGCAGTGAGCCAAGATTGCACCACTGCACTCCAGCCTGGGTGACAGAGTAAGGCTCTGTCTCAAAAAAAATAAAAAAAAATAATGCAGTGTTCCATGTGGAGAGTGAAAGCGATGTGTTAATACTACTTACTACCTGAAATAAGCTCATAGATGTCCTACTTCAAATCCTATACAGGGGTCTTACCATTTTTACTAAAAGACCATATTTCACTATCTAAGACAACCAACTACAGACAGCTAAATACAGAGTAAACTCTGAGACAGTAATCACTTATTCTATTAAAGTTTGTATATTATGAAATTCATCTACCTAAAGTTTTCCCCTTGAGTCTGAGCCTAATTATAATTGATTTTCCGTACTCTACCAGAGATTAGAATGAAAAATCTATTAATACAATCATCCTTAGAGTGCAACAAATTGAGCCATTTACCCTAGCCCCAAACTTGGGAAGCCCTTTGCAGTTGTTACAGAAACCAGAAAAGTAGTCTTGCAAAGAATCAGAACAAGGGCAAAAAGTTAAATCAGTATCAGCACATATACCTTCCCTTAATGCCTTTTTATTATGTATAAAACAGTGTGGGTTATCTCTCTTCCGACTTCCAATGTCCTCCCTATCAACCACTAAACATTAATGCTTATTTTTGCCAGATAAAATATAAAAGGGGGCCGGGCATGGTGGCTCAGGCCTGTAATCCCAGCACTGTGGGAGGCCGAGGCAAGTGGATCATTTTGAGATCAGGAGTTTGAGACCAGCCTGGGCAACATGGCAAAACCCCATCTCTACCAAAAATTACAAAAATTAGCAGGACATGGTGGCGCACACCTGTAGTCCCAGCTACTCAGGAGGCTGAGGCTGGAGAATTGCTTGAACCAGGGAGGCAAGGCTGCAGGGAGCCAAGATCATGCCACTGCACTCTAGCCCAGGCAACAGAGTGAGACCCTGTCTCACAAAAATTAATCAATTAAATTAAACATAGAAGGGGTTGAATAAAACTATAAGAAGTAGAGATATTGGCTGGGTGTGGTGGCTCACGCCTATAAACCCAGCACTTTGGGAGGCAAGGCGGGTGAATCACCTGAGGTCGGGAGTTCAAGACCAGCCTGACAAACATGGAGAAACCCCGCCTCTACTAAAAATACAAAAATTAGCGGTGTGTGGTGGCGGGCGCCTGTAATCCCAGCTACTCGGGAGCCTGAGGCAGGAGAATCGTTTGAACCCGGAAGATGGAGGTTGCAGTGAGCCGAGATCATGCCATTGCACTCTAGCCTGGGCAACAAGAGCAAAACTCCGGCTCAAAAATAAAAAAGAAAAGAAGTAGAGATAAGATTTAGGTATGGGCTTAATACACAACTTATAAAAGAACATTCATTCATTCAACAAGTATTTACTCTATACCTACCAAGGTTGGAAACAATAATGGTTAGCATTCTTCTACATCCCAATATACCCTATTTTTACTCCTGCCACCCTTCAGGGACCCTATCTATAAAATGGAACTAATAACTACTCTCACAGAGGTGTCATGGATTAAATGTGGCAACCAAACTTTAAAGTGTTCTGTGCTCAAATAAAGTAACAGTTAAAAGACCAAAAGGTTTTCACAACAGCATGTTAAAAAAAAAAAAAAAGGCCGGGCACAGTGGCTCACACCTGTAATCCCAGCACTTTGGGAGGCCGAGGCAAGTGGATCACCTGAGGTCAGGAGTTTGAGACTAGCCTGGCCAACATGGTGAAACGCCATCTCTACTAAAAATGCAAGAAAACACCGGGCGTGGTGGCGGATGCCTGTAATTGCAGCTACTTGGGAGGCTGAGGCAGGAGAATTGCTTGAACCCAGGAGGCGGAGGTTGCAGTGAGCCAAGACTGCGCCATTGCACTCCAGCCTGGGCAACAAGAGCAAAACTCTGTCTCAAAAAAAAAGCCTCAAAATGTAACTATATATATAGTATGCTAATATTTATCCCTGGACAGGAAGCAGCCTAAAACATCTCTGTATCCCTCAAGGTATTTGGCATACTGTCCTTCATCGAACAAGGGTTCAGTAAAAACAACTTTTTGTCTAAGGTGTGGAGTACTGTAGTCATTTTAATAATCTGGCAAAGAAGAAAGAATGAATAACAGGAACTAGTATTTAATGCTGCCTATTATGTACCAAGTACTGTGTTGGGCACTTCACCTATGTTATTTAGTTTAATTTTCACAGCCACCGCATGAGGTATGTATTAACCAAAAAACCAGGAGTAGATTTTCATTTTCCAAGAATCAGAACATAATAAATCTACACTAAAAACTGAGCAACATATCTTACATTTGGCAGCATCTGCTTATTTCACTTCAAAAGAATTAAGGGGACCGGGCCATATCTTACATTTGGCAGCATCTGCTTATTTCACTTCAAAAGAATTAAGGGGACCGGGCACAGTGGCTCATGCCTGTAATCCCAGCACTTTGGGAGGCCGAGGCGGGCAGATCACGAGGTCAAGAGATCGAGACCATCCTGGCCAACATGGTGAAACCCCGACTCTACTAAAAATACAAAAATTAGCTGCGCGTGGTGGCATGCGCCGGTAGTCCCAGCTACTCGGAAGGCCGAGGCAGGGGAATCGCTTGAACATGGGAGGTGGAGGTTGCAGTGAGCCAAGATTGCGCCACTGCACTCCAGCCTGGAGACAGAGTGAGCCTCCGTCTCCAAAAAAAAAAAAAAAGAATTAAGGGAATCGTATTAAGGGGAAAAAACTTTTATTAACATGAAAAGAAAATGCAGGAAAAAATATAAATGGGCAACAAATGAATCTTATAAATGTTCAATCTTACTAGTAATTTTTAAAATCCAACAAAAAAACAATAAGGAGAAACCATGCGGCCAGAATGGCCAACAGAGAAAAATTAACAGACTTTTCCTTCAGGAGAATCAGCAGTATTTCCTCTACATCTTTCACAAGTGTAGCACATTCCCATGTGAATCATCTACCATCACCACCCAGTGATTCTGGGGGGCGGCAGGGGGGAAGGGCAGGATATAAGGCCAGTATCTTAATAAAATGATCAAAGGTGTACACAATGATTCACTTTAAAAGACATTCTCGGCCATGATGTCTGCAATAGAGAAAAGGGGGAAACCCACGAAGACAGGGCACTGAAGCTCTACTTTAAAATGGCTGACCAAACACACATTTACCTTTCCTCCCACACCAAAACTCAGTGAAATAAGCGAAAGAAATAAAAAATTAATCCAGAGCAGCCCTGAGAATCTAGGAGATGCTCTCAGCACATAGATCAGTGAGGAATTCCAAGGAGCACTGAAGCAAGTTAAAATAGATGGCAAAACCCAAAGAAAACAGGCTCTCAGGCCGGGCGCAGTGGCTCACGCCTGTAATCCCAGCACTTTGGGAGGCCAAGGCGGGTGGGTCATGAGGTCAGGAGTTCAAGACCAGCTTGGCCAAGATGGTGAAATCCTGCCTCTACTAAAAATACAAAAAAATTAGCCAGTCATGGTGGCGGGCGCCTGTAATCCCAGCTACTCAGGAGGCTGAGGCAGAGAATTGCTTGAACCCAGGAGGCAGAGGTTGCAGTGAGCTGAGATCGTGCCACTGCACTCCAGCCTGGGCAACAGAGTGAGACTTCGTCTCAAAAATAAATAAATAAATTTAAAAAAATAAAGAAAAGAGGCTCTCCCTCCAAAGATACATTTTTCCAGAAGAACCCCTGAAAGGTAATAAAATAGAGGAAGTAGGGACTGAGGAAAGAAACAACTGAAGAGCTGTGAAACACCCTTGCCAATGTCCCCTCCCTACCTTCTTTCAACAAGACTAATGCAGCATTTACCAAGCCCTGGCTCTCTGAAATAATTCAGACATCCTTACTCCTCATAATGTTGAGGCCACAGAAGTGGGGCAAGGTGCCAATTAACTGTAGCTTCCATGAGGAATGGGGAATCTCACCACTCAGAAGGCAAGCAACCCACATATTCAATAGAAAAATACTGCATTCCAGGCAAAAGACAAAAAGTAAAGACATCAAGTATGAAACAAAATTGTATAGGAACCTATACGTGCCGGAGCATAGCGTATGAGGCAGAAGAGAGATGATGTGAGGTTGGAGAGGTGGGTGGGCAGAGACTATATCAAGGAGAGCCTGATGGGCAAAATAAGGGAATTCAGTCTTTCTCTTTCTGTTACCAAGACAGCACCAGTGCAGACTTTCAAGTAGGTGATATGACCTAAATCATATTTTATATCACATTGGCAACTGTAGATAATATATGAACTGGACAAGACCCCACTATCTGTCTTGGGAGCCCAGGTGGATCTCAGAAAACGAAGTTTGAGGAAAAGATGTACTTCACATTAGACATGCTGAGCGTAAGGTACCTATAGAATATTCAGGTGTAGATTTCCAGCAGATTACAAGAGACACTAAAGCCTGGAGGGGAAAAGTCATGGAAGAATTTAAGCCGGGCATGGTGGCTGATGCATGTAATCCCAGTACTTTGGGAGGTCAAGGCAGTTGGATCGCTTAAACCAGGAGTTCTGAGACCAGCCTGGGCAACACAGAGAAACCCCGTTTTTACAGGGTGAGGATACAGTGAGCTGTGATCATGCCATTGCACTCCAGCCAGGGAAACAGAGTGAGACCCTGTCTCAAAAAGAAAAAAAAAAAGAATTTAGAAATTTAGAAAAACATCTGTATATAAGTGCAACTGAAATCCTTGGGGTAACTAAGGTACTTCATGGAGACAATGACCTATGATAATTCTTGGCTAAGAAGTCAAAACCAGGTAACAGCAGTGTGTAAGGAGTAAGTAGATCATCAAGAAGCCCACACAGGAGGGAGGGAAAGAAATACAAGAGAAGGACATGGAGAACAAGGATGACAATGGAATACATTGGTTCAAGGGGATAGTGATTAACAGTGTCAGGTGCAACAAAAATGTCAAGTAAAATTAGGACTAAATGAATCCACTAGATGCAGCACACAAGAGGTCACAGGCATTCTCAGCAAAAACAGTTTAAGCAGCGGTGGGGGTGGGAAGCCAGAAAGCAACAGCTAAAATTTGAAGAGTGAATGAGAGACTACGTGTAAATCGCTCTTTCAGAAGTTTCAGTGAGAAGGGGAGAAGTTAGGTAGCTAGGAGAGGATTGGACATGTGGTTCAGGGAAGGTTTCCTAGGATGAGAATCTTAGGCATAAGATAATGGGCAGAGAAAAACGAAGGAGTCAAAAGTGAGACCCTGAGGATGCAGCAACATTACTCAACCCAGGCACTACTGACATTGTGGACCAGGTAATCCTTTGTCATGGGGCTGTCCTGTACATTGTAGGATATCTACACGCCTCTACCCGTTAGATGCTAGCAGCACATGCATCACCACCACCCCCCAATTGTGACAACCAAAAATGTCTGCAGACACTGCCAAATGTCTCCTGGAGGCAAAATCTTCACCCCTCCTCCCCAAGTGGACAGCCACTGGGAACAGAATGGGGAGAATGAAGGGGAATAACTGATGAGAAAAGACTGCCAAAGAAGCAGCAGTGAAGCCTAAGGCTCCTGGCAAAGGACTGCCTCAAACAGCAGAAGAAGCATCTCATCCCCTGAGACAGGAGGAGAGGGCAACTCTGGAGAAGCAGGGATGACAAACTGGTAGAAGTGTGAAGAAAATCAACCAGATGGCTCAAAGTTCTCAGTGAAGTGGAGGCAAGGTCATGTGCTGAGTATGAGTGGTGATATTTAGTGGCAGATTTGAAAACAGTGGCTAGAGTTTGTAACAACTGTTGGGGTCTGGTAGCTGGCAGGTCACACCAGGGAATACCGACTGGGGTTGGAAAACAGCATACTCCCTTCTTCACTGAGAACGTTAAAATGTATTATACCTTCCCACAGAAATCACATACTGTATATTGATTACAGTCCCAAAGAACTCACAAGTCTATATGAATTTCAACTGCATAAAGGAGAGAACAGACTCCTCAGGCTCACCTGGGAAACAAATCCATTTTTTAAATAACATAGTTCCTATCAGATAATGTGAACTGTGTTCTATACAATCAATGTCCAAAAGAACTTTTGGTAAATAACCTGTTCAAGGTGGGGGTTGTCTGTGGTTACAACTACTTCCCAGTTTTGTTTTTTTGTTTTTTTGTTTTTTTTTTCTGAGACAGAGTTTTGTTCTTGTTGCCCAGGCTGGAGTGCAATGGCGTGGTCTCAGCTCACGGACTGCAACCTCTGCCTCCCAGGTTCAAGCGATTCTCCTGCCTCAGCCTCCCATTACAGGTGCCCGCCCACCATCCCTGGCTAATTTTTTTTTTTTTTTTTTGTATTTTTAGTAGAGACGGGGTTTCACCACGTTGGCCAGGCTGGTCTCAAACTCCTGACCTCAGGTGATCTGCCCACCTCGGCCTCCCAAAGTGCTGGGATTACAAGCCTACTTTCTTGTTCTTAACTGGTAGAACTACTTCCTGATCAACAGTCAGGAAGAAAATAGAATAGAAAGGAGTGGCTGCAAAGACAGAAAAACGTATTAAATGAGATTCTTCATATGATAAACACCTGCTCACCCCTGCCCTCTAAATCAAGGGCTGCAAATGCAAATGATTACAGGACCAGGAAACTGGAGAAGTTTCCTGTATTAGTCCATTCTCACACTGCTTTAAAGATACTACCCAAGATTGGGTAATTTATTTTATAAAGGAAAAAGGTTGAATTGACCCCCAGTTCCGTATGGCTGGGGAGGCCTCAGGAAACTTAACAATCATGGCAGAAGGGGAAGCAGGCACCTTCTCCACAAGGCAGCAGGGCACAGAGTGTAAAGGGTGAAGAGCCCCTTATAAAATCATCAGATCTCATGAGAACTCACAGGAACAGCACGGGGGAAACCGCCCCCATGATCCAGTCACTTCCCACTAAGTCCCTCCCCTTGACATGTGGGGATTACAATTCGAGATCAGATTTGGGTGGAGATACTGAGCCAAAGTATTATCAGTTGCCTGAAGCCTGTGCATGGGAAAGAAGCTGGAGGTGAACCACTAGCACAAAGACAAAGACATAAAGGACTGTCCTTGAGTGAAAAAATAAAAAGAAAAGCTACAAGCACCAGCCCAGCGCTGTGCAGAGAAAGTGACCCAAACAGGCTGGATGCGGTGGCTCATGCCTGTAATCCCAGCACTTTGGGAGGCTGAGGCGGGCAGATCCCTTGAGGTCAGGAGTCCGAGACCAGCCTGACCAACATGGTGAAACCCTGTCTCTACTAAAAATACAAAAATTAGCAGGGCGTGGTGGCGTGTGCCTGTAATCCCAGCTACTCAAGAGGCTGAGGCAGGAGAATCACTTGAACCCGGGAACCAGAGGATGCAGTGAGCTGAGATCGTGCCATTGCACTCCAGCCTAGGCAACAGAGCAAGGCTCCGTCTCAAAAAAAAAAAAAAAAAAAGTGACCCAAACAGAAGGGAAAACCCCAAGTCTGTTCTACACAAATATGGAGTCAAAATTTACACTACTTTCCAGGTGCTGGAGACCCATCTGAGAATAGACCAAAACCTCTCTAGACGCAGTGAACCCAAAGGGTCCCATCAGAGACAAATGCAAAACTAGACCAAAAGAGCATTCCACAACCCGGGCATAGGCAAACAATCGTTAAATTGTCAAATACTGCACACCACACGGAGAAACAGCAAAAATCTTGGAGGGAAGAAGGGAAGCCAAATGGGAGATTTCATTCCTCAAAAATTACAGCTAAGAAAATAATCCAAAGAGGACTTAAACATAACTATATTTTTAAATGTCCAAAGAAAATGCTCTTATGAAAATTTAAAAGCTGATTTGAAAGAAAATTTAAATACAGGTTTGAAAGAAAATGTAACAGAAATTCTTAAATTTGAAAATATATTCGAGGTGGGGCACAGTGGCTCATGCCTGTACATCCCAGCACTTTGGGGGACCAAGGTGGGAGGATCACTTGAGACCAAGAGTTCAACACCAACCTGGGCAACACAGCAAGATCCTATCTTTAAAACATGTATATATATGTTTGTACACACATATATATTTGTATATTTGTATAAATATCAATATTTATATATTTGACTATATATAGCCAAATGTTTTTAGTGAAACCCTCAATAAGTTAACAAATTAACTGCACAGCCAAAGAGGAAATTAGTGAATCGTATGATAGATGTCAAGAGATTAGCCAGAAGAGATAGAAATGTAAATTAAACAACACGAAGGATGTGATGAAAAATCCCAAAACATATCTAAATAATGGTTCCATAAATGGAAAATGGAGACGAAACTATTTTAAAAGATAATGGCTAAGATTTTCTCCCACAGCTGAAGACATCAGGGGTCCTCAGACTAATGGAATACATCAAATAAAAGCAGGATACATAAAACAAATCCACACCTAGAGATATCGCAAAAAAAAAAAACCCTGAAGATCAAAAAAACAAGGAAATAAACAGCAACTCAAAAGTACTGTAAATAAAAAATAAATAAATAAACAAGGAAAAGCTCTTAAAAGTAGCTCAAGAGGAGAGAGAATTACTTACCTACAACGAAATTACAACTAAACTGACTGTTGACTTGTCATTAGCAAATAAAACTAGGCCAGGTGCAGTGGTTCACACCTGTAATCCCAGATCTTTGGGAGGCTGAGGAGGATCACTTGAAGCCAGGAGTTCCAGACCAGCCTAGACCAAAAAACTAAAAATTAACGGGAGCTAAATGATAAGAACTTATGAACACAAGGAAACAACAGAAATTGGGGACTACCTGAGGGTGGAGGATGGGAGGAGGGAGAGGAGCAGAAAAAATGACTATTGGGTACTGGGCTTAATACCTGGGTGATGAAATAATCTGTACAACAAACCCCTAAGACATGTGTTTACCTATGTAACAAACCTTCAGGTGTACCCCCAAACCTAAAATAAAAGTTAAACAAAATTTAAAAATCTGTCAAAACACAAAAGAATAACATTAACTATCCCCCTCTACCTGAGGGGAAGGGTGAGAGGAAGGAGAGGAGCAGAAAAGATAACTACTAGGTACTGGGCTTATTACCTGGATGATGAAATAATATGTACAACAAACCCCTGTGACATGTGTTTACCTATGTAACAAAACTTCACATGTAGCCCCAAACTTAAAAGTTAAAAAAAATTTACAAATTTGTCAAAACACAAGAGAATAACATCAAAGTACTCGGGGAAAGGAATTAACCCAAAATTCTGGACCCAGCTCAACAACCATTCAAGGGAAAAAGTGAAGTACAGACACTTTCACAAACACCAAAACCAAATTTACTATTAAGGGGCCCTTACTGAAATAATTAAGAACATTTTTTAATAAAGAAGGAAGAAACTGAACCAAGAAGGAAGAAATGGAGTGAAGGAAGAATGGTGAGCAAAGAAACCTGAAAAGCACATGAGTAAATATTCACTATTTTTATTGGTGTAAGGTGGCTTAAATAAGGCAAAACTAACACATAAATAACATTAACATGGAAGAGGGGCTGACGGTTAAGGAGTAAATCATTCCAAACTCTTGGTCTTATTCAGGAGGACAGGAATAATAATTAAGCTTAGACTTAAGGAAACGCTCATGTTAAAATTTTAAGAGTAACCAAATTTCTGGCTTAAACCCTGGAATAAGAGAACTACAATGAAAAAGAGCTGAACTAATTTCAAATTCAAGACTTTCTTTAAACCCAACAGAGCGCTAGGCGCGGTGGCTCACACCTGTAATCCCAGCACTTTGGGAGGCCGAGGCGGGCGGATCACGAGGTCAAGAGATTGAGATCATCCTGGCTAACATGGTGAAACCCCGTCTCTACCAAAAATACAAAAAAAGTAGCCGGGCGTGGAGGCGGGCACCTGTAGTCCCAGCTACTCGGGAGGCTGAGGCAGGAGAATGGCGTGAACCCGGGAGGCGGAGCTTGCAGTGAGCCGAGATCGCGCCACAGCACTTCAGCCTGGGCGAAAGAGCGAAACTCCGCCTCAAAACAAAACAAAACAAAACAAAACAAAACAAAACAAAACAAAAAAACCAACAGAGCAACCAGTTGGCTCAAAAACTAAGGAGAGTACCTGAAGGGAGAGAGGAGACGACCATGTGCTCGCCTGTTGGAGAGTACAGCTGGACACCAAAAAGAACGGGTAGAAGAGTCAGTAAATGCGTGAAATCCAATGTGGCTTGCTGAAAAGATAGTGTGAAACCACTGGGGGTCACAGAAATTGAGGATATGATACCTCAACTTCCTGTAGGGTCTTCCTCCTCCAACTCCCCCACCCCACTCACTCAGAGCTCTAAAGAGTCCTGAGGTAGGCTCATTGTGATGCAAACCTGGGGGTGGGCAGCAGCTAAGCCTGAGAGGCTGGACACTACCCTCAGATCACTCTCCCCTATCTCCACTCAGGAAGACAAGCCTTCACTGTGACAGAAAGGACAATGGTTACTTCTACCCTTAAGACAATAGTGAAAAATCAGAGCAGCAGGGAGGAGGGGTGGGGGCCCAAGTCCTGGGAGAGGGGTAGGATTCCACATTGAGCCCAATACAACAGCCAGGGAAGGGGCAAGATCCTGAGAGTCAGGCCTGAAACTGAGGCTTAATCAAGAACAGAGACCACATCCTATCACCCCTCCCCACCTCCAAGCAAACAAACTTCCAGGAACAGTAAGAGCAGAATATCACTGAGAAAGGGACGGGAGAAAATCAAGAGTATGTAAAGAGACCCTCACTAAAGCACACTTCGAAGGGGAGACCTGAAATTTAGACTGGAACAGACACTGTTCTGGTAAACCAATTCCCACCCTGATCACAAAGTATCTCTAAGAGAATTTGAAAACTGGGGTACACTAGGTTAACCATAACAACACAAAAAAACTCAAATCCAGCCCAATGTAACAGTGAAAAGGAAGCCTAGCATGACTAACATCATTTTGCTTCTAAGCCCCCCCACCACCACCCAGTGAAACCATCTAACTATGGGAGAAATTCAGTTTATAGTTTAAAGCAAATAGTCCCTTCTGAAAACCCCTGAAGAGATAGGGGCAGTGTACACACAAGTAACAACGTTGTTAATGATTTTTTTTTTTGAGACAGGGTCTCACTCTGTCACCCAGGCTAGAGTGCAGTGGTGCAATCATGGCTCACTGCAGCCTCGACCTCCTGGGCTCAGGTGATCCTCCCACCTCAGCCTCCTGAGTAGCGGGACTACAGGTGTGTGCCACCACACCCAGCTAATTTTTGTATTTTTGATAGAGACGGTGTTTCACCATGTTGCCCAGGCTGGTCTTGAACTCCTAGACTCAAGTTATCTGCCTGACTCGGCTTCCCAAAGTGCTAGGATTACAGGAGTGAGCCACCATGCCCAGCCATGTTAAAGATTTATAGTATTGTGACCTGACCAAGGACAAAGAAGTTTCACAACCTCCACAGACCCTCACTGCCACCTAGATGTCTGTGGTCATCATAGTCATCTCTTGACCTCAACCTCCTCCCTCTTCCCTCTTCCTCTAACATAAAAGGAGGCGAAAATTCATATTAAGATGGTTCTTTCGGACATTACTAGTCCACCATCTTCTCAGGTTGCTGGCTCTCCAAATAAGGTTGCTTTCTTTGCGCCAACACCTTGTCTCTTAACTTATTGGCTGTCATTTGGTGAGTAGTACAACCTTGGACTTGGCTACACCAATTCCTAACTAGATTAACTCAAATACCAGCACTAACGGCCTAGCAGAAGGAAAGACATACCCATTTAAAGACACAAAGATTATATGGAGGCTGAAGTGGGTGGATCACCTGAGGTCAGGAGTTCGAGACCAGCCTGACCAACACAGTGAAACGCCGTCTCTACTAAAAATACAAAATTACCTAGGTGTGGTGGCACATGCCTGTAATCTCAGCTACTTGGGAGGCTGAGGCAGGAGAATTGCTTGAACCCGGGAGGCAGAGGTTGCAGTGAGCCAAGATAGTGCCATTGTGCTACAGTCTGGGCAACAAGAGCAAAACTCCGTCTAAAAAAACCCAAAACACACACAAAAAAATGATATGGCCAGGTGCAGTGGTTCACACCTACAATCCTACCACTTTGGGAGGCCAAGGCAAGAGGAGCCTGAAGATATGACTGAATTGCTGTGATCTCATGATAAAACATGAATGGACAAAGGAGTTGCTGCTTATGGAAGAACAAAGGAACTGTTTTTCTGAGATGAAATCTACTGGTAAAGATGCCTTAAACATTTTTGAAATGACTATTTCAAAAATACACTACTCTATAAACTTAGTTGATAAAGCAGCAGCAGGCTTGGAGAAATAGTTCTAATGTGGGTAAAACGCTATCAAACAGCATCGTATGCTACAGAAGAACCTACAATGAAAGGAACAGTCAACAGATATGGCAAACTTCATTGCTGTCCTATTTTAAGAAACTGCCACAGATCCCCCAACCTTCAGCAACCACCATCCTGATCAGTCAGTCACCATCAATACTAAGGCAAAACCCACCACCAGCAAAAAGGTTATGGGTCACTGAAGGGTCAAATTATTGCTAGCATTTTTTGGCAATAAATTATTTTTAATTAAAGTATGTGCTTTTTTTTTTTAGACATAATGTTATTGCACACTTAATAGACTACAGTATAGTATAAACAAAGCTTTTTTTTTTTTTTTTGGAGACCAAATCTCACTCTGTCGCCCAGACTGGAGTGCAGTGATGCAATCCCAGCTCACTGCAACCTCCACCTCCTGGCTTCAAGCGATTCTCCTGCCTCAGCCACCCGAGTAGCTGGGATTACAGGTGGGAGCCACCACACCCAGCTAATTTTGTATATTTAGTAGAGATGGGGTTTCACCATGTTAGCCAGGCTGATCTCGAACTCCCAACCTCTGGTGATCTGCCTGCCTTGGCCTCCCAAAGTGCTGGGATATAGCGTGAGCCACCACGCCCAGCCAACAAAGCTTTTATATGCACTCAGTAACCACAAAATTTGTGTGACTTGCTTTATGGCAATATTTGCTTTATGGTGGTGGTCTAAAACCAAAACTATCTCCAAAGTATGCCTGTATTGTACAATGTAGATACACATACACACACACACACACACACACACACACCTATTATGGAATAGAACTCAGCATTTCAATGAATTCATGCAATAAATCATGAAAAAAAGCTCAGATATGTCACTCTGGTAGTTGTCACCTTTGGCTTCCCCTTCATCTGCCATACCATAAATGTTGGTAGAAAAGATTCTGGAGCCCCACAGAGAGCTATTAGCACCTACTCATTTACCAGTGTGGATCCAATTATAACAATTACATATCTTACACAGGTAACTAGACACAGGACAGGCATAACTATAGGGTAAGCAGAGAGGAGGATCCACTGGATAGGCACCTGATATACCACTGCACAAGGAAGAAGATACAGACATGAGGAAATGGTGGGGGGCGGGGGGGGGGGCAAAAAGGGGCACCTTTGATAAGGGAAGTGTTTATTGAGCACTTCCTATGTGCAAGGCAATGTGCCACATACTGAGGGTACAACAGTCAACACTCCTTGCCTCCACGGAGCTTACAGTAGAAAAGATCCTGGGATATAGCTAGGGTACAAGCATCAAAGCAAAGCATGTAATACATAAATAAACATTACTTCTTGCAATTCTCCCAGCTTTATATGCCCATCCTTAGATCCTTGTCTTTTTTTTTTTTTTTTTTTTGAGACGGAGGTTCGCTCTGTCGCCCAGGCTGGAGGGCAGTGGTGCAATCTTGGCTCACTGCAACCTCCGCCTCCAGGGTTCAAGAGATTCTACTGCCTCAGCCTCCTGAGTAGCTGGGACTACAGACACACACCACCACGCCCGGCTAATTTTTGTATTTTTAGTAGAGACGGGGGTTTCACCATGTTGGCCAGGCTGGTCTTGAACTCCTGACCTCGTGATCCACCTGCCTCGGCCTCCCAAAGTGCTGGAATTACAGGCATGAGCCACCGCGGCCAGCCAGATCCTTGTCTTTTAATGCACCCTCTGCCTGTAAACCCTTTACCTGCACCTGACATTCTGGACTTCCTTTAAGACTCTTCACAAGCACTCAAGAGTCATTTCCTTTCCCAGTCCCCTTAAGTGCCTGTTGAGTGTACCTCTTCAGGCCAGGCATGGTGGCTCAAGCCTGCAATCCCAGCACTGTGGGAGGCCAAGGCAGGCAGATCATGAGGTCAGGAGTTTGAGACCAGCCTGGCCAACATGGTGAAACCCCGTCTTTACTAAAAATACAAAACTTAGCCGGGCGTGGGGGCACATGCCTGTAATCCCAGCTACTCGGGAGGCTGAGGCAGGAGAATCGCTTGAACTCGGGAGGCGGAGGTTGCAGTGAGCCGAGATTGCGCCACTGCACTCCAGCATGGGCAAGAGAACAAGACTCCGTCTCAAAAAAAAAGAAAAGAAAGAAAATAACTCATGGCAAAAGCGAACTCAATTCAAGCCTGAATCACTATGTAGATTTCCAAGGAACTATTTGAAAGAGGTGATGCTGCAGTTATTCTTCGTATATGTGGAGAGGAACAGTGGGCAAAAGTATTCTTTACAGGCATGAGCTAACAACTTTACACCAAGAAAGACTTGAATGAATGCTCACACAATCACCAAGGCAATCACAAACTTAGTATGGCAAAGATTTCCTAAAAAGAATTCAGCATGTAGGGGCATTTATTGTCGGAGAAAGAAACAAATCAGGATATAAAAAATAACACCTTTATAGCACTTATATATACATAAGCCCACCTGAACATAAAATGTTTAACAGAGACCAATTTAATGTAAAAGATAAGGCCACAGAATGTGAACCAGATTTGAAAATGGTGCTCCTGATGAAGAGTAGTGCTCCTATACAATAGTAACAAAATTTTCTAAAAACATTCTGGGTGCTCACATGTGATTTCATAAAACATGAAATAGCATAAATGCTGAGAAATATTAAACTAGATCTAAGACACTGTATTTGGAAGAACAAAAGAATAAAGCAAACTTAATGAAACATTTCGTTAAAACATTAAATACTTCGAGCAGATTAAAGGTGTCTGGAGGGAAAAAAACAGCAAAGAATTTTAAGTTTAAATATGGAAGAGAGCTAAAGCTGTTAGAAAAAATATTCTAATTCAGTTATAAATAGAAATGACATTCCTATATAAGGTTAACAGAACAGTGAGGGATAAAAGAAAAGGTACCTTTAGAAAATTAAAGGGAATTTCTACAAAAACAATGAAAGGAGTACCGCAGACGACAATCAATCAAGAAAGGAGTTACAAAAATTTTAATGAAACAAGGGAAGAATATTTTACTTTGCAGAGATTATGACCTTTCTGGTAAATTACCAAGGTTCCATTGAACTAAAATTCTTGGGTTTTGTAGCATTTCATTTCATGTCACACCCCTCCTTAAAATCTTCAACCGTTTCCCAGGAGATTTAGGACAAGTTCAAAAACCCAGCAAAATGGCCTACTAAACCTTTTCAAGACCTGGCCCCTGCTGCCAACTTGTGCTTCAATGCCTGTTTCTCTATTTTCTGGTCGTTTTAGATTTCTTTCAGTTCTTTTTTTTTTTTTTTTTTTTTTTTTGAGTCAAGAGTCTCGCTGTCACCCAGGCTGGAGTGCAGTGGCATAATCACGGCTCACTGCAGCCTCCAGCTCCTGGGCTCAAGCAATCCTCCCAGCTTACTCTCTGGGAGTAGCTGGGACTACAGGCACATACCACCACACTTGGCTAATTTTGCATTTTTGTAGAAATGGGGTTTTGCCATGTTGCCCAGGCTGGTCTCAAACTCCTGGGCTCAAGTGATCTGCCTGCCTCAGCCTCCCAAAGTGCTGGGATTACAGGTGTGAGCCACCATGCCCAGCCCTCTTTCAGTTCTTTAAAAGGTTCTGTTGTGCAAAAACCCCAGCTCTCTCACCTTGCCTCATCACATTTGCACCTTCTGTCTGGAAAACTTATTTCCCCAACTAGACCAGGTCCTTCTCATTCTTCGGGTCTCACTTAAATGTTACTTCCTCAGAGCGACCTTCCCACCTCTTCCCCCAAGGACAGACTCTCCAACCCTACCCTGTTACATACAGTTGACCCTTGAACAACACAGGTTTGAACTGCATGGATCTACTTATACCCAGATTTTTTTTCAATATAAATTACACTGAGTGTGCCTCCCTCTCCTGCCTCCCCTTCCACCTTCTCTACCTCTTCCACCTCTGCCCCTGCTGAGACAGCAAGACAACCCCTCCCTCTTCCTCCTCAGCCTACTCAATGTGAAGACGATGAGCACATTTATAATGATCCACTTCCTCTTAATGAATAGTAAGTATCTTTTCTCTTCCTATGATTTTAATAACATTTTCTTCTCTGGCTTACTTTACTGTAGGAATATACTACATAATACATATAACATACAAAACAATGTGTTAATTGACTATTTATATTACCAATAAGGCTTCCAGTCAACAGTAGGCCATTTTAGTAGTTAAGTTTTTGGGGGGGTCAAAAGTTATACTTGGATTTTTGACTGCGTGAGGGTCAGCACCCTAACCCCTACCTTGTTCAAGGGTCAAGTACACTCCCATAGTGTTCTGCAGTTCTCCTCTGCCTCCATCTCAAGACTAAATTCTTTGGCCGGCTCACACCTGTAATCATGGCACTTTGGGAGGCCAAGGTGGGTGGATCTCTTGAGGTCAGGAGTTCGAAATCAGCCTGGCCAACATAGTGAAACCCCGTCTCTACTGAAAATACAAAAATTAGCCAGGTGTGGAGGCACGCACCTGTAGTCCCAGCTACTTGGGAGGCTGAAGCACAAAAATCGCTTGAACCCAAGAGGCGGAGGTGGCAGTGAGCCAAGATCGCACCACTGCACTCCAGCCTGGGAGACAGAGTGAGATTCTGTCTCAAAAATTAATTAATTAATTTTTTGAGGGCAGGGCCTACTTACATTTTATCACTCCATGTAGTCTCCAGCAAAGTCTGGCACACAATACAGAATCATTAAGTAATATTTGTTAAATGAATGAAGGACAGATCCTCAGGATGTAGGACAGGTTATTTGAGAAATAAATAATTGATAAAGTATAAAATAATTATTTGCACAAAATTAGCTTTTGTCTACCCCAACTATTTTCAGTAAGTACAATTAAAATCAAATTTTTTCTTTTCATTTGCATTGCTAAACTTGAATTTAGTGGTAATATTAGGAATAATAATTACTAGCAATTAAAGTTAATATATCCCATAAGCGGCTGACAAACCTTGGTGGGGTGTGTGTCTGAGGGTGTGGATAAATTCTAGGATATGTCACATCTGACCCAGCCTCTGGTAATCTTTGAAAGATTCTACTCATCAGGAAATTAGTTTCTAAAATCAGCAATGTCAGGGTAATCAGGTAAATCCGGGTCAGTAAGTTGTTCTTCAACTATTACTCACCACCTTTTTTTATCTGTCATATCTTCCTCATGAGACTGTATATGTTTACTTTAATTATCAAAATACAATCTCATACTTCCAAGAACCTAATCTTTAAACATAATACAAAATCTTTTTCTTCCTTTTTGAGATAGAGTCTCACTCTGTGGCCCAGGCTGGAGTACAGTGGTGCGACCTTGGCTCACTGCAACCCCTGCCTCCCAGGTTCATGGGACTCTCCCGACTCAGCCTCCTGAGTAGCTGGGATTACAGGTGCGTGCCACCACACTCAGCTAATTTTTGTATTTTTTGTAGAGAGAGGGTTTCACCTTGTTGTCCAGGCTGGTCTCGAACTCCTGACCTCAAGGGATCCGCCCACCTTGGCCTCCCAAAGTGCTGGGATTACAGGCATGAGCCACCATGCCTGGCCCATAATACAAAATACACAGTTTAAAACTGATATCTAAAATTGCAACTTACCTAAAATAACATAATCCTTTTAAACAATATATATTATTTATATATGTTTTGTTAATTTCCAGAAACCAAAGTTGTTCTTACTATCAAAATCAAGTTACACTGGCACTTCATGTTACCTATGCCTATTTCAAACCAGTTACGATTGAACTGACAGTAAAATATTAATATCAGACCAGTGCCGTGTGTCTAACCTGTTTGCCATTAAAAATCCAGACACAACCAACCACACAAGGAGTTATTGATTTACCTGCCTGGTACATATAAGGGTCACTTTCCATAGAGAAATGTTCATCTAAAAGCAAAGAAAATTAGATACATTTTCCAAAACACTTTACTTCTAACCAAACCATTACATTCCTCTCCTATATGTACCCAAAAAAATAACATCCCTAAGCAGTGTCCGTCTACCCAAGCAATACACTGAGCAAAGGAGGAAACCTGCACAAGTGGGGATCAGCCTGTGCTGATGAGACTTCCCGTTCCTAAGCTGGCCTTACTCCTCAGCCCACCCTAGAAGGTAACTAAGAAGAAAATGATGCAGGCAGGAAAAGGCAGTTACAGTACCTTGCATGTTAAGCTGTTTGCAAATCCCATCACAATCCAGTCTGAAGTAGACACAGTGTCTAAATACCTAAATTTGATGAAGCCTGCTCTACGACACGCGCATTAGGCATGGATCTGTCAAGGGGGATTAGAGGTCCAAACAACAAAATGCACAATGTCATTAGCTTAAAATCAAGAAAACCAATTGTTTCCCTGTGCTCTTACATTTGAAAGTAACTTTTTCTTGCACAATAATTACATTACTTTTACCTTCATTTATTTTCCCTGCATTCCCAACATATCACCAAGAATGTTGTATTTTATTTGCTGGTTTAAAAAAGATCAAATGAAAATAAAATTTAAGCCACAAACACAAGGTAATTTATATCATTTGCAGTTATGATCCTTTAAATTCCGCTATGTATTATGCATAGGCAAGAACTTTTGAAAATACAAAAAGCATTATGAAATGATACTGTGTGTGAAAATTTTTTTTTTTATTTAAACGGAGTCTCGCTCTTGTTGCTCAGGCTGGAGTCCAATGATGCAATCTCGGCTCACCGCAACCTCCACCTCCCCGGTTTAAGCAATTCTTCTGCCTCAGGCTCCCGAGTAGCTGGGATTATAGGCATGCGCCACCAGGCCCGGCTAATTTTGTATTTTTAGTAGAGATGGCTTCTCCATGTTGGTCAGGCTGGTCTCGAACTCCCGACCTCAGGTGATCCGCCTGCCTCGGCCTCCCAAAGTGCTAGGGATTACAGGCGTGAGCCACCAGGCCCGGCCGAGAAGTGTATTTTTTTTCTTTTCTTTTCTTTTTTTTTTTTGAGACAGGGTTTCACTCCTGTTGCCCAGGCTGGAGTGCAGTGATACGATCTTGGCTCACTGCAACCTCTGCCTCCCAAGCTCAAGCCATCTTCCCACCTCAGCCTCCCAGGAGGTTGGGCCTACAGGTGCACACCACTGCACTCAGCTGATTTTTGTATTTTTTGTAGAGATGGGGTTTCACCATGTTGGCCAGGCTGGTCTCAAACTCCTGACCTCAAATGATCCGCCCGCCTCGGCCTGCCAAAGTGCTGGGATTACAGGCGTGAGCCACCCACGCCTGGTCTCCAGAAGATATTTTTTAAGGACATCTTTTAGACCAGGCACAGTGGTTCATGCCTGTAATCCCAGTACTTTGGGAGGCCAAAGTAGGGGAATGGCCAAAGTAGGGAACTCAGGAGTTCAAGACCAGCCTGAGCAAAACTGTGAGAACCCATCTCTACAAAATACAAAAAAATTAGCCAGGCATGGCAGCCTGCACCTGTAGTCCCAGCTACTCAGGAGGCTGAGGTGGGAGGATCACTTGAGCCTGGGGAGGTGGAGACTGCAGTGAGCCGTGATCACACCACTGCACTCTAGCCTGAGTGACAGAGTTGAGATCCGGTCTCAAAAAAAAAAAAAAAAAAAGACATCTTTTAAGATCTACATGATTTCATTTGTCAGTATCTGATGACAAAAAGATCTAGGTTGGCCAGGCACGGTAGCTTACACCTGTAATCCTAGCACTTTAGGAGGCCGAAGCGGGCAGATTGCTTGAGCCCAGGAGATCGAGACCAGCCTAGCCAACATGGTGAAATCCTGTCTCTACTAATAATACAAAAATTAGCCAGGTGGGCCAGGCATGATGGCTCATGCCTATAATCCTAGTACTTTGGGAGGCTGAGGCAGGCAGATCACCTGATGTCAGGGGTTCAAGACCAGCCTGGCCAACATGGTGAAACCCTGTCTCTATTAAAAACACAAAAATTAGCCGGGCATGGTGGACATGCCTGTAATCCCAGCTACTCAGGAGGCTGAGGCAGGAGAATCGCTTGAACCCAGGAGGCAGAGGTTGCAGTGAGCCAAGATCACACCACTGCACTCCAGCCTGGGTGACAGAGCGAGCCTCCATCTCAAAAAAAAAAAAAAAAAGAAAGAAAGAAAGAAAGAAAGAAATTAGCCAGGTGCAGTGGCATGTGCCTGTAGTTCCAGCTACTCAAGAGGCTGAGGTGGGAGGATCGCTCGAGCCTGGGAGGTGGAGGTTGCAGTGAGGTGAGATCACACCACTGCACTCCAGCCTAGGCAACAGAGTGAGACCCTGTCTCAAAAAAAGGAGAGGTCTAGGTGAAGCAAGTAAATAAGGTTAAAAAAAACTCATTGACAGGAGAGAATTTTGGGGGGTGATGGAAATGTTCTAAAACTGGATTGTAATGATAGTCACACCAACTCCATAAATTAACTTAAAAATAATTGAATCATACACTAAAAAGGTGAGTTTTATGGTATGTAAAGTACACCTCCATTACGTTATAAAGAAATCAACAAAATTTTGTAATCCCAGCTCTTTGGGAGGCCGAGGTGGGCAGATCACGAGGTCAGGAGATCGAGACCATCCTGGCTAACATGGTGAAACCCGTCTCTACTAAAAATACAAAAAAAAAAATTAGCTAGGCATGGTGGCGGGCGCCTGTAGTCCCAGCTACTCCAGAGGCTGAGGTAGGAGAATGGCGTGAACCCGGGAGGCAGAGCTTGCAGTGAGCCGAGACCGCGCCACTGCACTCCAGCCTGAGCAACAGAGCGAGACTCCGTCTCAAAAAAAAAAAAAAAAGAAAAGAAATCAACAAAATTAACACACAGGTCCCACCTGTGTAGAAATATGGTCCTGCTTTGGCCAAGATATTTCTGGCCCTGAGGCTCTACAGTATTCATCAGCACTTTCTAACTTAAATAGGTAACAAAAGTGATTTTAATCGATTACAGAAAAAGATGTTAAGTTTTCTTTTTTCCTAACATGGACTTCTAAGTGTTCCTTAGGGCACATAACTGTTTAGTTCTCTTAATGATGGGTCTTGTTTTAAAAAAAAATCACCGCCAGGTGCGGTGGCTCATGCCTGTAGTCCCAACACTTTGGGAGGCCGAGGCAGGAAGATCACCTGAGGTCAGGAGTTCGAGACCACTTGGCCAACATGGTGAAACCCCGTCTCTACTAAAAATGCAAAAAAATTAGCCAGGCGTGGTGGCAGGCGCCTGTAATTCCAGCTACTCAGGAGGCTAAGGCAAGAGAATCACTTGAACCTGGGGGGCGGAGGTTGCGGCGAGCCGAGATCCCATCACTGCACTCCAGCCTGGGCAACAGAGTGGGGGACTCATCTCAAAAAAAAAAGAAAAAAAAAATTAAAAATGTAAAGAAAATTTGTTTTAATCACAAGAAGCTTTAAATAGCAGAAAGTTCTACTTTCATGTAGAAAAATTTTCAGAGTCCAACCTCTGTATTAGCACACAACAAGCGGTGGGCGCAGTGGCTCATGCCTGTAATCCTAGCACTTTGGGAGGCTGAAGCGGGGGGACTGTCTGAGCTCAGGAGTTCGAGACCAGCCTGGGCAACACGGTGAAACTCCGTCTCTACTAAAATACAAAAAAATTAGCTGGGCATGGTGGCATGCACCTGTAATCCCAGCTACTTGGGAGGTTGAGGCAGGAGAATCGTTTGAACCCAGGAGACGGAGGTTGCAGTGAGCCGAGATCACGCCATTGCACTCCAGCCTAGGCAACAGAGCGAGACTCCATCTCAAAAAAACACGCACACACAATAATATATCTCTATAGACTTTACCTCCAGATTTTATTTCACTGGTCATAATTACACAAGAGGTGCCCATCTGCAAATTATAATGGCTGCCATTTTACTTCAAGGGTATATCTAAGCCACAAAATTGAATTCAAGGAGTATCTTCGAAGCCTTTATTAGTGTAGCAAATGTAATCAAAGTCCATCAAAAGTTATAATGCAATATCCAGAAACATGAAATACCAAGTAGCTAATTAGAAACAACTACCTCATTTTTGGCATGATTATGTACAGCCTTCATTTATGAAGAAACAGAACCTCTGTTAGAAAAGTCTGACCCTCTGGTTAGAAAAGTCTGCACTTCCAATTGTCCTATCTAGCAGTCCTGATGGATCTGAGTTCAGTCCCCCATGTGACTAAAGGTCCAGCAGCCTTGCCAATGTAGCCCATGAACTCCAAGAAGCATACATATACCTTCAGTACACCCGAGGCATAATATACAGTAGGAACTCAAAATACCCTTGGGGTGGGCCTGGCGGTGGCTCATGCCTGTAGTCCAAGCACTTTGGGAGGCCAAAGCAGGAGGATCGCTTGACGCCAGGAGTTCAAGACCAGCCTGAGCAACATCATGAGACCCCGCCTCTATTAAAAATAAAGAAAAATTGGCCTGGTATGGGAGCACGTGCCTGTAGTCTCCAGCTACTAGGAGGCTGAGATGGGAGGATCCACTGAGTCTGCCAAGTTAAGGGTGCAGCAAGCTGTGATCACACCACTGCACTTCAGCCTGGGCAACAGAGTGAGACCCGGTGTCAAAAATAAATATGCTTGGGAAATCAGTTTCCTAAAGAGAAGCAGAAAGCATGGTTTTGAAGAGCACGGCTTCAAGTCAGACCAGTTTGGATGGCAATTTTGCTGTTTCTGATGACTAGCTGGGTAATCTGAGCAAAGTACTTTATTTCTCTGAGCCCATTTGACATGTATACAGGAGGTAAGAAGACCTACTTCATAGAGCTGTTGTGAGAACACACATGTATTCATGCAAATAAATTACGTGTCACAGTGTCTGGCATGCAGTAAGGCTCAATAGATGGAGTATTATAATTATTACAGAGAAGACTGCCCAAAAGAGAGACCACACCCAAAACCTGACCCTGATTAGGATTGTCTCAAACCCCAATGTTTCTAAGAGCTTAATTCAAAGTATTGACAATCATTTTCAAATACCTGAATGGGCTAGTTCCTTTTAACCTAATAAATAACTTTCTATTAATTCCCAAATCTGAAATATTTAAATGTTATCAGTCTCTAGGTAGAAGGTCCTTACCCTCAGCTTTCACGCCCACCAACAGAATTGCACCCAAGCTCGTATCTCAGTGTGAAGAAATGTACAAACTTGAATGAGAAATGAGGCCAGATCTTTGATTAATTCAGTCATCCATGCGCTGCTCTACACACATAAAAAAAAATTCTAAAAACGATCAAAACCTAAAATCTGAACACTAAAATTGTGCGTCACCAACAAAAGATTTCTAACATTGGGCTTGAGATTGAAAGCAAATTAGAAAAACCTCCAAACAGAAAGTTTAAATGTAGTCTTTTAATTGCATTATTGTCCTAAGTTGAAATGTAGTCCAACTGATGCCATGATCAGATGATAAAGAATCTGTGAGATTCTGTCGCCTCCTTTAACAAGAAATTTGATGTTGCCAAATTATTTGATGTTGCAAAAAAAAAAAAAAAACTTTAAAATCTAAAATTACCCAATTCTGAGTAAATAGCTTTTTCTACTTAGAAAGCAACTTAATACTTCAAATTGTGCTATTCTTGTACCAAAGTGAAGGGTCATCTAAAAGATTTCCCTCATGTTTTAGATCTATGCATGTGAATTAATTATTCCTAAAAGCCTCATATTATTATTTGACATCAATTTATTACATAAAAAAGTCATATTCCCACAGTAACTGCCAAAAATCAGGTACTGTGTTAGCATACCTAATATCTAGAGGAAATAAAGATCACCACCAGTTATCAAAACGGAAGGGGAGAGAATGTGAATTTTAACAGACACGTTGAAGAAAACCTATTTTCCTTGCTCTCTTTGCAAATTTCTTACAGCCAATTTCTCAGATAAAGCTAAATTTTCTTTTACAAAGTAAACTGAAATGAAAATCATAATGAAAGGTTAACTTTCTGCAAGAGAAGCCACTGTCATTTCCAACAATGCAGCTATTGTTAACAGTCTCTCATAGATTCCTGGACACAGTGGTGAAACAAGGCTAGGGGTGATACTTAAAGGAATTTCTCCACCTCTGTCTTTCAGTTTGTAATGTAACAATACTGTACCTTCAAAGTAGAAACACCACGTAAAATCTGGTTCCCGTTAACTGAAACTGCCTTAACCCCAAGCAGCATATTTGCAACCGAATACATCTGATTCGCAATCAGTCAACCTTCTATTACCCATCTATGCGAGACGGCCCTGCAATTTCTTTCAATGGGAGCCTTTCCTTTTAAAACCCCAGGGGACACAATAGATGCCACACTCTGATTTAAATAATTCCAAGAAAATTACAATATAAACAAAGGCAGACTTAGGGAACTTGCATAAGTAAAAATCAAAAACCTGAGAAAAAGGGGTAAAAAAATACCAATCACAAACCCCTAAATCATGAATAAATTTTAAGACTGAGCCAGGAAAAAAGGAATTACTCTCTGGACAAAGAATTCTATTTCAAATTTAAAAAAAATATATCGGATTTTGATTTTAAAAAATTTAGGCTTAGGAAATATGCTAAACAACAAAACTGGAATACTCAACTGTTTGATATATATACATCTAGCAAATTAATCGCTGCATTGACTATGTTAAAAAGGCAAGACAATTCAAAGAGATTTGATACCCTCTCCAATTGAGGAACCCCCAACTACTCTGAAATGGCAGATAATATCTAACACTCTTGGAATGGTTAACTTTATTTAGTATGCCTCTTTTGTAGTTCTATTATTTAATAGAGCCAAACGGAATTTTTCCCTAATTAGGTTTCCTTGTACTTGTGAAATGCTCAGCATACAGTGCTGGCAGCATTAGCTTCTCTCTTCTGGCTCCTTCCCCCCTCAACCACCCTCACCTCCCCCCCAACCCCCGCCCCGAAAAAAAGATTTCCTTCCCAAATGTTCTCTTCTCTGCATTTGTCAACAGAAACACCTACTGGTGGTGTCAAACTGCTAAGACTGCTGCAGGCTTCCTTATTCCTGGTTTCAGTGTCAACGCCAAAAATTCTCAATCCTAAAATAGTACTTTTAATAAAAAGAAATTAGAAGTCTTGCTAGGTACTCAACCTATCATATTCTCGAAAAGCAGCACGCCTTTTTTAAAAATCTATTATTAATGGACCCTAATTGGATTGTTAATCATAAGATCATACTATCACCTTCAACACTAACATACAGGAACAAGTAAATATAGCCTCTTCACATTTTGTGAACAAAACATTTTAAAACACTTGAAGGAAATAAAAACAAATTTACATCTAAGTGTCACTCACATGTAATTCCGAATAGCCTCGGTGAAGATGTCTTTTTTGTAACCCTACAGCAAGAAAGAAACAAGCTGGAAATGTTCCAGCAGATGTTACCTAAAACGATAATCCTGTTCTATACACATCTCTGTCTCCTGTTTCTGACAAACGCTCTCAGACAAATTAATTTGTGTAATCTTTTACATTAACTATATAACCATTACGTTCAAACAAACCTAATTCAGATGCACAGAAAGAAATCATTCGGTGTCAACAATACTTTCTAAAATCAGCTTAAATTCCAGCCAATTAAAATAGATTGTGCTAACAGAATACTGATCTGCAACTACTTAAATATCACAGCACCCGTCTAATCTCACTGTAGAGATACTAAGGTCAGGCTTTTCTTATTCAGGCATCTGTTCTTTAACACTCAAATGAAGCGAAAAACAAAACCCTCAAGGAAGATCTGCCTTTACACTGAAATATGTTCAGGTTATTTTTTTCCCCAACGTGGGCACAAAACGTGTCAATGCAAGGAGGACCTGTTCGTTCTGGGAGACGGTTCCAAATCCCAGAATCCGATTTCTATGAGGGTCCAAAAGGTATGAAGGTCTGAGAAGGGGCCATTCTTCTTCCCCGCACTATGCCAGTCGTGAACTTCACAGCATCGCCTGAAACTTGTCCGGGGGAGGTTGCGGAGCCGCGGGGCCGGCGCCCGGTCGCTAGCCCACCCTCGCGGGCAGCCAAGGTCAGAAGGGCCCGGGCCGCGACTGACGGCCCCTGGCGAGTCTCGGGCTCCCTCCGAACTCGGGCAGGGGGCTGGGGCGCGCAGGCCCCTCCTCGGCGCCGGCGGGAAGGGGCTTACCTCGCCGCAAGCCCCGGGGAGCTCGTGCCGCGGGAGCGGCGGGGCGGGGACGCCGCAGACCCGCCGCTGAGGGGAACCCCGCGGGGCGGGCTCGACCCGCCGCCCCTCTTTCACACCCTTTCGCCTCCCCACACCCCAAAAGACAGCCCCAGCCCCTCGGGGGAAGCCCTTCCAGAGGCGCAGGGGAGCGCTGAGGAGGGGCTACTCCGGGCTGGGACGTCCTCACCGCGTCGCCCCGTTCCGGGGGAACCGGCGCCCCCGCCCCTTCTCTTGTCCGCCCGGGGGGACTGGGTGGGTCTCCACTCTCAGGAGAAGCTGGGTGGACGCGGGGCCGATGTAAGGGTAAGAAGGCTTGGCGGGCGGGTGGCGGCGCGACTACTCACCCCGCCGAGTCCCCCACTTCTAGCAGGGGACCCCACAGCTCCTGAGGACGCCGTCGCCGCTTTACCTTCCCCAGCGGCAGAGACAACTAATCGAAACCTCCGGCCCCGCCCTCTAGCAGAAGCGAACGCGCAGCCTATTTTGCTAACTGCCCCGCCCCAGCCGGCCCGTTCGGACCAATGGGAAAGCACCTCAGGTTTTGCCCGATCCCGCCTTTACCCCGCCCCCTTCTGGTAGGAGCCAATGAGGAGGAAGCGCTTGTCCTGGGGTTCGGGCTCGCGCCGCTCGTGCTCGAGTCTCCGAAGCCGAAGAACGCTGGTTCCTTATACAAGCTCGCCTGCGCGCTCACGCGCGCGCCGCGCCTCCTGGCACGCCAGGTTTGGTTGCCCCGCCAAGCCCTAGCAACCTGGGCTGGAGAGGCTGAGAGGGGCGGGGCCCGAGCCTGGAGTCGACGCCGGGGGGTAGAGCGGGGAAGCAGGGAGAGGGTCGACGGTGGTGGGGTGGGGAGATCGTGACTGAGAAAGGGGTGGCTGCGGGGGTAGGAGGTGGCGAGGAGGCCCCGGAATCCGCCTGTCACTGCGGAAAAAAGAGGGAATCCTGCCTGCAGCGCAGCTACCCTGCCCTCCCTCCGGAGGGACCCGTGCCGGGGGCTGGGGTGGGGGAAGTCGGAGAAGAGGGGGAGAACATACTCGGGGCGGGAGCTGAGAAATACAGGATGGAGGATGGTTTATCTCTGTTGTTGGTAAAAATGATATCGAAGTCCATTGCTGCTGCTGCCCAACTGTTGCCGCTGCGTGTGCACACACACACGCACATATGCACACACACAACACACACTCACACGTACACTCATCCAGCAGCTTGCGGTCCCTTGGGTGAGTTAGGCGCAAAGACCTAGCAGCCTGAGGATTCCTTACACAGCAGCTGGGCGCGTGCAAAGAGCTGTTGCAGCAGTAGCAGCAGCAGCAGCAGCAACGACCCACACCTCCGCTTCGGTCCGATGCTCTGCCACACAAGATCCCCCAGCTGGCTTGAAAGCAATGAAGTCATCGCCCAACCAGTACAAATGTAAAGATCTTAATACCCACCATGGATCGGGTTTCCAAGGAGGATGAAGAGGTGATGAAATTGAAGGAGATAACATTTCCAATGCTACTTTTAGAAAATAAAGAAAAAAAATTTTTTTAAAAAGACATTGGGGACAAATCTATGGAAAGCTGCATAATTATTTTCGCTTTAACAAGCAAAGGAGAAAAATAGGGTCTCTTCTGGTTAGGAAAAGCACGGAAAATAGGCAGTGTATGAGGTCATAGCTGCCACCAAATTAGAAAGATGCAGTACTGTAATAGGAAATAGATATTTGGGATAAAATCCACTTAATCTATTCCTGTAGTGAATCTGGTAACAATATGTAGCAGCATGCTCAGTTTGGCCACTTGATACCAAGCCAATAGGATTTTCTTTTTCATAACGGTGAATATTTGATGAGGAAATGAAAGTGGAAGCATATTAGAAAATTTTACAGGTAGGAGCAATGAATTAGCAAAGAGGGAAAATGGAGTCAGAGGCAACAACAGAGGGCTTCGCAGAGTCTCCTGCCTCCTCCAGATGCAAAGTAACAGTGCTGTGACCTCTAGCTTCACCCACGTGGATCCAGAACTCCTGGGGCAATCACTCCATTTTCATCCCTGTATATCAGAGCCTTTGTACTAGGAATTTCAGCAGCATTACCTTTGACTCAAATGAATAATTTTTTAAAATTTTATTTAGACCTGGTGAACCGGAAGTAACAAATTAATTATCCGTATAGATTGAGAAGATGGAGAAAAAACAATAACTGAACATCTGTTAATATAGGTCCAATTTAGTATTAAGTAGTAATATTAGATGCCTTATAATGTGCCATCCCATATACACAAATATGACCTTCTGCTTAGGGACATTTGCTTTGATCTGGTTTTAAGTAGTGGTAAAGGATTTCTTGCAGTCACTTGCAGTTTAGTTAATTCGTCTTTTGGTCAAAAACTAACCTTTCTAGAAAGTTAGTAAAAGTTTAAAAAGTACCATGCGCCGGGAGCAGTGGCTCACGCCTGTAATCCCAGCACTTTGGGAGGCCAAGGCAGGTGGATCACCTGAGGTCAGAAGTTCGAGACCAGCCTGGCCAACATGGTGAAACCCCATCTCTACTAAAAATAGAAAAAAATTAGCCGGGAGTGGTGGCGTGCACCTGTAATCCCACCTACTCAGGAGGCTGAGGCAGGAGAATTGCTTGAACCCAGGAGGTCAAGGTTGCAGTGAACCGAGATGGTACCACTGCACTCCAGCCTGGGCTAGAGTAAGACTCTGTCTCCAAAAAAAAAAGTACCATGCTGCCATTTAACTGAGCACTTATGTAGAAAGAACACTAATACTAGCCAGTGAATGGATACCTGCTCTGTGCCAAGAACTTCACATAGATTTAGGGTTGCCAGATAAAATACAAGATGCCCCGTTAAATTTGAATTTCAGATAAACAACGAATAATTTTTAGTATAAATGTGTATTTTTATCCTGGATACATGTGGAACAAGGCTAGAAAACTAAATAAGGTTCTAACCATTGCCAAAAAAATTACGAAATGCCCTTCTAGGTCTAGACCTTGTAATGCAATCAGGATCTGGGAGAAAAGCTTAAGAACCAAATTAATGTATAAATTTGTAGTGTTTGTAGAAAGAGGTGAGCATACTTAGACTAAAATATTATTTGCTGTTTATCTCAAATTCAATTTTAACTGAGCATCTTCGATTTTTATTTGCTAAATCTGACACATTATCTCTAATCCTCTCAATTCTCTGCGAAATTCTCACCATTTTCCAGATGAAGAAACAGCTTGAGAACCTCCCCAGCATCGATTTGCTTTTTTGCCCTTCTAATAGAACCCCAACTCTGTTCAGGCATCCACCCGCTCCACACTACCCAGAGTCTCAGTCAATCAATGTGTGGCCTAATTACACTGAAGGAAAGAATTTAACATTTGATGGTTTGAAAGAGGTTTTCCCTGTCTACCCTGCTGGATGAACAAGGAAGCAAGTACGCTTGTTGCCACTGACAGTCATTTCGTGACTAAGAGGAAAACCAGCCCTAGGTCAAAGCCTACACACTAAATAAGGCAGAATCAAAAAATAGAAAAAAAAATTTTTAACTGGGTTCTTGATGACGTCACTGAGTTGTTTCATTAAACAAACTCTGCCCTTTCCTTGCATTTCAGACAGTTTGAGTCAGACTTTCTATTAGATGCCAGAGACGCATCCCACTACAGATGTCAGAACCTATGAGTGCTACTCATTACGGGTCTCAATAATCAATAAACAAGTGGTAATCAAGATGTAAGACATTTTTGGCTGAGCACGGTGGCTCACGCCTGTAATCCCAGCATTTTGGGAGGCCAAGGCAGGCGGATCATCTGACATCAGGAGTTTGAGACCAGCCTGACCAATATGATGAAACCCCGTCTCTACTAAAAATACAAAAATTAGCCGGGCATGGTGGCATGTGCCTGTAATCCCAGCTACTCGGGAGGCTGAGACAGGAGAATCGCTTGAACCCGGGAGGCGGAGGTTGCAGTGAGCCGAGATTGCGCCATTGCACTCCAGCCTGGGCAACAAGAACGAAACTCCATCTCAAAACAAAAAAAAAGTAAGACATTTTTATCCTTGATATATGTGGGACAAGTCTAGAAGACTAAACAAGCATTCTATTCATTGTCAAAAAAACATTTATGAAGTATCCATCTGGGCCTAGACCTCATAATGCAATCAGGATCTGGTAGAAAAGCTTAAGAATCCAATCAACACATAATTTTTTTTTTTTTTTGAGACAGGGTCTTGCTCGGTCACCCAGGCTGGAGTGCAGTGGCATGATCTCAGCTTACTACAACCTCTGCCTTCTGGGTTCAAGTGATTCTTTTGCCTCAGCCTCCCTAGTAGCTGGGACTACAGGCGCACGCCACCACACTCTGCTAATTTCTGTATTTTTAGTAGAGATGGGGTTTCACCATGTTGGCCAGGCTGGTTTTGACCTCAAGTGACCCGCCTGCCTCAGCCTCCCAAAGTGCTGGGATTACAGGCATGAGCCGCGGTGCCTGGCTCAGTGCATAAATTTATAGTGTTTGCAGGAAGAGGTGAGCATTAGTTATTCCTCGGCCCTGCTCAGAGCTTAAATCAAACCGTCAGATCTTACATGTTTTCATTTAAAGTTTATATCATTTGGAAAATTTTCATTTTGGAAATTTGAATCCAATTCCTCATTTGAAACAAAGCCTCTATCTTTGTCCTCCAGGCACTGAGTTTAACCAGGAACAGTGGGGAAAGAACAGAAATGTCAGCCTTAACACTTTAACCAATATTCTTCTGTACCTTGAGCAAACCTTACATTGCAATCATATCTTTTAAGACTCGGGCGTCAGATGGCCTGGGCTCAAATGCTAGCTCTAGTTATGTCCTTGGGCAAATTGCTCAACTTCTCTATGCCTCAGTTTCCTCCTCTGTAAAAATGGAGATGAAGCCGGGCGCGGTGACTCATGCCTGTAATCCCAGCACTTTGAGAGGCCAAGGTGGGTGGATCACTTGAGGTGTGGAGTTCGAGACCAGCCTGGCCAACACAGGGAAACCCCGTCTCTACTAAAAATACAAAAATTAGCTGGGCGTGGTGGTGAGTGTCTGTAATCCCAACTACTTGGGAGGCTGAGGCAGGAGAATTGCTTGAACCCGGGAGACAGAGATTGCAGTGAGCCTGAGATTGCACCACTGCACTCCAGCCTGGGCAAAAGAGTGAGACTCCGTCTCAAAAAAAATTGGAGATGATGAAGATGATAATAGTGCTTACTTCATAGGTTTAGGTGAGTGACTATTTGTGAAATACTTAGAAGAGTATCTGACCCATAGTAAGGACTTTATAAAGATTAGCTGTTACTGAGCAGGCTCAATTCCATGGGGTATAAATGAAGTGGTTTATTTTTCTCCAATCACTACTTTGAAACATGTTTTTATGGTAAATTTACCTTTCATGTCCCTTCATATCTTGGATACTTTTTTTTGACATTTAGGTGTTTTCTGCTATTAAAAATCAACCGTTTAAAACTCTAATCTTGTGTTTGATTTAAATCCCTTTCCCCACTTCCCACCATCATCACCTGTCAGGCTTGTGGCTCATGGCACCTAAAGTGACCAAAGTGACCAACATAAAGTGACCAGGGGATGTGATGGGCCCTTACTCCAGTTCCTTGGAAGGTGTGGTCAGTTCTCTCACCAAGCCTAACTTCTCTGACCATAGGGAGGTAGAGGGGAGAGGGAACCATCAGCTCTTGGCTTAACAACTCATGAAAGCCCCTTTGAACATGGGCTACACTTAATAACTCACTTCTAACAAAATATGGCAAAAGTACTGATCACTGATGGTCATGACCTGAGACTAGGTCATAGAAGGTGTTGCAGCTTCCTCCTTGCTCTCTCTCTTGAATCACTCACTAAGGCGGAAGCCAGCACATGTCATGAGGACAGTTTCAAGAGGCCTTGGCCAGGCAAAGTGGCTCACGCCTGTAATTCCAGCACTTTAGGAGACCAAGGCAGGAGGATCACTTGAGGTCAGGAGTTTGAGACCAGCCTGGCCAACATGGTGAAACCCCTTCTCTACTAAAAATACAAAAAAAACTAGCTGGGCATGCTGGCGGCCCCTGTAATCCCAGCTACTGGGAAGGCTGAGGCAGGAGAATCACTTGAATCCAGGAGACAGAGGCTGCAGTGAGCTGAGATTGTGCCACTGCACTCCAGCCTGGGCAACAGAGTGAGACTCCATCTCAGAAAAAAATAAAAATAAAATACAAAAATACAAAAAAAAAAAAAATAGCCAGGCATGCTGGCACTTGCCTATAATCCCAGCTACTTGGAAGGCTGAAGCAGAAGGATTGCTTGAGCCCAGAAGTTCGGGGCTGCAGTGAGCCATGACATGACAGCACCACTGCACCCCAGCCTGGGTGACAGAGCAAGACCCAATCTCAAACAAAACAAAACAAAAAAGATATATATGGCCTATGGAGAGACCATGATGCGAGGAACTGAATGGAGAGACCATGAGGTGAGGAACTGAAGTCTCCTGCCAATAGCCATGTGAGTACGCCATCTTGGAAGCAGATTCTCCAGCCCCAGTTAAGCCCTTAATGGCTGTAGCCCCAGCTGACATCCTAACTGCAACCTCATGAGAGACCCTGAGCCAGAACCACCCAGCTAAGCCCCTCCTGAATTCCTGACACTCAGAAACTATGGTATGACAAATGTTTGCTGTTTTAAGCCACTAAGTTTTGGGATAATTTGTGACGCACCAATGGGTAACTAATATAAGTGGTTCCTATCTCCATTTTACAGATAACGTTTTAGGAACCTGCCCAAGCTCACCCAGCCAGTAGGCAGTGGAACCAGGACCCAGGAAGAAGTCTAACTCAACCTTTAAGCTCTTTCCCCTCAGCAGTAGAAACCATGTACGGAATGCCACTATGTGCCAGGAACTTCCCTTACGTTGTCTCATTTATTCCACAATAGCTCTGCAAGGAAGACATCTTTCTGCCTTTCAAAAAGGTATCAAAGTAAAGTTCCTGTCTTCTTTTTTTCTTTTTTTTTTTCAGACAGGATCTCACTCTGTCACCCAGGCTGGAGTGCAGTGGCACCATCTCGACTCACTGCAACCCCTGCCTCCCAGGCTCAAGAGATCTTCCTGCCTCAGCCTCCCCAGTATCTAGGATAGAACTGCAGGCATAAGCCACCATGCCTGGCAAATTTTGTGTGTGTGTGTGTGTGTGTGTGTGTATACATATATATATGTGTATACACATATATATGTGTATACACACATATATATGTGTACACATATATATGTGTATACACACATATATATGTGTACACATATATATATGTATACACACATATATATGTATATACATATATATGTGTGTGTATATATATATACACACATATATATGTGTATACATATATATGTGTGTATATATATATATATATATACACACACACAGATTTTTATATGTATATGTAAAATACAATACATTTGTAGAGATGGGTTTTGCAATGTTGCCCAAGCTGATTTCAAGCTCCTGGGCTCAAGTGATCCTCTCACCTCAAGGGACACAACTGTTCCTTTTCAGTTCAGAATATGTAAGTTTTTAGTACATTCTCAAGTCAAGGCAAAGATATGTACAAAAGCATATTAAATAAGAATACTCATCACAGGCTGGGCATGTTGGCTCATGCCTGTAATACCAGCACTTTGGGAGGCCAAGTCAGGCAGATTCCTTGAGGTCAGAAGTTCGAGACCAGCCTGGCCAACATGGTGAAACCCCATCTCTACTAAAAATATAAAAATTAGCCGGGCATAGTGGCATGCGCCTGTAGTCCCAGCTACTCGGGAGGCTGAGGCATGAGAATCGCTTGAACCTGGGAGGCAGCAGTTGCAATCAGCTGAGATCGTGCCACTGCACTCCAGCCTGGGCAACAGAGAGAGACTCCATCTCAAAAAAAAAAAAAAAAAGAAAAGAAAAAAAAAAGAATACCCATCACAAAGCACAATCCAGCAACTTCTCCACCAAATTCTCATAGATTTAATTTTTAATATAATGGAAAATATTGAGCCCGTCTGATTTTATATATTAATCAAATATAATTTTTATAAGATAGATTGAAACAGGAAGGAAATTGTCCACATTTTAAAATAGACCTCAAAATATGCTTACTTCATCAATTGATGACTGCAAGTTGCTTTGAAAAGTATAAAAAATAAGATGATTAATAGAAGGATTGATGAATGGATAGATAGGCGATGAAGCAAATAAAGTAAAATGTTAATTGTAGAATCTAGGTGGTGGGTATGTGGATGTTTAGTGCACAATTCATTCAACTTTTAATACTTTGAAAATGTTGATCACTTGCCATAATAACCCCCAAATAGAGACCACTTATTATTCTATACATGTCAATAAGATTTTCCCCTGAATCCACCTATATCCATCACCTGTACCATAGAACCTTCCAAAACTTGACTTAAAGCTGCTTCCAGGGAATATATGTATATATATTTTTTCTCATTTATTTTATGTATATGTTTAGGGATATGCTTACCTGTGTATTATTTTCTTCTCCAAAACAGACAAAAGTTAGAATTATATGGATGAGTAAACCTAGCAGGACACACTCCCATTCTAGACAGATGCTCAGCTGGTACCTTTAGTGCACCGTAAGATCAATCGGCCACAACATAAATTATTTTAAAGAATGTTACCTTCTGAGATGTTATACCCACCAAGTTTAGAGAAGGCAGTTGGAAAAATATTACCATAAAGACAAATAGAAAGTACCTTTAGAATTTGGAAATTAGGGACATGGAGAAGGATCATAAATAATAAATAATCCCCACAGCAGGCTGTATTTTCCCCCAAATAACTGCAACAATGTCTCTCATCCCACATGTCCTTTTTTTTATTAGATAGAGATGGGGGTTTCGCTATGCTGCCCAGCCTGGTCTCAAACTCCTGGACTCTGGCAATCCTCCTGCCTCGGCCTCCCAAAGTGCTGGGATTACAGGTCTGAGCCACAGCGCCTGGCCCCATATGTCCTTCTTGCAACGTGACTTTGACACTCTTCCCTTTGAGAGATGAAGGTTTATGTTCCCTCCCCTTGAATCTGGGTGGGCTTGTGACTTGGTGAAAGTGACATTGTGTGACTTCCAAGGCTAAGTTACAAAAGGCAGTATAGATTCCATTTGGTTCTCTTGGGGTGGTCAATGTTTTTACCCAGTCGCTGTGTTGTGAGGAAGCCCAAGTCACCCTATGGAGAGGTCACCACCGAGAGGAAGCAACAGCCAGTCCCAACTTGCCAGGCATGTGAGTGAGCCACTTTTGAAAGTGTTTCCTTTAGCCCTAGTCAACTCACCCCAGCTGATGCAACATGGAACAGAAATAGCCAGTCTGCACCAAACCTTGCTCAAATTGCAAATTCACAATCAAAATAAATAATGGGAAGACACTGGCCGGGCGCGGTGGCTCACGCCTGTAATCCCAGCACTTTGGGAGGCCGAGACGGGCGGATCACGAGGTCAGGAGATCGAGAGCATCCTGGCTAACATGGTGAAACCCCATCTCTACTAAAAATACAAAAAAATTAGCCAGGTGTGGTGGTGGGCGCCTGTAGTCCCAGCTACTCAGGAGGCTGAGGCAGGAGAATGGCGTGAACCCAGGAGGCGGCGCTTGCAGTGAGCGGAGATCGCGCCACTGCACTCCAGCCTGGGCGACAGAGCGAGATTCCATCTCAAAAAAAAAAATTAAATAAATAAAAATAATGGGAAGCCACTGCATTTTAGGGGTAGTTTGTTATGCAGCAACAGATAACTGATACAATGCCTAAGACAAAAACAAAAAAAAAAACATGAATTTGCACACCTCAGCTTCCAAAATCAAGAAAACACCTATATTACTGTTCTAGTAGGAGAAAGACCTTGAAACCTATTGACATCTGTCAATAATCCAACTATTTCACTTCAGCCAACTCTGTTAGTCTCTCACATATGAAAACTTTTTTTTTTTTTTTTTTTAACAAGAATTGCTAGCAAATGGCCAGGTTGGCTTGAGTTCATCTGTCCAACAAAGATTAATCAGTACCTGTTATATAGAAAACACTGTACTTATCATGGTGGGGATACACAAATGGAGCCAATCATCATAAGCTACATTTTCCTGATTATTTATTCTTCAAACTGCTAATAAACATGGACATAATCAAAAAGTAATCATATAAAAAAAAGGAAAAAGGCTGTTACTTTACTCATTCATCAATAAGGCAATCAACTCCTGAAAACATCACATAGATTAGCCAAATAAAAACAAAAGTTTGTTATTTTACTAATTAACTTCACCAGTGTAAAATATGTAACTTCAAGACTGTCTTAGTCCAGATTGTGCTAGTATAACAGTATACCTGAGACTGGGTAATTTATAAAGAAGAGATTTATTTCTCATAGTTCTGAAGGCTGAGAAGTTCAAGGTTGAGGATCCAGCAGCTGGTGAGGGCCTTCTTGCTGAGTCACCCATGGTGGAAAGGAGGAGGGCAAGAGAGCACATGAGAAAGAGAGAGAGGGAAAAGGGGCTGAACTCATCCTTTTATCAGGAATCCACTCCCATGATAACTAACCCACTCCTATGATAACAGCATTAATCCATTAATGGGAGCAGCACTCTCATGATCTAATGACCTCTTAAAGGTTCCACCTCTCAACACTATTACATTGGGAATTTTTTTTTTTTTTTTTTGAGACAGGGTCTCCCTCTGTCACCCAGGCTGTAGTGCAGTGGCTTGATCTCAGCTCACTGCAACATCTCCCAAGTAGCTGGGACTACAGGTGTGTGCCACCACGCCTGACTAATTTCTGTATTTTTAAATTATTTTTTTGTAGAGATGGGGTTTCGCCATGTTGCCCAGGCTGGTCTTGAACTCCTGGGCTCAAGCCATCCTCCCACCTTGGCCTCCCAAAGTCCTGGGATTACAGGCATGAGCCAACACATCTGGCTGAATTGGGGATTAAATTTCCAACACATGAAAGGGACATGTTCAAACCAAAGCAAAGACTTTGCAGAGAAGGAAATTTCAATGTGTCTTATTGTCAATTCATTGGCTTCCAAGTAAAAGATTATCTAACTACGCATGCCAATTAAATGGTTGCAAAATCTCAGGCTCCTTTGGAAACTTTATCTGTAATGAATGCATTTACACAAGGCAAGGTCTAGGCAATAGTGTTGGTTTTATGGGCCCCAGCCTCCCTTTCTACTCTTTTTCCCAGCCTCCCTATGATCTCAGATTTAGTACTCCCAGGAATCTCCTAACTTCTCCTCTTTAAAAGTAGCTCTGAGAGGCTGGGCATGGTGGCTCATGTCTGTAATCCCAGCACTTTGGGAGGCCAAGGCGGGCGGATCACCTGAGGTGGAGAGTTCGAGACCAGCCTGACCAACGTGGAGAAACCCCGTCTCTACTAAAAATACAAAATTAGCCGGGCGTGGTGGCATATGTCTGTAATCCCAGCTACTTGAGGGGAGGCAGGAGAATTGCTCGAACCTGGGAGCCAGAGGTTGCAGTGAGCTGAGAACATGCCACTGCACTCCAGCCTGGCCAACAGAGCTAGACTCCATCTCAAGAAAAAAAAAAAGTAGCTCTGAAAAAAACACTTGATAAATTCATTGAAACCAGCCTATAATGTTAATGTGTTGTGTGTAATCTTTACTGGCAATTGGCATTCTAACAGTGACCAATTAATCAACCAATCAATATGACAGAAGCAAAACCTCTAGTTATAAAAATCCAACATTCAGTGAAACTACCAACATTATTCATAATAGTCAAAAAGTGGAAACAACACAAACATCTATGGAGTGATGAATGGTTAAACAAAATGTGCTCTATCCATACAATGGAATATCAGTTGGCAATAAAAAGGAATGAAGTACTGATGCATGCTAAACATGGATGAACATTGACAATGTTATACTAAATGGAAAAAGCCAGACAAAAAAGACCACACATTGTATGGTTCCATTTATATAAAATATCTAGAATAGGCAAATCCATAGAGACAGAAAATAGATTGGTGATTGCCTATGGCTGGAGGGGGGAGCTGGAGGGAAACGGGTAGTGACTGCTAATGAATATGGGATTTCATTTTTTTTCTTTTCTTTCTTTCTTTCTCTTTCCTTCTTTCTTTCTTTTTCTTTCTTTCTCTCTTTCTTTCTTTCTTTTTCTTTTTCTTTTTTTTCTTTTTGAGACAGGGTCTCGCTCTGTTGCCCAGGCTGGAGTACAGTGGTGCGATCTTAGCTCACTGCAACCTCCGCCTCCCAGGCTTAGGTGATCCTTCCACCTCAGCCTCCCAAGTAGCTGGGACTACAGGCACACACCACCACGCTCGGCTAATTTTTAAAAATTTTTTTGGAGACGGGGTTTTGCTGTGTTGCCCAGGCTGGTCTCAAACTCCTAGTGGAGTGCAGTGGCACAATCTCGGCTCACTGCAACCTGCACCTCCTGGGTTCAAATGATTCTCCTGACTCAGCCTCCTGAGTAGCTGGGATTATAGGCGTGTGCCACGACACCTGGCTAATTTTGTATTTTTAGGAGAGATGGGGTTTCACTGCGTTGGCCAGGCTGGCCTCGAGCTCCTGACCTCAGGTGATCCACCCACCTTGGCCTCCCAAAGTGCTGTGATTACAGGCGTGAGCCACGGTGCCCAGCCATGGATATGGGATTCTTATTGGGGTGATGAAAATGTTCAAAAATTGATTGTGGTGATGATGATTATACAACTCTGTCAACACTAAAACCACTGAATTGTATACTTAATTTTTTTCTTTTTTTTAAGAGATGGAGTCTCACTCCAGGCTGGAGTGCAGTGGCACAATCATAGCTCACTGCCACCTCTATGAATTGTACACTTTAAATGGGTGACTTGTATGTGTTATGAATTATATCTCAAAAAATTATTTAATAAATGAGTCCAGGAGAATACAGAGGGGGTTATACTATAAAAATCTCCTGCGTATGCCTGTGGGCTACTCAGGTCTACCCCTATGCTACTCAAACGTGTTCCTCAGAACAGCAGCACCTGAAAGCTCAGAAATGCAGAATCTCGGGCCCAGGCCCCTGAAATGGAGTCCATTTCACTGAGTCATGCCTTCTTTGTGGATCTAAAGCTTTTCAAAAGTTTTCAGTTAGGTAGAACCACGTAAGTTCATCAATGTTACAAAACAAAGTAAGGAAACAATCTTCTTTCCCTTCTAGAAAAGGAGCTGCTCTTATAACATTTGGCAATCTTTGGTGCCTGCTGCTTTTAGAAAGCAGATGGCACTGTAGGGCCGGGGTAGGGGGCACAAGGGTGACTGCTAATGAGTGTTGCTTTGTGGGTAGTGAAAATATTCTGGAGTCAGATAGTGGTGATCAATGCACAACTTTGTGAATATACTAAAAACATTGAATTGTACAATTTAAAAGGATGAACTTCATGGTATGTGAATTACTGTATATTTCAGTAAAGTTATTATTTACAAAAATCAGTGAGACAAGCAGAAGAGGCATTTTTGTAGAACTGGTAATAGTACTTCACAATGCCTAGAGATTCCACTGAATTTGTTTATACCAGGGTTTTTCAACATTATGACTGTTGACATTTTGGGCTGGCTTATTCTAGGGGATGGGGGCTGTCCTGTGCACTGTAGGATATTTGGCACCATTGATGGTCTGTACCCATTAGGTGCCAGTAACACCCTCCTCCTAATTGTGACAATCCAAAATGCCTCCAGACAAGGCAGACCTTGCCAAACGTCCCCTTGGACACAAAATCATCCCTGCCTGAGAACCACAGACTTGCACACAAAGTTGGCCCTGCCTTTAGAATAAGGAAGTTTTCCTTAAAAATAATCTATTATTCTCTGGTATTGACAGGATTTACTCCTGTTCTTTTCTCAGTGGAGATGGTAAATAAATGGTTAAATTCCTATAGTTACTTTTCAGTTGCCTAAATCCTTTATTTATAGATGATCTTCAGCCTTTTGCCTGTTCACTTATGCAACTTTTCTTCATCTGTCCCATTTTCAAGTCTGAATTCTTTTTACAACTATCCAATTGACCTTTATTTCTTAGTTTCTTTTAAAACGGGAAGTTTAAAAATGAAATAATGTCTCTGTCAGAGTCCAAGCAGGAAAAGAGAACAGGCTCTAGATGTAGCCAACAGAGATAATTGTTTTTTGTTTTTTGTTTTTAAGAGTCTCGCTCTGTTACCCAGGCTGGAGTGCAATGGCATGATCTCGGCTCACTGCAACCTCCACCTCCCAGGTTCAAGTGATTCTCCTGCCTCAGCCTCCTGAGTAGCTAGGATTACAGGCATGCACCACCAAGCCCAGCTAATTTTTGTATTTTTAGTAGAGACAGGGTTTCGCCCTGTTGGCCAGGCTGGTCTCAAAGTCCTGACCTCAGGTGATCTGCCCACCCCAGCCTCCTGAGTATCTGGGATTACAGGCGTGAGCCACTGTGCCTAGCCTAATTTTTGTATTTTTAGTAGAGATGGGGTTTCACCATGTTGGCCAGGCTGGTCTCAAACTCCTGACCTCAGGTGATCTACCTGCCTCGGCCTCCCAAAGTGGCAAGCAGAGATAACTTAATGGAGGGAATTGTGAAAGGGGAAAGGTAGGGTTCCCCAGAGATTACTGATTACAGGAAGCCTTACCACCACTAAGACCGGAAAGCAAAAAAGGAAAATGGGTTTTCCTGAGCCCAGGTAAGCTGTGCTGCTGGAGTTGCTGGAATATTAATCACTGCTCTTGAAGAACGTGCTGCCGCCTCCTGGCAGGAAGCCAATCACCTGTATTCCCATGGATGTTGCAGGAACCCCATGGTGACCCCATCAAAGGGGTTTCTTTCTTTCTTTCTTTCTTTCTTTCTTTCTTTTTTTGAGACGGAGTCTTGCTCCATCGCCCAGGCTGGAGTGCAGTGGCTATCTCGGCTTACTGCAAGCTCCGCCTCTCGGGTTCACGCCATTCTCCTGCCTCAGCCTCCCGAGTAGCTGGGACTACAGGCGCCCGCCACCACGCCCGGCTAATTCTTTGTATTTTTTTGTTTTAGTAGAGATGGGGTTTCACCGTGTTAGCCAGGATGGTCTCAATCTCCTGACATCGTGATCCACCCACCTCGGCCTCCCAAAGTACTGGGATTACAGGTGTGAGCCACCGCGCCCGGCCAGTTCAAAGGGGTTTCTTTCTGACATGGGGAAACTACGACACACCGTTCAGTGAAAAAAAAAAAACCTAAACATATGTGATGACAACAGCTTCTATTTTTCGAGCAATGACTACGTGCAGGTATTTTACATACATGATCTTCTTTAAGGAGACAATCATACTGACAGAAGCCTTATGGGGTAGGTATTGCTATCCACACTTGATATATGAGAAAGTGAAGACTTTAAAGAAGGATAAGTTTCCGCTAACATGCGAGTTCATGAAGGAAAGGCTTTGCTTCCCTTTTTCAAACTCATATTCCCAGTGCCATATGATATTTTTCATTTTTCTCCCTTTTTTACTGTTCTGAAGGTACATTGGCACCAAGGGCCACATCATAGATAGCTATTTTTAAAAAATTATTTATATTTTTTAAAAATAGAGATGAGGTCTCCCTATGTTGTACAGGGTGGTCTCAAACTCCTGGGCTAGTGATCCTCCCACCTCGGCCTCCCGAAGTGTTAGGATCACAGGCGTGAGCCACTGCACCCGGCCAATAGCTATTTTTTGAATGAGTGAATGAATGAATGAATGAAAGTTTCATAACAAGTAAGTGTCAGAGACAGAATTCCTACCAGGTCTTTCTGCCTTCAGAGCACATGTTCTTAACTACAACACACTGCTGCCTCCCACAGGTGTAACATGAGCTCAACTAAGGATGGGAATATATATTTTAGGAAAAATATGCTAAAATGTTAACAATGATTACCTGATTACTTCTGGTTGGTGGGCTTGTGGATGATTTTCCTCTGCTTTTATACCTTTTTTTTGTACTATGCATTTGTTTTAAACCGCAAATATAAATTGCTTTTATAGTCAGGATAAATAAATAATTGAATTCATCTATTTTCTTAAAAGTAAGTATTCGGCCGGGCGCAGTGGCTCACGCCTGTAATCCCAACACTTTGGGAGGCCGAGGCAGGAGGATCATGAAGTCAGGAGTTTGAGACCAGCCTGGCCAACATAGTGAAACCCTGTCTCTACTTAAAAAAAATACAAAAATTGGCCGAGTGTGATGGCATGCAACTGTAGTCTCAGCTACTCAGGAAGCTGAGGCAGGAATCACTTGAACCTGGGAGGCAGAGGTTGCAGTGTGCCATTGCACTCCAGCCTGGGTGACAGGGCAAGACTCTGTCTCAAAAAAAAAAAAAAAGAAAAGAAAAAAAGTATTCAAGGTTTGGCACGGTGGCTCATGCCTGTAATCCCAGCACTTTGGGAGGCCGAGGCGGGCGGATCACCTGAGGCCAGGAGTTCGAGACCAGCCTGGACAACATGGTAAAACCCCAAATCTACTAAAAACACAAAAATTAGCCCAGCATGGTGGTGTGTGCCTGTAATCCCAGCTACTCAGGAGGCTGAGGCGGGAGAATTGAACCTGGGAGGTGAAGGTTGCAGTGAGCCAAGATTGTGCCACTGCACTCCAGCCTGGGTGACAGAGTGAGACTCCATCACAAAAAGAAGAAAAAAAAAAAGTATTCAGGGCCAGGAGCAGTGGCTCACACCTGTAATCCCAGCATTTTGGGGGGCCAAGGTGGATGGATCACTTGAGTCAAGACCAGCCTGGGCAATATAGGGAGACCCTATCTCTGCAAAAATATTTTTTAAATTAGCTGGGCATGGTGGTGCATGCCCATGGTCCCAGATACTCGTGAGGCTGTGGTGGGAGGATTGCTTGAGCCTGGAAGGTCGCGGCTATGATGAGCCATGATCATGCCACTACACTCCAGCCTGGGCAACATAGTGAGACCCTGCCTCTACAAAAAATGTTTATAATTTAGCCAGGTGTGGTTGTGTGCCCCTGTGGTCCCAGTTACTTGGGAGGCTGAGGCAAGAGGATCGCTTGAGCCCAGGAGTTCAAGGCTGCAGTGAGCTGTGACAGCATCACTATGCTCCATCCTGGGCAACAGAGTGAGACCCTGTCTCGAAAAAATGAATAAATATTGCAGTGAGGCAGAGTTTTCTTTTTCTTTATTTCCATGGCATGTCTGCTGGAGGCTGCCATGGTATAAATGAAAAGGTCTTGGTCGCAGTCCAGACCCCATATTCAGCAACAGGCACATGAACTTGTTGGCCCATGTATTGCAGGCTGTTGCTCTTCCTGCAGAATGAATCCGTGCAGGTGGGAATATCAATTTAAGCAGGTGTGCTTTTTGTTTTTACGCTATCAATTCATATGTATCATCCACTTTGAGTGTCGTGGTGGATACCTTGGTGCACCAGCCCAAGTCCTCTTGGATGAAAGGCTTGTCCTAGCAACTGGGAATGCTGGCTCATTTAGGAGTTATCTCAGCTGTACAGCCACCTGATCCAGGTGGCCTGCATCTGATGGCTGATAGATACAAGGTTACAAAGGCCTGGCCATCTGGCCCGAACCCAGGATGAAGCTCCAGAAGTCACCCACTCCTGCTTCTCTCCCCTCCCTTCCACAGAGCTTCACCCAAGAGCACTTCCTAATAAACATCCTGTGTCCGTCTCGGAGTCTGCTTCCTGCAGAACCCAACCCGTGACAAGTCTCAGTTCATATTTTATTTTTTCACTAAAAATTAATCTCATCTTCAATAGAGAAAGAGGACCATGATAGGAGGAATGAGGAGTTGAAGGGCATTTTATAATTTAGCAAGATATCAGCACAGAGAGCTAACTTTGCCACTAACCCAAAAAGCTTTGTTATTACCAGACAGCCCTGGCGAGGATGATGTCTAAAGTGTCACTACTCTCAGACGAATCTGTAAATGGAAAAGCCTTCCTAACCTACACCTTCCCTAAAACAATTTCATCTCGTGCTGATATTTTGGGACTAGTGACCCTTCTGTGCCACTCAATTCTTCTTCCTGGAGACATATGGTTACAGTGATGTGCCCATTTCTAATCACCTGCCTACCCAGTGGCCCCAGACTTCATTCAACTAATCACCAGAAGGAACCCTTATAACTTTTTTTTTTTTTTTGAAACAGTCTTGCTCTGTCACCCATGCTGGAGTGCAGTGGCTCGATCTCGGCTCAGTGCAACCTCTGCCTTCCAGGTTCAAGTGATTCTCCAGCCTCAGCCACCCTGGTAGCTGGGACTATAGGCGTGTGCCACCACACCTGTCTACTTTTTGTATTTTTGTTTTTATTTTTACATTTTTATTTATTTATTTATTTATTTATTGAGATGATGTCTCACTCTGTCGCCCAGGCTGGAGTGCAGTGGCACGATCTTGGCTCAGTGCAACCTCCGCCTCCCAGGTTCAAGCAATTCTCCTGCCTCAACCTCCTGAGTAGCTGAGATTAAAGGCACCTGCCACCACGCCCAGCTAATTTTTGTATTTTTAGTAGAGATGGGGGGGTCTCACCATGTTGGCCAGGCTGGTCTTGAACTCCTGACCTCAAGTGATCCACCTGCCTTGGCCTCCCAAAGTGCTTGGATTACAGGCGTGAGCCACCATGCCTGGCCAGAAACCCTTATAACTCTTAAGACAAAATACAGGGAAAGCCAAAGTCTGACTATTCTTCTAAAAGAGACTAAATGTCTAGTGGTTTTTCCAGGAACAGGAATATTTCCTGGGCTCAAGTGATCCGGTTGCCTCAGCCTCCCAAAGTGCTGGGATTACAGGTGTGAGCGACCATGCCCAGCCCTAATCTTTACAATTTTCTAAAAATATGAGATTCAGAGAACAGGTATTAAATTCCTTCCTTCATTCACTAAGATACAGCAGATTTTATAGGCTGAGACAACATACAATGAGGGAAACCCGTGTGCAGGCCCGCCCTGCAGTACCATCTACCCTCAACTTTACTACGAGTTCTGCTGCTCACCGGCAGGGTGACCCTGAACAAGCACATTCACCTCTTTAAGTCTTGATTTCCTCATAATCGTACCTTCCTTAGATTAGTTAGAGCTCCAAAAGTATCAGGTTTTATTACCATAATGTGACTGCCACTGAAATGAACGCAACCAGGCCTATATTTACTCAGCAACCGAAATGTTTCTCTGCCTCTGTTCCATATGAAATATGGTTCCAAGAGGTTTCTTTCAAAATGTCAAATTGGGGGAAAGAATTAGTCAGAGTCAAACAATTTGAGGGAACAATGGTGCCAAATTGACACCATCTGGGAAATCCTCTGTCTACACTTAATGCTTAATCTATTCACTTTTTTTTTGCTCTGTATTTTGTCCTGTTGAAAGCATCCAGTTGCACTGGTATCTGTTTCTCAGATTCCCAGACTCCCAAGTTATAAAAATGTGTAAATCATGAGCAGGACCCTGACTCACATCCTCTTCCCAGTTCTGTGCATTTTGCTTCTTTTGTAACCCACATAGAAATCAGCACCCCCCCATAATCCATTCTACGTGCTGAGAGTCATTCAAGCAGCACAGCCCGACCTCCAAAAGCAACTACAGGCCGGGTGCGGTGGCTCACGCCTGTAATCCCAGCACTTTGGGAGGTCGAGGCAGGAGGATCGCTCAAGCTCAGGAGTTTGAGACCAGCCTGGCCAACATGGTGAGATCCTGTCTCCATAAAAAATACAAAAATCAGCTGGGCGTGGTGGCTCGAACCTGTGGAGGCTGAGATGGGTGGATCACTTGGGTCCGGGAGGCGGAGGTTGCAGTGAGCCAAGATTATGCTACTGCACTCCAGCCTCAGTGACAGAGTGAGACCCTGCCCCAAAAAGAAAAAAAAAAAAAGAGCAACCACACTTCATCAATTTGCAGCTCCCACAATACTTCATATAATCCAGTTTTCCCTTTCCTCTCATTGCAATAGCTTTCCGACCCCACAAATGGCATGAATTTTTCAATCCCTCAGTCTCCACTGACCATTTAAAAAAAATTACCCTAAATAAATAACCTACTAACCTACATGAGTTCTCCCTTTTTGACTGTTCCACCTAGTTCAACCTTCTCTTCTCCCTGTGTGATGGTTAATACTGTCAACTTGATTGGATTGAAGGATGCAAAGTATTGATCCTGAGTGTGTCTGTGAGGGTGTTGCCAAAGGAGATTAACATTTGAGTCAGTGGACTGGGAAAGGCAGACCTACCCTCAGTCTGGGTGGGCACCATCTAATCAGCTGCCATCTCGGCCAGAATAAAAGCAGCAAAAGAACTTGGAAATATTAGATTGGTTTAGTCTTCCGGCCTCCATCTTTCTCCTGTGCTGGATGCTTCCTGCCCTTGAACATTGGACTCCAAGTTCTTCAGCTTTGGGACCCAGAGTGGCTTCCTTGCCCCTCAGCTTGTGGACAACTTATTGTGGGACCTCACCTTGCGATCATGTGAGTCAATACTCCTTAATAAACTCCTCTTTATTATTTATTTATTTATTTTGAGACGGAGTCTCGCTCTGTCACCCAGGCTGGAGTGCAGTGGCGTGATCTCGGCTCACTGCAACCTCTGCCTCCTGGGTTCAAGTAATTCTCTGTCCTCAACCTCCCAAGTAGCTGGGATTACAGGCATGCACCACCACGTCCAGCTAATTTTTTGTATTTTTAGTGGAGACGGGGTTTCACCATGTTGGCCAGGCTGGTCTCGAACTCCTGACCTCAGATGATCTGCCCACCTCGGCCTCCCAAAGTGCTGGGATTATAGGCGTGAGCCACCACGCCTGGCCAACTCCTCTTTACATATACATCTATCTTATTAGTTATATCCCTCTAGAGAACCCTGACTAATACACCCTGCTAGCCTCTCTTGCTCTCCTTTCCAAAGCTACCTTAGTAAACAAGTTATGCTCCTTGCAATTCTTCAGCTCTTTCTCTTCCTTACAAAGATGGGCCCAGAATTTTTCATAAGAGGGGTGTTATGGACTGCATTGTGGTTTTTTTGTTTGTTTGTTTGTTTTTGAGATGGAGTCTCGCTCTGTTGTCCAGGCTGGAGTGCAGTGGCCTGATCTTGGCTCACTGCAACCTCCATCTCCCGGGTTCAAGCGATTCTCGTGCCTCAGCTTCCCGAGTAGCTGGGATTACAGGCACACGCCACCATGGTTGGCTATTATTTATTTATTTTTTTAGTAGAGACCGGGTTTCACAATGTTGGCCAAGCTGGTCTCAAACTCCTGAGCTCAAGTGATCTGCCTGCCTCGGTCTCCCAAAGTGCTGGGATTACAGGCGTGAGCCACCACACCTGGCCCTGAATTGTGTCTTGAGACAGGGCCTTGCTCTGTCACCCAGGCTGGAGTACATTTGTATGATCTTGGCTCACTGCAACCTCTGCCTCTGAGGCTGAAGGGATCCTCCCACCTCAGCCTCCCGAGTATCTGGGACTACAAGTGTGTGCCACCACGCTCAGCTAATTTTTCTTTTAATTTTTGTAGAGACAAGCTCTTACTCTATTGCCCAGGCTGGTCTTGAACTCCTGGCCTCAAGCGGTCCTCCTGCCTTGGCCTCCCAAAGTGCTGCAGATTACAAGTGTGAGCCACTTCACCCAGCCTCAAAATTAATATACTGAAGCTTCAATCCTCAGTGTAACTATACTTGAAGATTGGGCCCTTAAATAGGTAACTAAGAAAAAATGAGGCACTTAGGGTAGGGTCTTAATCCAATATGACTGATGTCCTTATAAGAAGAGGAGGAGGTAGCAGGGGTTCACATCCATAGAGAAAAGGCCATGTGAGGACACAGCAAGAAGGTGGCCATCTACAAACCATGGAGAGAGGCCTCAAGAGAAACTAAACCTGCTGATACACTGATCTTGGACTTCCAGCCCTGAGAACCGTGAGAGAATAAATTTCTACTGTTTAAGCCACCCACTCAGTGGTATTTTGTTATGCAGCCCTAGCAGACTAATACAGGGGGCTTAGGACAACAGCTTGGTCTATGCAACCTCTCCTAAAGATTGTATGTTTACATCAACACACTTTTTAATTAAATTGTATATTTATTTACTTTTTTTTTTGAGACAGAGTCTTGCTCTGTCCCCTAGGCTGGAGTGCAGTGGCACAATCTCGGCTCACTGCAACCTCTGCCTCCCAGGTTCAAGCGATTGTATATTGATTTAAAGTTGTTTGTACGGAGGTGAGGGCTGAAGAGATTACTCGTGGCATCCAAGCCTCCCTCGCCCCAAGGCCTTTCTTTCCATGACCAAATCCACCTAAACCTCATCTGATTTTCTTTTCTTTTCCTTGAAACAGGGTCTCGCTCTGTCACCCAGGCTGGAGTGTAGTGGTGCAATCTTGACTCACTGTAATCTCCGCCTCCTGGGTTCCAGCAATTCTTGTGCCTCAGCCTCCCTAGTAGCTGGGATTACAGGCATGAGCCACCTATACCTGGCTACTTTTTATGCTTTTAGTAGAGACGGGGTTTCACCATGTTGCCCAGGCTGGTCTCAAATTCCTGAGCTCAAGTGATCCACCCCATCTCGGCCTCCCAAAGTACTGGGATTACAGGTGTGAGCCACCACACCCCGCCCTCATCTGATTTTCTTTGAGCTGTTGCCTGTTTCACTCTGTGACCTCATTTCTCAGCACTTCCCAGCTCTGACACCTGCTCAATCCTAAAACCAAGCAAATCTGTCTGCTGCCGCCTTTAGCCCACAACCAGCTGGCCTCTAGACCTGGGCCTCAGTGTACTTCATGTTCCCTCCCTCCTGCCTTCTCTCCATTTCCTCGTATGATGCAGTAGCCAGTGTATGCACTCACAGCTCTGTGCCCAAACAAGAACCACAGGCGCTCCTCCACTGTATTCATCTGCTCAGTCTGTTGCAACAAAGTGCCACAATCTGGGCAGTTTAATAACAGACATTTATTATCTCGAAGTTCTGGAGGCCAGAAGTGTGAGAACAAGGTGTCCGCAGGGTTGGCTCCTTCTGAGGGCTGTGAGAGCCTCTTCCTCAGCTTCTGGTGGTTTGCTGGCAATCCTTGGCATTACTTGGCTTGTAGATGCATCACTTTGTGTATTAGTCTGTTCTTGCGTTGCTATAAAGAACTACCTGAGGCTGGGTGTGGTGGCTCATGGCTGTAATCCCAGCACTTTGGGAGGCTGAGGTGGGTGGATCACTGGAGGCCAGGAGTTCAAGACCAGCCTGGCCAACATGGCAAAACCCTGTCTCTACTAAGAATACAAAAATTAGCCAGGCGTGGTGGTGCGCACCTGTAATCGCAGCTACTAGGGAGGCTGAGGCAAGAGAATCACTTGAACCCGGGAGGCAGAGGTTGCAGTGAGCGGAAATCGCACCACCGCACTCCAGTATGGGCGACAGAGTGACACTCTGTCTCAAAAACAAACAAAACAAAACAAAAAAAGAATGGGGGTGATGTTAAAAGTTCTAGAGCAGGAATTCTTACCCTGAGATCCAGGGTTTATTTCCAGAGGGAGCTATGGCTCACCCACATTACATGCAGAATGTGGATTGGTTGTGTGCACTCCTACGACTGTCTTAGGGGATGGTCCATGTTTTTCACCAGATTTTCAGAGGCCAGGACTCACAAGAGTTACAACCTCTGTTTGAGAGACTAAAAGGCTTGTGTCCAGCAGAAGCGACTGAACAGTGAACCCCAGGTCCCTCTCACACCCAAGCAGGACTCCAGCGGGCAGAGGGCTCTCGCGATCACCGCAGCTTTCCTTAGCAATGGGGCTCTCTGGCTCGGCTTTTCCTTCCCACTGTCACCACTTGTGCTTTCATTCCTGACCCCACTTCACTTAGCCTGCCCCCTCCCCTCATCCCTGAGGCCATCCTATGGTGCCTGATGAGGCCAGTTCCCCTGCATTCTAAACCGAATTTCTTGCTGTCTCCCTACCTCCATCCCCTGGCCTCAGCTGAAACCTGTGTCTGCCAGGACAGCAAGTCCCCAGGTCTCCAAATCTTCCCTGTATCAGCCATCAGAGGGGGTCATGGTGGGGCAAGGGTCTGATCCCTGAGCTGCTATGCACTTGGGCCTCCCCACTGGGGGTTTACTCGACCCAGCTAACCCCAGAGATGGGAGGTCAAGGATAGGGCCTTGGGAGGCTGGAATCAAAGGAGAGCAAGCCGGTTTCAGAGTAAGAGTGTCTGCAGTCGGACCCAGGATGCTGGTTGGAGCAATGTGGGTTATGATGACCCAGAGAGACAAATCTAGTCAGAGGCCACCTGAGACTCCACTGGAAAGACCAAATACAAACATGTGTTCCAAAGGCCGGAGACAAGATCAATATTTTTTTGCAAAGCTAAGAGTTAACACACAGAGGGAGACCAAACTCAGACAAAAAAACAGGACAGGGACAAATGAGAAGGATCCAGGACCATCATCCTGGTTGGACTCAGGCATCTGCTTGTATAAAGGCAGTACAGTGGTTAAGAGCATGGACTCTGGCACCGGACCGCTTACATTCAAATTCTGGCTCATCCGCTTCCCAGCTGTGTGACCTTGGGCAACTTACTTAAGTGCTGCCTTCCTCAGTTTACCCATCTACAAAATGGGGAATACTAATCACACTTACCTCTTGGGCTTGTTGAGAGAATTGAGTGGTTTAACACATGTGAAGGATTTAGAATGGTGCCTGGCACACCGTAAGTAAGTGTCAGCTGATATTATAAAGTCCGCACATGGTGATTCACAGGCAGGCCCTTGTGAGTTCAATATCCATGTGAACACATCACCTAACACCACCATTTCTGCACTGTTCTGGCTCTGTTGCAGGCCACTGACACCAATGATAGCCACGCACCAGCCCAGGTGAAGCCTGAATAGCTCATCACATGCCACACTCTATTCCCAGCTGCCAGGCTTGGAATGCCAGTGCCTGGACTTTTTTTTTTTTTTTTGAGATGGAGTCTCGCTCTGTTGCCCAGGCTGGAATGCAGTGGTGTGATCTCGGCTCACTGCAACCTCCGCCTCCCAGGTTCAAGCGATTCTCCTGCCTCAGCCTCCCGAGTAGCTGGGATTACAGGCATGCGCCACCATGCCCAGCTAATTTTTTTTGTATTTTTAGTAGAGATGGGGTTTCACCATGTTGGCCAGGCTGGTCTTGAACTCTTGACCTCAAGTGATCCGCCCACCTCGGCCTCCCAAAGTGCTGGGATTACAGGCATGAGCCACTGCGTTCGCCAGTGCCTTAACTTTCATCTGCTCAAGCTTCTCTCTCTCAGAACCCCAATGTAGCTTTTTATTGTCTGATTTTCAAAATCCGCCACTTTACCCAAACCCATGCATGCATGATCCTGACTCCCTTTCAGTCGTGATCACCTAGTTACCAGCTCAGTGCATTCTTCACTAATACTCAAACCTAATCTTATATATTCTTAATATATAATATCTCCCAAAGATCAAGCTATTTTCCCACCTCAGCCTCCCATGTAGCTGGGACCAGAGGTGTGCACCAACATGCCTGGCTGTTTTTTTAATTTTTGGTAGAGATGTGGTCTCGCTATGTTGCCCAGGCTTGTCTCAAACTCATGGACTCAAGCAATCCTCCCACCTCAGCCTTTCAAAGTGCTGGGATTACAGGTGTGAGCCATTGAACCCCGCCAGGCTTGACATTTATACCAATGAACTTTTTCTAATCTTTCCAAAGCTGCCTGCCTCTCTCAACGTCCCTTATTGTCCTTTAGGCCACTGTAACAGTACTGACTCTATGTTAGAAAAAAGTTTGCTTGAAGAGGAGAGAAAAAAAAAAGAAACAAGTTTGCTTGGCTGGATGCAGTGGCTCACGCCTGTAATCCTAACACTTTGGGAGGCGAGGTGGGTGGATCACCTGAGGTCAGGAGCTCGAGACCAGCCTGGCCAACAAGGCAAAACCCCGTCTCTACTAAAAATATAAAAATTAGCCGGGCATGGTTGCAGGCGCCTATAATTCCAGCCACTCAGGAGGTTGAGGCAGGAGAATCGCTTGAACCCAGGCGAGGGCGGACGTTGCAGTGAGCCAAGATTGCGCCACTTCACTCCAGCCTGGGTGAAACAGTGAAACTCCATCTAAAAAAAAAAAGTTTGCTTGCTTGAATATAATTATTGCTTTGCTTGAGTTTGTAGATTATTTACTAGAAACAGCCTCGGGAAACTAGGGCTTTCAACGAAGATGAAAGAAAACACGCAGACCAACAACTCTGGGAACGGGCTGACTGGCCTGATAAGAATATGCTGATGGTGCCTGCAGAAGACCACAGAAAGTTGACCAAGAAAGCAATTATTAACTGCCTGTCAGAGGCCATGCATGTTTCGCAAGAATTTTTGTTCGTTCGTTTTTGAGACAGAGTTTCCGTCACCCAGGCTGGAGTGCAGTGGTGCGATCTTGGCTCACTGCAACATCCGCCTCTTGGGTTCAAGTGATTCTCTAGCCTCAGCCTCCCGAGTAGCTGGGATTACAAGCACGTGCCACCACACCCGGCTAATTTTTGTATTTTTAATAGAGATGGGGTTTCACTATGTTGGCTAGGCTGGTCTCGAACTCCTGACCTCAGGTGATCCACCTGCCTTGGCCTCCCAGAATGCTGGGATTACAGGCATGAGCTGCCGCGCCTGGTCCGCAAGAATGTTTTGATCATCATTTCCCCTAATTTCTCTTAAAAACCCCTGATCCAGAGGCACAAGTAGGAAAGCTGGTCTTTCAACGCTAATTTAATGCCTGCCTCAGGTTGCTGGCTTCTCAGATAAAACTAACTTTCCTTTCAACAAAGCTCATCTCTTAAGTTTTTGGCTTTCAGGTGACGAGTGGCTCAGACCTGAGCTCAGTTACAACACCACAATTCTCCCGAGCCCTGGAGCCCTCTTTAATTTCTCCGTAGTCTTCTGGATGCAACAGTAGCCAAGTCCTATCAACAATTTCCCAGTTTGTTTTCATTGCTTCCCTTATTTTCATTCGCGAGGCCATGGTCCTAGTTCAGGCCATTACCTCCACCCATCTTCCGACAATGGCCTTGGCCCGGGAACACTTTCTTCTGTCTCTGGCTCTCTCTTCCCTTCAGTCCATCCTATACGGAGTTGCCAAGCTAATCTGCCTAAATCACAGCTTGGATCGTGTCACTGCCTAGCTAAGAAAAGCTTTGTGACTGCCCACGCTCTACAAAGAAAGATCCAGGCTCCTCACGGGACTCTGAAGTCCTCTTCGAGGCTGCTCTTTGCCTGGTGGACAGAGGCACGAGCAGAACGGCCCAGGTGGGGAGAAGCTTTGGGCTTAACAGCAGCCCGCTCCCACCTGTTCTCCATCCTGAGCCCTAATTGCAGACATGCTCATGCATTTTGCTGACCATTCAGAGGCCCCGCACTCTGGCTCCACTGTGCTTCCCAAAATTCAATTTCACTCTGTGGAGTGTTAAACCTCTTTCTGTTCACTATGCAAATCCCAGCCAGCCTCCAAGACCCCATCCCATTCCAACTCTTCCTCTTTCTTTTTATTTTCTTTTTTGAGACAGAGTCTCGCTCTGTCTCCCAGGCTGGAGTGCAGTGGTGCATTCTCGGCTCACTGCAACCTCCTCCTCCCAGGTTCAAGCCATTCTCCTGCCTCAGCCTCCTGAGTAGCCGGGATTACAAGCATGTGCCACCACACCTGGCTAATTTTTGTATTTTTAGTAAAGATGGGGTTTCTCCATGTTGGTCAGGCTGGTCTCGAACTCCCGACCTCGGGTGATCCATCCACCTCGGCCTCCCAAAGTGCTGGGATTACAGGCCTGAGCCACCGCACCCGGCTTATAGAAGTATATTTTTAATACCACTCATTTGAGATTCATTCCTCTACTGCCATCACTAGATTTCTTGCACTGGCATGTCGAATTGTCGATTTTCTCTACATTTTTGTATGTTCAGTGCCAAGCAAGCATTGATATATCAAAAGTTATATTTAACTACCTGCACAATAGTTGGCATTGTTAACTTTTTAAATATCTCAAACGTATAGAAGAATAAAGACACCAATGTAATGGACAACTATGCCACCAACTCCCAGGTTTAACAGATGCTAATATGTAACCAAATTTGCTTCGGAAATCTTAAGAAAGAAAATAAAAACATAACAGAGGATAAAAGCCTACCTCCCTCCCCTCAACCCATGTATATACTTGCTCCTCCCTTTTCTCTCCAGAGGCCACCACTGTCCTCATTCCCAAGAATGTTTGTACTTTTAACTATATATGTATATTTCCATAAATAATATCTAGAACTGTATGCTTTAAAATTTTATGCAGATATCATATTGCTATGGTTTGAATGTTCCTTCCAAAGCTCATGTTGAAACTTAATCCCTAACGTGGCAGTATTGAGAGGTGGGGCCTTTTAAAAAATATATTATAGAGACTGGGCTGGGTGCAGTGGCTCACGCCTGTAATCCCAGTACTTTGAGAGGTTGATCGCTTGAGCCCAGGGGTTCGAGACCAGCCTGGGCAACATAGCAAAACCTCATCTCTACAAAAAAAAAAAAAATTAGCTGAGCATGGTTGTGCATGCCTGTGGTCCCAGCCACTCAGGAGGCTGAGGCAGGAGGATTGCTTGATCCCAGGAAGCAGAGGTTACAGTGAGCTGAGATGGCACCACTGCACTCCAGCCTGGGTGACAGAAGGAGGCCCTGTCTCCAAAAAAAAAAAAAAAAAGAAATAAGAGAAAGGGTCTCTCTATGCTGCCCAGGCTGATCTCAAACTCCTAGCCTCAAGTGATCCTCCTGCCTCGGCCTCCCTGGGTGCTAGAATTACAGGTATGAGCCACTGCACCCAGCCAAGACGTGGGGCCTTTAAAAAGTGATTGAGTCCTAAGGGCTCTGCCTTCATGAATAGACAAATTTATTCATAGATTTCATGGATTAATGGGTTATCATGAGAGAAGAATTAGGGGCTTTGGAAGAAGAAGAGAGACCTGAGCTAGCATCTTAGCACACTCCGCCCCTTCACCATATGGTGCCCCTTGCCATCTTGGGACTCTGCAGAGAGCCCCCATCAACAAGAAGGCCCTCACCAGATGTAACCCCTTGACCTTGGACTTTTCAGCCTCCAGAATAGTAAGGAATAAATTCCTTTTATTTATAAATTAATCAGTTTCAGGTATTCTGTTGTAAGTAACAGAAAATAGGCTAAGAGGGTGGGCATGGTGGCTCACACTTGTAATCCCAGTACTTTGGGAGACAAAGGTGGGAGGATTACTTAAGCCTAGGAGTTTGAGACCAGCCTGGGCAACAGAGAGACCCTGTCTTAAAAAAAAAAAAAAAAGAAAAGAAAACAAAGACACATGTACCTGTCCTGTTCCAATGTGCCTTTTCTTTTAAACCAAAGGTTGTTTTTTGTTTGTTTGTTTGTTTTTTTGAAACAGAGACTCACTCTGTTGCCCAGGCTGGAGTGCAGTGGCGCCATCTCAGCTCACTGCAACTTTTGCCTCTCGGGTTCAAGTGATTCTCCTGCCTTAGCTTTCCGAGTAGCTGGGATTATAGGCATGTGCCACCACAGCTGGCTAATTTTTGTACTTTTAGTGGAGATGGGGTTTCACCGTGTGTTGGCCAGGCTGGTCTCGAACTCCTGGTCTCAAGTGATCCATCCACCTCGGCCTCCCAAAGTGCTGGGATTACAGGCGTGAGCCACTGTGCCTGGCCACAAACCAAAGGTTTTGTTTTGAGATTTTTTTCGTATTGATGGCTTTATTCATTGTGCCTGTCATCCATTGTACCAGTTGCATCAGTTCGGGTCACATTAAGAATGAGATGGCATATACCCAGCAGATTTAACTAAGGAGAGTTCATTTCAGGGGCTCCTGTGAGAGATATGGGCAGGCTTAAGGGAACCGATAAGGAATGATGGTGACTCGCCCAGGGACTAGCAGCATCAGGAAGGTTTTGTGCTGATTCTCTTTGCTCCAAATTCATCCTTTCTTGTCAGCTCTGTGAAAATGGATCTGGGCTGGCCTGAAGACAGTGGTGTTTACAATTAATTGATCACAACCAGCTGTAGATTTCTTTGTTCCTTCTTCACTCCCACTGTTTCCCTTGATTAGCCTTAAAAAAATAATAAAAAGAAAAAAAAAAAAAGAAAATGGATCTCAGCCCTTTAAGTATCTTGCCTTTGGGCCGGCCGCGGTGGCTCACGCTTGTAATCACAGCACTTTGGGAGGCCGAGGCGGGGAGATCACTTGAGGTCAGGGGTTGAAGCCTGGCCTGGGCAACATGGTGAAACCCCATCTCTACTAAAAATACAAAAATTAGCTGGGCGTGGTGGCGCACGCTTGTAGTCCCAGCTACTCAGGGGGCTGAGGCATGAGAAATGCTTGAACCTGGGAGGCGGAGGTTGCAGTGAGCCGAGGTCTTGCCACTGCTCTCTGGCCTGGGCGACAGAGCAAGACTCTGTCTCAAAAAAAAAAAACAAAACAAAACACAAACAAAAAAACTATCTGGCAAAAAAAAAACAACTAACAAAAAAAACTATCTTGCCTTTGCCAGCTGGCATGATATAAAGCGTCAGTAGAGGGTGAGGGAGTGATGCTGCGGGAGGAAAGGGTTTGGGCAGCATGCTTGCTGGGCCAGCTCCTGTAGCACTCACAACTCCAGTGCTTGGCTCTTGCTGTATACAGCAGCCGGCATCGCCCTGCGGCCGGCAGGTTCCCCTGCCACCCCCTTAGGTGGTTTGGCAGCCTCTAGTGAGTCGCTTTGCCTGGCACCCTAGAGGGAAGATTCCCAGAAAGTTCCAGAGCACAGATATGCAGTCCCACCTGCGCAGCAGCTCAGTGCCTTCTCTGCCTTTTAGTGAGCCAGGGCTGCATGCTCCCAGTGTGGTCTGGATCTCAGCTTTGGAGCAGGGAAGGGCTCTTTCTTGCGTGCTCCATCACAACCATCCGGTAGCAGGAGCTGCTCCTCCTGTCGGCTAATCCTAGGTTCTCCAGAGTTTCTTACTAGCCAATCCCTCTCTGCTACAATGAATCATTGTTCATATTAAACTTTCTCTGGTCAAGTGATTGTGTGGCTTCTCTTTCCTGATTGGCCCCAAATTGATACACAGTTCTCATCCCTAAGCCTGAAGGACCAAGAAGAGGGAACCAGCTACTGAAATCCAGCAAGAAGCGAAGTTATGGGAGAGTGCTGCCTCATTCGGACAATGAATACATAATTGGAGGCTTGTTCATACAACGAAATGCGGTGCAACCATGAATGCTAGGCAGTCTCTATTCTTCCTTCCAGACACTGTCTCAATCCTTCTTCCCCCTGCTCTGTGCCTGGGAAACCGACAGCGGGGTGCCGGCAAATGGTTAACAAGTAGGTGGGGAAAAAAATAACGATCCTGGTTTGTAGTGTTGGCTGATTTCTTTGGCATAAATACTTCCACCATGGCTAAGAGCCAGCCCCAGCACACCACAGGCGGCTAAGACTGCAAACCTCAGGCTCCTTCGCCCTTTGGTTTTCAGATGGCTGGGCCACTGGGAGGCCCAGCAGATGGGAAGTGAGATGAGATCGTTCCTTTGACCCCCTACCACCTTGTAGGCTGCGGTTTGGGTGGGCCTCTGTATCTCTCCGCACAAGAGGCCTAATTAAGTTGTTTCTGCCTTTTCTCTATGACACAACACAGCCGCAGTGAGAATCTTTATGTGCGTGTGCACGTCCCCTGGACCCAGGTGTGACAATTTTCCCTTGCAGGGCTGTCAAATAAAATACAGGGTGCTGGGCCGCACGCGGTGGCTCACACCTGTAATCCCAGCACTTTGGGAGGCCGAGGCGGGCGGATCACGAGGTCAGGAGATCGAGACCATCTTGGCTAACACGGTGAAACCCCGTCTCTACTAAAAATACAAAAAATTAGCCGGGCACGGTGGCGGGCGTCTGTAGTCCCAGCTACTCGGGAGGCTGAGGCAGGAGAATGGCGTGAACCCGGGAGGCGGAGCTTGCAGTGAGCCGAGATCGCGCCACTGCAGACCGGCCTGGGCGAAAGAGCGAGACTCCGGCTCAGAAAAAAAAAATAAAAATAAATAAAATAAAATAAAACAAAATAAAATAAAATATAGGGTGCCAAGCTAAACCTGAATTTCAGATAAACACCAAATAATTTTTTAGTATGCATTTGTCTTAAATATTGCATGGGACATATTTATGCTAAAAAACTGTGAGAGTAGAATGATGGCTACCAGAAGTTGGGAAGGCTTGTGGGGGGTGGGAGGGGGGTGGGATGGATGTGGGATAGAATGGGCACAAAAATATAGTTAGATAAAATGAATAAGATCTAGTATTTAATAGCACAACAGGAGCCAGGCAGAGTGGCTTCCACCTGTAATCCCAGCACTTTGGGAGGCCGAGGCAGGTGGATCAGGAGGTCAGGAGTTCAAGACCAGCCTGGCCAAGATGGTGAAACCCTGTCTCTACTAAAAATACAAAAATTAGCCGGGCGTGGTGGTGGGCACTTGTAATCCCAGCTACTTGGGAGGCTGTGGCAGATAATTGCTTGAACCCGAGAGGCAGAGGTTGCCGTGAGTTGAGATCGTGCCAGTGCACTCCAGCCTGGGCGACAGAGGGAGACTCCGTCTCAAAAAAAAAAATTTGCACAAATAGCACAACAGGATGACTACAGTCAGTACAGTCAGCAATAATTTATCATACATGTAAAAATAACTAAAAACATATAATTGGATTGCTTATAACACAAAGGATAAATGCTTGAGGTGATGGATACCCCATTCACCGTGATGGGATTATTACACATTGTATGCCTGTATAAAAATATCTCATTGATACGATTTGGCTGCGTCCCCACCCAAATCTCATCTTGAATTCCCATGTGCTGTGGGAGGAACCTTGTGGGAGATAATTGAATCATGGGGGCAGGTCTTTCCCGTACTGTTCTCGTGATAGTGAATAAGCCTCACAAGATCTGATGGTTTTAGGAAGGGGAATTTCCCTGCACAAGCTCTCTCTTTGCTTGCTGCCATCCAGGTAAGACGTGACTTGTTCCTCCCTGCCTTCCGCCATGACTGTGAGGCCTCCCCAGCTATGTGGAACTGTAAGGCCAATTAAACCTCTTTCTTTTGTAAATGGCCCAGTCTTGGGTATGTCTTTATCAGTAGCATGAAAACGGACTATCACAGTAAATGTACCCCATAAATATATAAACATACTATGTACCCACAAATTAAAAATTTAAAAATTAAAAACCATTCATTATTTATCTGAATATCAAATTTAATTGGCTGTCCTTTTTTTTATTGCTTGTTTTTTGCTAAATCTGACAACTCTACCTGGGGAGACTCCTAGAAATGGAATTTCTCTCTCTTTTTTTTTCTTTTTTTCAGACAGGGTCTCATTGCCCATGCTGGAGTGCAGTGGCATGATCTTAGCTCAATGCAGCCTTGACCTCCTGGGCTCAAGTAATCCTCCCACCTGGAATTTCTAAAATAATGTCTCCAACATGGTTTGAGTTCTGTAAATTAAATTAAATTAAATTAAATTAAATTAATTACTTAACTTTGAGACAGGGTCTCACTCTCGCCCAGGCTGCAGTGCAGTGGCATAATCATGGCTCACTGCAGCCTAAACCTCCTAGGCTCAAGCGATCCTCCCACCTCAGCCTCCCAAGGAGCAGGGACCACAGGTGCATGCCACCACACCCAGCTAACTTTTTATTTTTTGTAGAGATGATTCTCACTATGTTGCCCAGGCTGGTTTCAAACTATTGGGCTCAAGGGATATATCTGCCTCGGCCTCCCAAAGTGCTGGGATTATAGGCGCGAGCCACTGTGCCCTGCCCAGGTCCTGTAAATATTATATGATAATTTGTTTTCCTGTTCTTAAGATACCCCTTGATCTAGTTTTCGGTCATCTGTAACCCCGTATTGGGTCTTTAACAGGGCTTGACAGGGGGTGGGGCCGTGGTCACATGATGACAATATAGAGGCTAGAGCTCTCTGGTGCTATGAGCAAGACTCTGTCACATGAGACATGTCCATGGAGGAGGCTGAGGAATGTGCTTCCATCTGAAATTCAGCACCTCTGGACCCAGCCTCCCCTCCACCTTACCACTGATTGGCAAATGCCTCTGAGTGGGCCAATGGGGATTTGCCTTTAGAGCGGAGGTCCCTTCCCTTCCAAAATTCCCTCCCCCTGGCCTCAGTTCCCAGAGGCCTGACTCTGGGGTCCTTCCCAGGCTTCTACCCTTGAGCATCAGACCTGATCCTCTCCCTGTTTCCCTAGCAAGTCTTTCTGGTTTGGGGAAGTTTCTTTACTGTTAGGGTATTACAAAGCAAGGTGACAAATTAATGCCCAGAAAGGTCTTAATGATGGTGAAATGTGTTGCCCTCCTGGAGCATTTATGTTTAAAGCAGTAATCCAAAGGGCTGGATTTTTTGTTTGTTTGTTTTTTGAGACGAAGTCTTGCTCTGTTGCCCAGGCTGGAGTGCAGTGGCGCGATCTCGGCTTACTGTAACCTCTGCCTCCCGGGTTCAAGTGATTCTCCTGCCTCAGCCTCCTGAGTAGCTGGGATTACAGGCGCCTGCCACCATGCCTGGTTAATTTTTGTATTTTTAGTAGAGACGGGGTTTCACTATGTTGGCCAGGCTGGTCTCGAACTCCTGGCCTCAAGTGATCTGAAGGGCTGGATTTTAAGAGACCATTTTAGGGAGACTTTCTAGTGCTTATGTATTTAAATGCAACTTATCCTTCTCTTCTAGGGGAAGAGTCCTTGTCTTCTTTTCCACCATTTCCTCTAAGTTTATCTTATATTTCCTCATCCAGAAGAATTCCTAATCTTCTGACCTTGGAGATACAGATTTTATAAACAGGTCTGGATCAAGCAGCCGATTGTGTTCCATCAGGTCTGTTTCCTTCCACGCTACTTGAAATAAGTTTTTATATTAATAGTTATCCCACAGCGCCATCTGCTGGCTGAAAGCCGTAGGTACCTGTAAGTTATTTTACAAGAGCGGGGGTTTTTTTTGTTTGTTTGTTGTTGTTGTTGTTGTTTCTGGTTTTTTTTCTTAAAGAGAAAGAGATTTGTTTCCTTGGTTGGAATAGGTCGAGTTAGGTTAGGTTTGGGTTGGTTTGGTTTGACTAGGTTTGCTTTGCTTCACTTTGTAACACTGATGAACTGGGGTTCTACATAACTGGAAAATTTTCAAAAGATTTAGGTCTTCCAAGAAGGCATCGCCCAGTGAGTGGAGTCTGTTTCAGGGGGTCTGGGCCAGAGATACTGCATTTCTAACAAGTCTCAGGGGATGCCAGTGCCACTGATCCAAGGGTCACCGTTGAGTAGCGAGGGGATACACCTGAGTAGAACAGACGCCTGGGCAGGAGACCCTTATAGTATAGCCCTCCTGGATGCATTTTTTTTTCATGCTTTCAGTTAATACATAGAAAAACAACTTCTTTCTCTTCCTTCATAAGATAATTTTATCTTTCCTCATCTAGACAATTTCTTAATCTTCTGACCTTGGAAGTGTAGATTTTAAATAGGTCCAGATCAAGCAGAAAATTGTGTTTGATTTTGTTTCCTTGTCTTCTTCCAAGCTACATTAAAAACAATTGCGGCCAGGCATGGTGGCTCACGCCTGTAATCAATCCCAGCACTTTGGGAGGCCGAGGCGGGCGGCTCACTTGAGGTCAGGTGTTTGAGACCAGCCTGGCCAACATGACGAAACCCTGTCTCTTATAAAAATACAAAAATTAGCTGGGCATGGTAGTGCACACCTGTAATTCCAGCTGATCGGGAGGCTGAGGCAGGAGAATCAGCAGAACCTGGGAGGTGGAGGTTGCAGTGATCTGAGATTGCGCCACTGCACTCCAGCTTGGGAGAGAGAGTGAGACTCCGTCTCAAAAAACAAACAAACAAACAAACAAACAAAAAACCCAATCACTTTCTTCTAGTTGTCCCCCAGTGCCATCTACTGTCTAAAAGCAGCAGGCACCTGAAAGTGACTTGATAATTTATTTTGTAAGAAACAGCAAGTCCTCCTCTGGAAGGAACAATCAAGTTATTTGTTCCTCACTATTTGTTTCCTAATATACCTCTGAGGTTCTATATAACTAAAACTTTTTAAGAGCCTAAAAGTTCTTAGGAGAATTTAAATAAAGTTTTAAAAAATTTCTTCGAGCACTTTAATGATCCAACGTTTTGATTTTTATTATGTCTTTATTTGATGGTGCCAGAAAGGGTGTTTTAATTCAATCAGACTTTCACCTCATTAATGAAGCATCTGTTGGTGGCAAAGCTCTGAGCCTGGCCCTTTGCAAGGCAAAGCTCCCTGGGAGTTGGGGCTGGAGCAGCACAAAATCCAGGCAGGGCACAAGAGAGCTCAGAGGGGCTTCTTCTTTTTTCTTCCTTTTTTTTTTTTTTTTTTTTTTTTTGACAGAATCTCACTCTGTTGCTCAGGCTGGAGTACAGTGGCGTGATCTCGGCTCACTGCAATCTCCGCCTCCTGGGTTCTAAGGGATTCTCGTGCCTCAGCCTCCGGAGTAGCTGGGATTACAGGTGCGCGACACCACGCCCGGCTAGTTTTGTATTTTTAGTAGAGAGGGTGTTTCACCATGTTGGCCAGGCTGGTCTTGAACTCCTGACCTTAGGTGATCCACCCACCTCAGCCTCCCAAAGTGCTGGGATTACAGGCGTAAGCCACCACGCCCGGCAAGAGGGGCTTCTTGATGTCATGTGGAAGAAGATGCCAGAGATGGGACATCTCCCTCCTTCCCAAGTCTGGAAAGTAATCAGCTCTAGTGGGAACATTTACAGGCCACACCACATCTGGGCACCTGGACACAGCCACAGTGAAGCTGACAGCAACCAGGAAGCCCCTCTCAACACAGCATCAGCTGTGGCTTTCATCCAGGCTTCTCAAATCTGCAAATCCTGGCTGTGTTTTGTGCAGAAGCAGTGAAAGTGCCTCTTGTCCCACTTGGTGTGACCCATTGTCACAAGGGCACAAATTTGGGACTATTTTTGCCCCAAACTTCTGCAGAGTTTGTAATAAAATGGCCAAATGGCCTTTTCACTTTCTTTTTTTTTTTTTTTTTTTTGAGATGGAGTCTTGCTCTGTTGCCTAGGCTGGATTGCAGCGGTATGATCTTGGCTCACTGCAAGCTCCGCTTCCCGGTTCAAGTGATTCTCCTGCCTCAGCCTCCCAAGTAGCTGGGATTACAGGTGCGTGCCACCATGCCCAGCTAATTTTTGTATTTTTAGTAGAGACGAGGTTTCACCATGTTGGCCAGGCTGGTCACGAACTCCTGACCTAAAGTGATCCACCCACCTCGGCCTCCCAAAGTGCTCGGACACTTTTTTATTTTTATTTTTATTTTTTTAAGACAGGGTCTGTCTGTTGCCCAGGCTGGAGTGCAGTGGCATGATCATTGCGCACTACAGCCTCGACCTCTGGGACTCAAGCAATCCGCCCACCTCAGCCCTCTGAGTAGTTGGGACTACAGGTGCATACCAGCACACCTGCCACCACATCCAACTAATTTTTTTATTTTTAATTTTTAGTAGAGATGAGGTCTTCCTATGTTGCCCAGGCTGGTCTCAAACTCCTGAGCTCAGGCGCTCCTCCTGCCTTGGCCTCTTAAAGTGCTGGGATTACAGGTGTGAACCACTGGCCCGGCCGATTCTCTACTCTTATAGAATGAGTTCATTCCTAAGAGGCACCTCAGGCCATGCATGAGTCTAGGCCCTTTTAGTTGCAAGGTCAGAAAACCAATCAACTGGCTTAAGCAAGGCGAAAAAAAAAAAGGAGATAAATTGGCTTATGTTATTGGGAAATCCAGAGGTGTACTTCAGGCATGGAGGGATCCAGGGACCACAAACTGTTGTCGGGGCTTTCTCTATTTCCAACTCTTACTTCTGCTGCTTTCTCTGTTTGTGCTCATTCTTTCCCAGTTTATAAGAGCTTCCTCTAGTGGCAGGAATATGACCATTGAGATCTTCAGGCTTATGGCATCACAGCTTGAGAGCCAGGGAAAATGAGAGTGGTTCTCATTTCCAGCACTGATATATATGATTCTCAGAGATGCAGTCTAACTGGGCTTGCTGGGTTCATGTGCCCATCTCTTGAACAAATCAGTGGCCAAGGGGATGGAGTAGCAGAGTCAAGCACTGTGGTTGGTTGCCTGCCTTCAAGATGGCTCTCAATAATCCCTGCCTCTCTCGATAGTTATGCCTTTGCCTAATGTCCTCCCAAATGGTATCAAGCTGGTCTGTGTGACCAGTAGAAGAATAAGGCAATCGTGATTGTGTGTGACTTCTGATGGTAGGTCATAAAAGGCACTGCAAATGCCTCTTGGTCTTTCCCTTGGATCACGCCCTCCGGGGGAAGCCAACTGCCATGCCTTTAGGAGAGATCCATTCATTAAGGCACTGAGGTCTCCTGCTGACAGTGTGGGGGTGAGGCTGGAAGTGGATTCTCCAGCCACAATCAGACCTTCACATGACTATAGTCCCAGCCGACATTTGGATTGCCACCTCAGAACCACCTAGCTAAGCCACTTCCAAATTCCTTATTTATTTATTTGTTTAGAGACGGAGTCTCACTCTGTCACCCAGGCTGGAGTCTAATGGCACAATCTCAGCTCACTGCAATCTCCACCTCCTGGGTTCAAGCGATTCTCCTGCCTCAGCCTCCCCAGTAACTGGGACTATAAGCGCGCACCACCAGGCCTGGCTAATTTTTTTTTTTTTTTTTTTTTTTGAGACAGAGTCTCGCTCTGTCAACCAGGCTGGAGTGCAGTGGCCCAATCTCGGCAACCTCCGCCTCCCAGCTTCAAGCAATTCTTCTGCCTCAGCCTCCCGAGTAGCTGGGACTACAGGCGCCTGCCACCATGCCCAGCTAATTTTTGTATTTTTTGTAGAGACGGGGTTTCACCATATTGGCCAGGCAGGTCTCGAACTCCTGACCTTGTGATTCACCCGCTTCGGCCTCCCAAAGTGCTGGAATTACAGGCATGAGCCACTGCGCCTGGCTTAATTTTTGTATTTTTAGTAGAGACAGGTTTTCACCATGTTGGCCAGGCTGGTCTCAAACCCTTGAGCTCAAGTGATCAGCACGCCTTGGCCTCCCAAAGTGCTGGATTGCAGGCATGAATCACCACACCCAGCCCCAAATTCCTGATTGTTTTGAAATGATGAGATTAAAAAATGTTTGCTATTACAAGCCACTAACTTTGGAGGTCATTGGAGAAGATAGAGTGCTAATATGGGAAAAATGGATATCTTGCTGATCCTTGAAAGGATGCTGGGCAGGCCCAAATAACAGCTGCCCAATACCATCCCTCATGCTGGGAGGAGTTCAGCTGACTGCCAGGGCTACAAACCTGCCAGGTGGGCCTGACACTCGCCGATGAACTGGACCCAGGCTCTAGTTACTGTTACTAATAGAAGAGTAATGATGAAACATACTAAGTTGGCTGGGCATGGTGGGCTCACACCCATAATCCCACACTTTGGATGCCGAGGTGGGAGGATGGCTTGAGCCCAGGATTTCGAGACCAGCCTAGGCAACATAGTGAGATCCCCATCTCCACAAAAACTAAAAATAAATTTAGGGCTGGGCGCAGTGGCTCATACTTGTAATCCCAGCACTTTGGGAGGCCAAGGCGGGTGGATCACTTGAGGTCAGGAGTTCGAGACCAGCCTCACCAACATGGAGAAACACCATCTCTACTAAAAATACAAAAATTAGCCAGGCATGGTGGTAGGTGCCTGTAATCCCAGCTACTTGGGAGGCTGAGGCAGGAGAATCGCTTGAACCTGGGAGGCAGAGGTTGCAGTGAGCCTAGATTGCTCCATTTCACTCCAGCTTGGGCAACAAGAGTGAAACTCTGTCTCAAAAAATAATAATAATAAAATAAATACATTTAGCCAGGTGTGGTGGCACATGCCTGTAGTCCCAGCTCTGGAGGCTGAGGTGGGAGGATCACTTGAGCCCAGGAGGTTGAGGCTGCAGTGAGCTATGATTGCGACTGTACTCCAGCCTGGACGCCAGAGTGAGACTCTGTCTAAACAAACAAACAAACAAAAAAACAAACCCACAAATATACTAAGTTATTCCTGGTCCTAATTTTCCCTATTACCAAGAGATTGGGCATTGGTGCCAGCTATGTAGTAACAGACAAGTTACCTCTCTAAGACTCAGTTTCCTCATCTGTAAAATGGGGTAACAGTTGTATCTACCCGTTAGGGCGATGGTAAAGATGAGATGAATGTACATGCTTAGTCCAGTACTTCCCAGTTGATGAAGCCCAGTGAATGCTGGCTGTTTGGATTATTTACATTCGTAATAAGCTAAATAATGCCCCCGAATATATCAGGTCCAGTCCCTGGAATCTGGGAATGCTACCTTATATGGCAAAGACTTTGCAGATGTGATTAAGCAAAGGAGACTGAGATGGGGAGATTATCCTGGATTATCCAGATTCTCCCTAAATGCAACTAGAAGGGTTCTTTTCTTTTTTTTTTTTTTTGAGATGGAGTTTCACTCTTGTCACCCAGGCCGGAGTGCAATGGCACGATCGCAGCTCACTGCAACCTCCTCCTCCAGGGTTCAAGCGATTCTCCAGCCTCAGCCTCCCAAGTATCTGGGATTACAGACAAGCGCCACCATGCCCAGTTAATTTTTGTATTTTTAGTAGAGATGGGGTTTCGCCATGTTGGCCAGGCTGGTCTCAAACTCCTGACCTCAGGTGATCCGCCCATCTTGGCCTCCCAAAGTGCTGGGATTACAGGCATGAGCCACTGCGCCCGGCCTTAAGGGTTCTTGTGATTTAAGAGGGTGGCAGAAGGAGATTATGCACACGCAGAAGAGGAAAAGGCAATGTGACTGCAAAGGCAGAGATTGGACCGGTGTTGCCCCAAGCCCAGGAATGCCGACAGCCACCAGAAGCTGGAAAAGGCAAGGAATAGATTTTCCTCTAGGACTCCCAGAGAGAGCCACCTTGATTTTAGCCCACTGAAGTGATTTCAAATTTCTGGCCTCCAGAACTGTCAGATAATACATTTCTGGTTTGTTTGTTTTGTTTTTGAGATAGGATCTCGCTGTGTGGCCCAGGTGAGAGTGCAGTGGTGCAATCACCACTCATTGTAGCCTTGAATTCCTGGGCTCCAATAATCCTGCCACCTCAGCCTCCTAAGTAGCTGGGATTACAGGTGTACACCACCACCCCCTGCTAATATTTTTGTTTTTTGTAGACATGGGGGGTCTCACTTTGTTGCCCAGATTGGTCTTAAACTCTTGGCTTCAAGTGATCCTCCTGCCTTGGCCTCCAAAAGCACTGGGATTACAGGCATGAGCCACCATGCCCAGCCACCTTCTTTTGTTAAGCTTGTAGTCATTTGTTTCTGCAGCCATAGGAAACTAATGCAGTATTATTATCTTTTTTGTTTGTTTTTTGTTTTTTTTGAGACAGAGTTTCACTCTTGTTGCCCAGGGTGGAGTGTAATGCTGCAATCTCGGCTCACTGCAACCTCTGCCTCCCACGTTCAAGCGATTCTCCTGCCTCAGCCTCCCGAGTAGCTGGGATTACAGGCTGGGATTACAGGCATGCGACACCACACCTGGCTAATTTTTGTATTTTTAGTAGAGACGGGGTTTCATCATACTGGCCAAGCTGGTCTCGAACTCCTGACCTCAGGTGATCCACCCGCCTTGGCCTCCCAAAGTGCTGGGATTACAGGCATGAGCCACTTCACCCGGCCTAATACAGCATTATTATCTAAAAGCCACCTGCAGCTGTCCATTCCATGGCACGCAATTTAAAAGAAGATGTAGAAATAGATGTGATCTAAGATTTCATGGTGATCCTTTGGGAAAAAAAAAAGAGAGAAATAGAAGTGATTTAGAAATTAGACTTCTTCACTGTTCCTGACCTTTTCTACCAAATATATAGAAATATCCTATATTACATTAATACAGATATTCATTTTTATCTTGCAAGCTAAAGAGATAAGAGAACTCAGCAGAAAATTCAATCTAAAATTCTAAGGAAAGAAGAAGAAATTCAAAAATGGTACTTAATACTTCCTTACTACGGCACCTACTCTCCTGAAAAACAAAAAAATTTTAAATTTTAATTTTTTTTTTTTTTTGAGACGGAGTTTCTCTCTTGTCGCCCAGGCTGGAGTGCAATGGCACGATCTCGGCTCACTGCAACCTCCACCTCCTGGGTTCAAGCGATTCTCCTGCCTCAGCTTCCTGAGTAGCTGGAATTGCAGGTATGTGCCACCACACCTGGCTAATTTTTGTATTTTTAGTAGAGACAGGGTTTCACCATGTTGGTCAGGCTGGTCTCGAACTCCTGACCTCAGGTGATCCACCCGGCTCGGCCTCCCAAAGTGCTGGGATTACAGGTGTGAGCCACTGTGCCCGGCCTTTACATTGTTTTTTAACACACTAGATTTGGATCTCTTTTTTGATGATCATCTATAGAATGCTCCTTTATCCACTTATTGTTATCACCTTCTAATTTTGGTAGACTGAAAATATTGCCGGTAAAGTTTGCCAATGGAGCAAAGATTCATCTAAACCATCTCTTCAAATCCCATTCGCAGGCTTCTATTTCAGGAATGTAATTAAAATCGGCTGCAACAGCTTGAATTCTCACTGGATAAAATCTCTGCAGGCCAATCTCTTTGGTGGATTGCATTTAAATTTTATGTTAATTACAAATTTTGTCTAATTAAAACTCCTACCTTGTGGTCCTACTCTGAACCTTTACGCCTTGATAGTCCAAGGTTGGACCTGATAGTGCTGGCTTTGTATGTTTCTTGTACTTAGGTTTTTTTTCTAGTACTTTCAGGCAGTTCCTCGCTGTAGAATATTAGAATTTGTGTCTTAAAATTCATATTGTCTGGGGGACTCTTTCCAGCAAACATTACTCCCATTGATGGGAGATTTGCAGGTATAATGTTTTAGCTCTCACCAGGCCACCCTATCCTGGGTGCGAGGGCGAAGTATGTTGGAACTGCAGGCCACAGCTGCCTGGGTGTTTACACCGACCAAAACTCAGAGGGTAGAGCCACAGAAACAGCAGCTCCTGCTGCTCATTGAGATTTAATTGTGTGTGGATGCAAAAATAGAAGTGGATTCTACCTTTCCCATTGTGGCTTCCCACTAATGACATAATGATGGCACCAATGTCAAAATTTCCAGAGCTTAAAAATCCCAATTTCACAGTCATTGAGTTCCTTGAAAACTGTCAGGACCATGTGACACAATGACAAAGGAGGTGGTTGCGAGAGGCACAAACCTAGCAGAAGCTACAGCAGACAAAAGAGAGAAGAATGCAGTTGCATGCCCAACACATAGACACCACACAAGGTCGCTGGATAGTAGGCCAAGGAATGTGAGATCTTTTTAAATATCAGATGAGACACCATGATTTCTGGTGTTTGCAGCTTCTGGATCTTGACGCCCTTATCTCATGGATGCTGAAGCTTTATCATGTCTTAAAATCTTGGCCAAATGCATATCGGGCTGAGTGCTATTTATCTTTGGTGGCTGACTCTGCTTTTTGGTTAGTGTTCAGTTTGTTCTAAATGGGAAATCAACTTACATTTAAAGATAACAGACTGGTCAAGGTCAGAGAATTGGTGGATGGCAGGGGAAGGAGAGGTCCTTGAAGCCAACTGGATTCTTCCACTATGCCACACTGCTTGCCCTAGAGGAGAGAAACAGATTTACCATGTAACCCATTACTCACTAGAAAATGCCAGGGCAATACAAGGAGGCAGGTTGTGATCTAATAATTATTTCTTTTCTTTTTCTTTCTTTTTTTTTTTTGAGATGGAGTCTCCCTCTGTTGCCCAGGCTGGAATGATCTCGGCTCACTGCAACCTCCACCTCCCGGGTTCAAGCAATTCTCCTGCCTCAGCTTCCCGGGTAGCTGGGATTACAGGCACACGCCACCACGCCTGGCTAATTTTCATACTTTTAGTAGAGACGGGGTTTCGCCTTGTTGTCCAGGCTGGTCTTGAACTCCTGACCTCAAGTGATCCACCCATCTTGGCCTCCCAAACTGCTGGGATTATAGGCATGAGCCACTGCGCCCCGCCCCACCAAAAACTTAAATTTTTTATTGTTAATCAATCTAACAGATTTGTCCAAAATAATAAGAGCAACAATGTAGTCAATTGTGTGTGCTTACATATATTGCTTATGTATAAGTGAAATGAATGGCAGCAGGGCTATCATGGATGGGAGGACAGGACTAGGATTATTTTGTTATTTTAAGGTACCTGCACTACCTGTAAAGTGGTATAGTGTTAGTTGAAAGTGGACTTGGATTAGTTGTAAATGCATATTGCAAACTCTAGGACAATCACTAAAAAAGTAAAAAGAAATATAATTGATATGCTAACAGAGGAGAGAAAATGGAATCATATAAAATGCCCAATTAAAACCACAAAAAGCAGAAAAAGCATGGAAGACAAAAGTAGAAACAGAGAACAAGGGCAACAAATAGCAGACAGTAACAAATATGGTAGCTATTAATCCAATTAGATAAAGAAAAATCACTTTAGGTTGGGCATGGTGGCTCATGCCTGTAAGCCCAGCACTTTGGGAGGCTGAGGCAGGCAGATCACTTGAGCTCAGGAATTCAAGACCAGCCTGGGCAACATGGCGAAACCCTGTCTCTACAAAAAATAAAAAAAATTAGTTGGGTGTGTTGGTGTGCTCCTGTAGTCCCAGCTACTTGGGAGGCTGAGGAGAGTGGATTGCTTGAGCCCGGGAGGTTGAGGCTGCAGTGAGCTGTGATTGTGCCACTGCACTCCAGCCTGGGTGACAGAGCAAGACCCTGTCTCAAAAAAAAAAAAAAAAAAAAAAAAACCTTGAATATAAATGATCTAAACACATCAAACAAAAGACAGAAATTGTCAAATGGATGATAAAACAAAGGCCAACTATATGTTGTCTACGAGAAATGTACTTTAAATATAAAGACATATATAGATTGAAAGTTAAGGGATAGAGAAAACTATCCAATGCTAACACTCATCAAAAGAAAGCAGGAGTAGCTGTATTAATTTCAGGCAGAGCAGACTTTAGAGCAAGGAAAGTTATCAGGAATAAAGAGGAGCATTACATAATGAAAAAGGAGTCAAAACTATAAGAGGGTATAACAATCTTAATGTGTATATGCCTAACAAAAGAACATCAAAATTACCTTACAACAGACACAAAACTTTTTGTCTCTATAAAAAATTTTTTAAAAAGTAGCTGGGCATGGTGGTGCATGCCTGTGGTCCCAGCTACTCATGAGGCTGAGGTGGGAGGACTGCTTAAGCCCAGGAGGTTAAGGCTGCCGTGAGCCATCGATCATACCAGTTCACTCCAGCCTGGGCAACAGAGTGAAACCCTGCCGCAAAGAAAACCCCCAAATAATATTTACATTAGCACCCCCCAAAAAGGAAATACTTAGGTATAAATCTAACCAAATATGTATGACATCTATATGAGGAAAAGTATAAAACTGATGAAAGAAATCAAATAATAACTCAATAAATGAAGAGATATACCATGTGCATGGACAGGAAAACTCAATATTATCAAGATGTCAGTTCTCCCCAATTTGATCTATAGATTCAACACAATCCTAATCAAATTCCCAGTCAGTTATTGTGTGGATATCAGCAAATTGCTTCTAAAGTTTATACGGAGGGGCAAAAGACCCAGAATAGCCACCACAATACTGAAGATCAGTGTTAGAGGACTGACACTACCTGACTTCAAGATCTACTAAAAAGCTACAGTAATCAAGACAGTGTGGTATTCGCATAAGAATAGACAAATAGATCAATGGAATGGAATAGAGAGCTCAGAAATTGACTCACACAAATATAGTCTACTCTTTTTTTTTTTTTTTTTTGAGACAGAGTCTCACTCTGTCGCCCAGGATGGAGTGCAGTGGTGTGATCTTGGCTCACTGCAACCTCCACCTCCCACGTTCAAGCAATTCTTGTGTCTCAGCCTCCCGAGTAGCTGGGATTACAGGCACGCACCACCACGCTCAGCTAATTTTTGTATTTTTAGTAGAGACAGGGTTTCCCCATGTTGGCCAGACTGGTCTTGAACTCCTTGACCTCAGGTGATCCACCCACCTTCACCTCCCAAAGTGCTGGGATTACAGATGGAGCCACCATGCCCGGCCCCCTAGGTTCTGACAAGTAGTCATCTTTACCTAAAACTCAGTTAACATGATTTGTTTTCATACTATTCATTCCTTTTGAAATTTTATTTAAAAAATTGATATATGATTCACCCCTGTAATCTCACATCTATAATCCCAGCACTTCGTGAGGCTGAGGCAGGTGGATCACCTGAGGTCAGGAGTTTGAGACCAGCCTGGCTAACATGGTGAAACCCCATCTCTACTAAAAATACAAAAATTAGCCTGGCGTGGTGGCAGCCACCTGTAATCCCAGCTACTTGGGAGGCCGAGGCAGGAGAATTGCTTGAACCCGAGAGGCAGAGGTTGCGGTGAGCTGAGATCTCGCCATTGCACTCTAGCCTGGGCAGTAGAGTGAGATTCTGTCTCAAAAAAAACAAAACAAAAAAACCACACAAAAACTTACAAAACATAACCTATGTACAAAAATGCATACTAAACATATGTACTTTTTATTTTAAAGGAAGAAACAATCTAATGTAAGTCACCTATGTCAACAAAACAGAATATTACAGAACTCCCCCACATGTAAGTAACCTCCTGGATCATGACTCTTAACCTCCTCCCCAGAGGTAACTCCTAACTCATAATAAATCCAGTTCTTGTTTTTCACATGTGTTTGTTTTTGTTTTACACTGAGGTGTGCATCCTGGATTTGAGTATTGTATGGATGGGATGGAGTCTTACCCTTTGGATTCGTTCTCTCTCTCTCTCCTTTTGCTGAACATTATGATTTTGAGGTATCATCCATGTCTCAATGTATAGTTGTGTATTTTCATTCTATAGAGTATTCATTCTATTGAACGAGTATGCCACAATTTAATTTGCGTTTTACTATAGATGGACTTCGGGTTTTCCATTTGGGGTTATTATAAATTATGCCGTTATGAAGTTTTTTTTGTTTTTTAGAGACAGGGTCTCGTTCTGTTGCCTAGGTGGGAGTGCAGTTGTGCTATCACAGCTCATTGTGGCCTCAACCTCCTGGGCTCAGGTGATCCTCCCTCAGCCTCCTGAGTAGCTCGGACTACAGGTATGTGACACCACACCCAGTTAATTTTTTGTATTTTTAAAATAGAGACAGAGTCTCCCTATGTTGCCCAGGCTGGTCTCGAACTCCTGGACTCAAGCGATCCACCCACCTTGGCCTCCCAAAGTGCTGGGATTACAGGCATGAGCCACTGCACCTGGAAAGATTCTTAAACACTTACCTTGATGTACAATGTGCATACACATGTTTCTCTGGGGCATAGACATAGGGTAGAACTGCCCACAGGCTATGCTCTCTTCAACTTTATTAGATAATGCCAAACTGAGCTCATATCCAGTTACTTGGGTGTGAGACTTCCAGGCAAAAAAGTTGTTTAAATTTTTTTTTTTTTTTTTTTAGAGACAGAGTGTTGCTCTGTCACTTAGGCTGGAATGCAGTGGCGCAATCTCAGCTTACTACAACCTCTGCCTCCCAGGTTCAAGCAATTCTCCTGCCTCAGCTTCCCAAGTAGCTGGGACTACAGGTGTGTGCCACCACACTCGGCTAATTTTTGTATTTTTTAGCAGAGATGGGGTTTCACTATATGCTGGCCAGGCTGGTCTCGAACTCCTGACCTCAGGTGATTTGCCTGCCTCAGCCTCCCAAAGTGCTGGGATTACAGGCATGAGCCACTGCACCTGGCCTAAAAAGTTGTTTAAAAAAGATAATGCCAAATTGTTTTCCAAAGTAGTTGTACTAATTTACACTCCCACCCGAGGCATATGACAGTTCCTATGCTCCACATTATCAGAACCTGATATTGTCAGTCTTTTCCCTACTTTGTAATACTGGAGCTGCACCTGCGCAACCTACATTTTGTGTTTTGGCAGCCGGCTCCATGTTATACTCTGCCAATAGGGGGCACTGAAGGACTTTTCTGCTTCCTGTTTGCTGCTTTGTTTCTCCTCACTGCTGGGACTCACTTGATGGGCGCAGTGTAGCACTGGCCCCGTGGCATTCCCTGTGCAGGCATCCGGTGAGTTTCCTCCTCACTGTGGTGATGGGTGGTGGCTTCCTGCAGAAGCTGCAAAATTCTTTTCTTTCCTTTTGTTTTTGTTTTGATACAGTCTCTCTCTGTCGCCCAGGCTGGAGTGCAGTGGTTTGATCATGGCTCACTGCAGCCTCGAACTCCTAGACTCAAGTGATCCTCCTGCCTCAACCTCCCAAAGTGCTGGGATTACAGGTGTGAGCCACCACATCCTGCCCAACATTTTTTTTTTTTTTTTTTTTAAGGCAGGGGCTTGCCCAGGCTGGAATGCAGTGGCCGATCATAGCTCACTGCAGCCTTGAACTCCCGGCTCAAGTGATCCTCCTGCCTCAGCCTCCCCAGTAGCTGGGACTGAAGACATGCACCACCACATCCAGCTAATTTTTAAATTTTTTTGCATGATGAGGGCTTACTATTTTGCCCGGGCTGGTCTCGAACTCCTGAGTTCAAGCAATCCTCCTGACTTGGCCCCCCAAGGAGCTGGGATTACAGGTGTGAGCCATCACTTCTGGCCTGCTTAACTCTCTAAATACTTTACCTACACCTGTTCCAGCATCTTATAGTCATATCCCAGTATTTAGTGGGGGCAGAATCAGGTAGTTATAAGTGGCTAGCTAGCCAGGAGGAAAGACTTGGTACTGATCCCTTCCTAGCTTGGGACAACTTTCTTTGGGGAGCTGGAGAGATAGTTTGGCTGGACAAATGAGGGGGCTCAGGGTCTAAGAGCAAATTACAGACAGAAATGGGATAGGTAATCCAGGATGAAGTAGCCAGCATGTCAATCAATCACAGTAGTCCTGTCACTGGAGTTGCCCAGGTTCTTGGCGTTTTGAACAAAGAATTGGACAAAACGCACAAACGAAGCAGTGAAAGAATGAAGCAACAAAAGGACAGATTTACTGAAACGAAAGTATGCTCCAGAATGGCAGCAGGCTCAAGCAAGTGGCTTGAGAGCACTGGTTACAGAATTTTCTGGGGTTTAAATAACCTCTAGAGGTTTCCCATTGGCTACTTGGTTATACCCTATGTAAATGAAGACTTGGCCAACGACTAGTCTGATTGGTCATGGGAGGCGAACAATCAGAGGCTGAAGTGAAGTTACAAAGGCAGTGGCTCACGCCTGTAATTCCAGCACTTTGGGAGGCTGAGGCGGGTGTTCGAGACCAGCCTGGCCAACATGGTGAAACCCCATCTCTACTAAAAATACAAAATTTAGCCAGGCGTGGTAACACGCGCTATAGTCCCAACTACCTGGGAGGCTGCGCTGAGGCAAGAGAATTGCATGAACCTAGGAGGTGGAGGTTGCAGTGAACGGAGATCGCACCACTGCACTATAGCCTGGGCGACAGAGTGAGACCCTGTCTCAAAAAAAAAAAAAAAACAAACAAACAACTTGGCCTGCAATCAGTCTGATTGGTCGCGGGAGGGGACCAATCAGAGGTGCTTTCCATTTTTCATCTGTGACGCAGTGGTAAGGGAGTAGCCGCTGATCCTTTTGTTACTTGGGTGTGGAGAGGTGGGGTTTTCCTTTTGATTCAGTACTAGGAAGTCAGTGTGAATTGGCCTTGGGTTCCCTGCCTCCAGACCCTATTCTCCTGCCTCATTTCCCCACTGAGAGATGTGATCCCCATACATTTTTATGGGAGGCAGAGGGACCAATGGTCTTTCTTATGTGACTGCTTCCAGCTGACTTGGGGTGTAGTCCCTACCATTGGGGATCACAGAACTCTCGCCGCTCTCTGTCTAGTGGAGACAGGGTGGCTTCTTGATGGCCAACAGTAGTGTCTTCAGCTGGAACTGGCTGGAAACCTTGTTGCATGATCATCTGAAGTTTGATGGTCCCTAGGCAAGAAGAAACGAAATTGGTTAAGAGATTTAACAAACATGGTCCAAAAACCAAGACAAGTATAATCATTAATAATTGGCCAGCCAGCAGAAGGAGCCATGAACCCCTACTTAGCATTTTTGGCCAGGAGCCCCATGACTTGGACAGCTGTTGTCGTACCTTAGAGGCCCAATTGGCTAGTTTTCTGGTGTCATCTCTTATTAATCCTGATTGATTGATATAAAAAAGCATTCTTCTAGGAAAAGACATAAGCCACCTTTTTCAGCAGTTAGGAGATCCAGTCCCCTTCTATTTTGTAAAGCAACTGCTGCTAAGGAGTCTATTTGATTGTGTATCTTCCAAGCTGTCTGAAAGCTTGTCTGAGTCATGGGGCTCCTGGTCAAAAATGCTAAGTTCATGGCTCCTTCCTCTGGCTGGCCAATTATTAATTATTACACTTGTCTTGGTTTTGGTTTTTGGACTTTATTTATTTATTTATTTTGGGACGAAGTCTTGCTCTGTTGCCCAGGCTGGAGTGCCATGGCATGATCTCAGCTCACTGTAACCTCCACCTCCCACGTTTAAGCAATTCTCCTGTGTCAGCCTCTGGAGTAGCTGGGATTACAGGCACGTGCCATCATGCCTGGCTAATTTTTGTATTTTTAGTGGAAACAGGGTTTCACCATATCGGCCAGTCTTGTCTCAAATTCCTGACCTCAGGTGATCCGCCCACCTCAGCCTCCCAAAGTGTTGGGATTACAGGCATGAGCCACCGTGCCTGGCCTGGACCATCTTTGTTAAATCTCTTAACCGAATTCATTTCCTCTTGCCTAGAGACCATCAAGCTTCAGATGATCCTGCGACAAGGTTTCCAGCCAGTTCCAGGTGAAGACCCTACCACCGGCCATCAAGAAGCCACCCTCCACTAGACAGAGTGGGGCGAGAGTTCTGTGACCCTTGGACAAGCATTGGTGATAGGACAGGGAAGTTGCAAGCCCACCAACTCCCATTCCTACTCCCGCTGTTATTTCTAGGCTTACCAAAAGGGGTAGGAGTTGGATGGCTCGTTTGTGTCTGGCGGTTGCAGTTAAAGGTATAATGAGGGATTGGTTCTTGGGAGCTATATTGATATCGGAGGCTAAATAAACAAGTGTATAGGTTCCAGTCCAATCAGCTGGTAATTATAAGTAAACTAGTCCCACACAGGAAAAAGGCTCCTTGTTTTTCAAGACAAAAATTGTTTGTTTGCTTTTTGAGCTGGAGTTTTTCTCTGTCGCCCAGGCTGGAGTGCAGTGGCGCAATCTTGGCTCACTGCAACCTCCGCCTCCTGGGTTCAAGTGATTCTCCTGCCTCAGCCTCCCAAGTAGTTGGGATTACAGGTGCCTGCCACCATGCCTGGCTAATTTTTTGTATTTTTAGCATAGACGGGGGTTTCTCCATGTTAGTCAGGCTGGTCTCGAACTCCTGACCTCGTGATCTGCCCGCCTCGGCCTCCCAAAGTGGTGGGATTACAGGTGTGAGCCACCGAGCCCGACAAAGTGTTCTTACTACAAAAGCAAAAACAGGGCTGGGTGTGGTGGCTCACGCCTGTAATCCCAACACTTTGGGAGGCCAAGGCAGGTGGATCACCTGAGGTCAGAAGCTCAAGACCAGCCTGACCAACATGGTGAAACCCCGTCTCTACTAAAAATACAAAAATTAGCCAGGCATGGTGGCAGGTGCCTGTAATCCCAGCTACTTGGGAGGCTGAGGCAGGAGAATCTCTTGAACCCGGGAGGCAGAGGTTGCAGTGAGCCGAGATTGCGCCACTGCACTCCAGCCTGGGCGACAGAGCAAGACTCCATCTCAAAAAAAAAGAAAAAGAAAAAAACAAGGAAACTTTAGCAGGTGTTGGACATGTATATTACCTTGATTGTGGTGATGTTATCAACTAGTGTTTGCATATGTCCAAGCTCATCACATTGTATACATGAAATATGTGCAGTTCTTCTTATGTTGATTATACCTCAATAAAGTTGTTGAGGAGGAGAATGAAGATGAGGAGGACGAAGAAGAAGGTGCCATCTAGTAGCTGCAGTTCCGGGGAAGCTCTCCAGTTCATGCAGGGATCCCAGGTTAAAGAAAAGATAGACTGTGAAAGTTATTAGAACCAAAAATGAGGGACAAAGGCCAAGGTAGAATCCAATGATAAGATCTAGAGCCCCCAGTAGGAGACTGAGATGTTAAGCAAGTTTCCAGAATAGGTACTTGGGGCAGTGACAAAGTAAGAATTCTGGATGTAAGAATTAAGGTCCCATATCAGAATCAAATGATGTGGAAGGGTAGCTGGATGCTTATGTCTGGCCTTCCAGGGGCTGGAGTCTGTTAAATGTCTCTTGCCTTAGGTTAGATCAATCCTGGGATTTGATTCAGTGTTGATTTTATGGGTATGGGCAAAACCTGGCACATTCCTTTCTCCTTGATAATGGTTTCTGCTGTATAAATGTCATCTCCTCCACTGGTCTGCAAGCTCTTGAGGCCAGGGCTTTCTTAGGTTTACCTTCTATTGTAGCTAACTCAGTGCATTGCACAGAGTGAAAGTGGCTGGTATTAAATAAATGTACGTTGAGAGAGGTGAGGAATAGTCCTGGATCTCTGGAGTGAAAAAATAGGGAATGGGGATGTGGTTGTTGGGGATGAAGAGGAAAACTGGCACAGGCAATGATTCAAGATGAGAAGCTGGGACTAGGGAAGAGTGAGTGAGATGCCAGGCTGGGGTGGGGTAAGCTGGGTTGAGCCAATGCAAACCTTACTCTGGCAAGGTCGGGAGAGAAAGGGAGTTGTGGGGCATCCCCTGGATAGCTATTCATATGAGGGAGCCTATCTATATGTGGAGGTCATATATACTATATATAGAGAGGTTGGAGAGTGGCTGAAAATAAAAAAACTTACTAAATATGTAAATTGGAGATCATTACATGTGCAACACAGTGATTATTTGCCTTACAGAAGGGTTCATTATAGGGATGCTATTAAAAACAAAAATAGGCTGGGCATGGTAGCTCACACCTGTAATCCCAGCACTTTGGGAGGCCGAGGCTGGTGGATCACCTGAGGTCTGGAGTTCGAGACCAGCCTGGCCAACATGGTAAAACCCCGTCTCTACTAAAAATACAAAAATTAGCTGGGCGTGGTGGCGTGCACCTGTAGTCTCAGCTCCTCAGGGGACTGAGGTGAGAGGACCGCTTGAACCCAGGAGGCGGAGGCTGCAGTGAGCTGAGATCACACCACTGCACTCCAGCCTGGGCGACAGAGCGAGACTCTGTCTCAAAAAAAAAAAAAAAATTAAGGGTCCACCAAGACATTTGAAATTTGATTCCTGCTCCCACACCTCCACTAGGCAATACTCTAATGCTGACTGTCTGTGGTGGCTCCGCCTGTGAAGCAGAGATTTCTGCCTGGGCCCCCATGCTATCCATAACATCCCTTCTAATCCAGGTGGAGGTAGCCATGCCCCCACAGCTCTTGCATTCGGTGAGCCTGCAGACTTAACACCATGTAGATGCTGTCAAGGTTTACTGCTTGTGCCCTCTGGAGTGGGGGCCCAAGCCATGCCTTGGGACACTTGGGCCACTTGAGACACAGCTGGGATGGCCAAGGGATGCTGCAGTGGAATAAGACCCAAGGCAGGCCTGGGCAGTGAGCCTTCAGGGGGTGCCTCAGGCCTGTTCCCTAAAACCATTCTGCCCTCCTAGAGCTCTGGGCCTCTGATGGGAGAGGCAGCCTCAAAGATCTTTGAAACACCTTTGGGGTAATTTTCCTGTTGTTTTGATGAACAGCACTTGGCTTCCTTCTGCCCATACTAGTCTCTTTAGCAAATGGTTGCTTGGCCACACCCTTAGTATTCTCTTGAGAACATGCTTTCTCACTCTTTACGTGGCCAGGCTGTGAATTTTCCAAATCTTTCTATTCTGCTTCCCTTATCATTATAAATTCTGTCTTTAAGTAGCGTGTTTGCTCTCACATCTCACTGTATGCCATTAAAAGTAGCCACACAGCAGCCGGAATGCTTTGCTGCTTAGATATTTCTTCCACTGGATATCCTAGTTTATCATTCTTATGTTCTACAATCTATAAAGTCCTAGGACGTGGACACAATTCAGCCAAGGCCTTTGCAACTTTATAACAAGGATGGTCTTTACTCTAAGGTAAGTTTCTAACACCTTGTACTCATTTCCATCTGAGACCACATCAAAAAGGCCTTTATTGTACATATTTCTACCCGCATTCTGATCACAATCACTTTTGTAATCTCTAAGAAGGTCCAGACTTTCCCTACAGCTCTTGTAATTTTTTTTTTTTTTTTGAGACAGAGTCTCGCTCTGTTGCCTGGGCTGGAGTGCAGTGGTGCGATCTTGGCTCATGCAACCTCGTCCTCCCAGCTTCAAATGATTCTCATGACTCAACCTCCCTAGTAGCTGGGACTACAGGCATGTGCCACCATGCCCAGCTATTTTTTTTTTTTTTTTGTATTTTTAGTAGCGAAGGGATTTCGCTGTGTTGGCCAGGCTGGTCTTGAACTCCTGGCCTCAAGTGATTCGCCCACCACAGCCTGCTCTTGTCTTCTTCTGAGCCCTCACCAGAATCACCCTTAATGCTCTATTCACAGTAACAGAGGCTTTTTCTAGCCTGCTCCTCCAAATTCTCCCAGCCTCTACGCAGCACCCAGTTCCAAAGCCGCTTCCACATTTTCAGGTATTTAGTACAGCAGCAACCCACTCCTAGTACCAATTTTCTGTTTTAGTCCATTTTCTGTTGTTATAACAGATACCACAGACTGGATAATTTATAAACAACAGAATGCTATTTGGTTCATGGTACTGGAGTCCAGGAAGTCCAAGAGCACAGTGCTAGCATCTGGCCAGGGTCATCCCATGGCAGAAGGCATCACATGGCAAGGGGGCACATGTGCGAGACAGAGAGAAAAAGGAGGACAAACTACTTGTGATAATGAATCCACTCCCGCAGTAACAGCATTCATCCATTCATGACCTAATCGCCTCTCTCTTTTTTATATTTATTTATTTTATTTTTATTTATTTATTTTTGAGACAGAGTCTCACTCTGTTGCCAGGCTGGAGTGCAGTGGCACGATCTTGGCTCACTGCAACCTTTGCCTCCCGGGTTCAAGCAATTCTCCTGCCTCAGCCTCCCCAGTAGCTGGGATTACAGGCAGCTAATTTTGTGTTTTTAGTAGAGACGGGGTTTCACCATGTTGGCCAGGATGGTCTCAGTCTCTTGATCTCGTAATCTACCAGCCTCAGCCTCCCAAAGTGCTGGGATTATAGGCATGAGCCACTGCACCCGGCATCTCTTTTTTATTGAAACAGGGTCTTACTCTGTCACCCAGGCTACAGTGCAGTGGTACAATCAATCCTAGCTCACCACAGGCTCGAACCGCTGGGCTCAAGCAATCCTCCAACCTCAGCCTCCTGAGTAGCTAGAACCACAGGTCCTAATCACCTTTTAAAGGTCCTACCTTTCAGTACCATTAAAATGGCAATTACTTTTTTTTTTTTTTGAGATGGAGTCTCACTCTGTCACCCAGGCTGAAGTGCAGTGGCGCCATCTCAGCTCACTGAAACCTCCTCCTCCCAGGCTCAAGCGATCCTCCCTTCTTAGCCTCCTGAGTAGCTGGGACTACACACCTGCACCACCATGCCTGGCTAATTTTTTTTATTTTTTGTAGAGATGGGATTTTGCCATGTTGGCCAGGCTATTTTCAAACTCCTGGGCTTAAGGGATCTGCCTGCTTCAGCCTCCCAAAATGTTGGGATTATAGGCATGAGCCATTGTGCCTGGCCTAGGTGATTCTTATGATCAAACCAGTCTAGGAAACATTGACTTAGACCAGTGCTTCCCAAACCTTAATATGCATACAAATAGCCTGGGCATTTTGTTAAAATGAAGATTCTAATTCAGTAGGCTTGGTGTGGGGCCTGAGATTCTGCCTTTCTGACAAGCTCCCAGATGACGCTGAAGCTGCTAGTCCACGCTTTGTGTAGCAAGGACTTAGAACAATTCTAATAGAACTTTCTTTGAGATGGAAATGTTCTGCATGGCCCAATATGGCAGCCACTAGCCATGTGTAGTCATATAGCATGTGAAATGAGGCAGATATGACTGAGGAGCTACATTTTAAATTGTATTTCGTTTAGATTAAACTTAAATTCAAATTGAAATAGACACATGTGGCTAGTGGCTACCATATGGAAAGCCAGATTCAGAACCTTCTTCAGGATAACTTGCTGAAGAAAGTGCTCCAGAATCATTCCAGGTTAGTAAGTTATGCTGGTTTTTCAAATCTTTGATTTAGAAATTAGCATTCTCAGGCCAGGCTCAGTGGTTCACGCCTGTAATCCTAGCATTTTGGGAGGCCAAGGAGAGTGGATCACCTGAGGTCAGGAGTTCGAGACCAGCCTGATCAACATGGTGAAACCCCGTCTCTACTAAAATACAAAAAATTAGCTGGGTGTGGTGGTGGGAGCCTGTAATCTCAGCTACTCGGGGGGCTGAGGCAGGAGAATTGCTTGAACCCAGGAGGCGGAGGTTACAGTGAGCCGAGATCGTGCCATTGCACTCCAGCCTGGGCAACAAGAGTGAAACTCTGTCTCAAAAAAAGAAAAAAAAAAAAAAAAGAAAAAGAAACTAGTATTCTCATACAGTAAAGACTGTGGGCGGTGTACTTTATTCCTGGAAGCCTCAATCGAGTCATGTTGTCTGTATAATGTGCTTTCTAGGAAATTTTCTTTATCTCAACTTCTGCTATTTGGTTTCTAAAGTTTGTTTCTCATTTACAAACTTTTCCAAAGTCATCAACATTTAAGAAAGGGAAATAGAGTAACTCATTTATTGAAATCTTTATTATTGAAAAAAATTCACCCTAAAATAATTCTGAATGTCCAATTCAGAAATAGCAAAACATATTTGGGACTGTTGGCAACTCTATTTACCAAGGAGTTGAAATACTTAAGGCTGTTCACGCCAGAAAACATTTGCAGTCATTTCCTTAGAGAGACTGCCAGAAAATTGGCCCATCCTGCCCTGCCAAAACATTTTATGAAAATTTGGAGCTTGCCTGTTATTTGTGGAAACTGTGCTAGCAAATGGGTAGACGACAAGGACTTCATTGTTCATGACACCAAACCTTTAATGTCTTATGTCGTGCTTTGGAAGTTTGCAGGCTTAGGCTTGGTATATTTTTCTTTCTCTATCCTAGCCAACACTACATAATAAAAAAGGTTTGAACACTGTGAGTTTACACAAAGCATCCCACAGAGCCACAGATTTCCATCTTCTTTTCTCAGGCACCTGGGTTGACGGTCCCCACCACTGGAGGGGAGAAGGGAAGCCATTGAGAGTACTGTAGTATTCAGGCCTGCTGGGTCCAGGTCTTTAGACCACGTGGTGGACTGACTCCCTCTCTCTAGATGCCTAGAGGCAAGGTTTGGAAAGACAACTTGCTGAAAATGTGTGAAGCAGAGTGTATTGGAAATTTCCAAAACTCAGGAGCTAAACGACTTCTTTAGGAAAAGGAGGAAAATGTCCTCTGAGTGAATTTCGTGTTAGCTTGTCTAATTTCACTGTGCTCTATACTCAAAGTCTGTAGGATTTTGCATGAAGGACTATTTGTGTTCATTTACATAAACATGTATGAGTCCATTTGCTTAACAAATGAATACCTATTTGTGCCTATGAGAAATGCGAGCAATGCGTTAACTTCATTGATAACTCTGACCATTAAAATTGCTTATTAATTTATCTGGAGATTATGTATGTATCGCAGGACGTGGTGTGTGGTAGGCTTAGTAAATACTTCCTGCCTGAACGTGGAATGAATGTGCGTGATGTTTCATGCAGATGAATTACAATGCTGGATGCTGGCTTTAGCTGGGTGGTCTGAAACAGCTCTGAGAGGGGCTTATGTCTGTGGGCTTTTCCAGTCATTATAGAGTCATGTTGCCCAGGCGGGAGTTCTGGTGCTCTGTTGCCCAGGCTGGAGTTCAATGGCGTGATCAAGGTTCACTGCAACCTCTGCCTCCTGGGTTCAAGAGATTCTTGTGCCTCAGCCTCCTGAGTAGCTGGGATTACAGGTGCCAGCCACCATGCCCGGCTAATTTTTGTATTTTTAGTAGAGACAAGGTTTCACCATTTTGGCCAGGCTGGTCTCGAACTCCTGACCTCAGGTGATCCACCCGCCTCGGCCTCCCAAAGTGCTGGGATTACAGTCGTGAGCCACCGCACCCTGCCTATCCTGTCATTTCTAAAAAGTAATTTGAGATTTTTAATTTTGACTTTTTTTTTTTGAGACAAGATCTCACCACGTTGCCCTGGCTGGTCTTGAATTCCTGGGCTCAAGCAATCCGCCTGCCTTGGCCTCCCAAAGTGCTGGGATTACAGGCATGAGCCACCATACCTGGCACAATTTGAAATATTTTAAAATGGTAAGTCTTTGGTTTTGAGTTTCTCTAATGTGTGTTTGTCACTGAAGTGGTGTTGATTCCATATTTACACCTTTTCAATTACTCACTTAAAAATATGTTTATGCTCCTCTGCCTGCCTCTTTTGAGCATGGTTTTATTTTATTTTGGAGGTTTTCTTACTTTATTTTGCCTAAATCCCTTTATGTAGTGTCAGTCTTAAATGTCACCCTTTGGCAACCGTTGATGAACAGCTTCTCAAACTTTTTTTCTTTTCTTTTTTTTTTTTTTTTTTTTGAGAGACGGTCTTGCTCTGTTGTCTAGGCTGTAGTGCAGTGGCACGATCACATCTCATTGCAGCCTCAAACTCCTGGGCTCAAGCAATCCTCCTACCTCAGCCTCCTGAGTAGCTGGGACTACAGGTGCACACCACCAACCCTAGTTAATTTGTTTAGTTTTTGGTAGAGATGGGGTCTCACTATGTTGCTCAGATTGGTTTTGAATTGCTAGCCTCAAGCTATCCTCCTGCCTCGGCCTCCCAAAGTGCTGTGATTATGGGCATGAGCCACTGTGCCTAGCCCTCAAACTTTAACCTGCATCAGAATTCCCTAGGAGATTTGTTAAAACACAGATTGCTGGACCTACCCCCTTGTTTCTGTTCAGTGAGTTTGAGGCAAAGCCCAAGAAATTTGCATTGCTAATAAGTACCCAGGTGAGACAGATGCTGCCGCTCTGGGGACTGCACTTTGAGAACCGCTGACCTGAGGGATCAAGGCATTGAACATCAACAGCTGCTGATGTCATGAAAGGAGAGACGACCAGGTGTTATGTGCCTCCTGATGAAAAAACACACTACCTACCATCTAGGAAACATTCTTGCCAAAAAAAAAAAAAAAAAGAACTTGAATCTTACCAAACCTCTAAACTACCAATTTGTAGGAAATATAGACAGAGTAACATATGGGGATGCAATTGGCCAAGTCCAGAACATGAGAAACCAGGATTCTTCAAATAACAAATTACAAAAAAAGAAAGAAAGAGAGAGATGGAGGAGGAACCCATAGATTAAAGGAGATTTCAGGCCGGGTGATGTGGCTCATGCTTGTAATCCCAGCACTCTGGGAGGCCAAGGTGGGTGGATCACTTGAGGACAAGACTTTGAGACCAGCCTGGTGAATATGGTGAAACTCCATCTCTACTAAAAATACAAAAGTTAGCCAGGCGTGGTGGTGTGTGCCTGTAGTCCCAGCTACTCAGGAGAGTAGCTTGGCAGGAGAATCGCTTGAACCCGGGAGGCAGAGGTTGAGGTGAGCCGAGATCACGCCACTGCATTCCAGCCTGGGCGACAGAGCGAGACTCTGTCTCAAAAAAAAAAAAAAAGATTTCAAAGGCCTATCAATCAACTGCAACATATGGACCATATTTTCTTCTAAAGCTGTAAAAAAATGTATATACATATATTTTTAAGACAGAGTCTTGCTCTGTCGCCCAGGCTGGAGTACAGTGGCACAATCTCGGCTCACTGCAACCTCCGCCTCCCAGGTTCAAGGGATTCTCCTGCCTCAGCCTCCCGAGTAGCTGGGACTACAGGCGTGTGCCACTATGCCCGGCTAAGTTTTTGTCTTTTTAGTAGAGACGGGGTTTTACCATGTTAGCCAGGATGGTCTCGATCTCCTGACCTCGTGATCCGCCTGCCTCTGCCTCCCAAAGTGCTGGGTTTACAGGCGTGAGCCACTGCGCCAGGCAAAAAATTTGTATTTTTATCAGAAAATTGGAAATTTGAATAGTGAGTGGTATCTTATGATATTAAAAAATTATTTTAAATTATTTAGGTGGCATTATGGTTATGTTGTGTGGTACATAGGATAATAGCTCCCCCGAAGATGTCCACATCCTAATCTCTGGAACCTGTAAATATGTGGCAGAAGGGACTTTGCAGATGTGTTTATGTTAAGGACCTTCTAGTGGGGAATTATCCTGGATTGTCTGGTTGTGTCCAATGTAATCACAGGATCCTTATGAAGGAAAGAAGAGAGTAGGAGAGTCAAAGTCAGAGAAGGGAATGTGACAATGGAAGAAAAGGTCAGAGAGAGTAAGAAAGAGGGCTTTGGGGCCAGGTGCAGTGGCTCGTGGCTGTAATATTGGTGCTTTGGGAGTCTGAGGCGGGAGGATCGCTTGAAGCCAGAAGGTTAAGACCAGCCTGGGCAACATAGTGATACTGCATCTCTATTAAAAGTAAAACAAATTAGCTGGGCATGGTGGCATGCTTCTGTAGTCCCAGTGACATGGGAAGTTGAGGCAGGAGGACTTCTGGAGCCCAGGAGTTGGAGGCTGCAGTGAGCCATGATTGCACCACTGCACTAAAGCCTGGGCAACACAGTGAGACCCTGCCTGTAATTTTTTTTTTTAAAAAGGAGAGAGCTTTGAAGATGTTAGATTGCTGGCTTTGAAGATGGACAAAGGACCACAAGCCAAAGAATGCAGGTGGAAAGGACAAGTTAGAAGTTGGAAGTTAGAAAGGACAAGGAAGTGGATTCTCCCCTAGAGCCTCCAAAAGGAATGCAACTGGGCTGACCCATTCTGGACTTCTGACCTCCAGAACTTTAAGATAAACTTCGGGTTTTTTTTTTTTTTTGAGATGGAGTCTCACTCTGTCACCCAGGCTGGTGGCACAATCTCGGCTCACTGCAACCTCTGCCTCCTGTGTTTAAGCAATTCTCCTGTCTCAGCCTCCTGAGTAGCTGGGACTTCAGGCACACACCACCACACCTGGCTAAGTTTTGTATTTTTGTACTTTTTTTTTTTGAGATGGAGTCTCACTCTGTCGCCCAGGCTGGAGTGCAGTGGCGTGATCTCGGCTCACTGCAACCTCCGCCTCTTGGGTTCAAGCGATTCTCCAGCCTCAGCCTCCCGAGTAGCTGGGATTACAAGCACGTGCCACTAAACCTGGCTAATTTTTGTATTTTTAGTAGAGACGGGGTTTCACCATGTTTGCCAGGCTGGTCTTGAACTCCTGACCTCAGTTGATCCGCCCTCAGGTGATCAGCCTGCCTCAGCCTCCCAAAGTGTTGGGATTACAGGCGTGAGCCACTGCGCCTGGCCTGTAATTTTTTTTAGTAGAGACGAGGTTTCACCATGTTGGCCAGGCTGGTCTCAAACTCTTGACCTCAAGCAATCTGCCTGCCTCGGCCTCCCAAAGTGCTGGGATTACAGGAGTGAGCCACAGCGCCCAGCCAACTTCTGTCATTTTAAGCCACTAAGTTTGTGATAGCAGCAATAGAAAGCTAATACAGTTATGCTATAAAAAGGGTCATCAGCCGGGCATAGTGGCTCATTCCTGTAATCCCAGCAATTTGGGAGGCTGAGGCGGGTGGATCACCTGAGGTCAGGAGTTTGAGACCAGCCTGGCCAATATGGCGAAACACTGTCTCTACTAAAAATACAAATTAAAAAAAAATTAGCCGTGCATGGTGGTGGGCACCTGTAATCCCAGCTACTCGGGAGGCTGAGGCAGGAGACGCGCTTGAACCCGGGAGGCAGAGATTGCAGTGAGCCGAGATCGCATCACTGCACCCCAGCCTGGGCAACAAGAGCGAAACTCTGTCTCAAAAAAAAAAAAAAAAAAAAAGCCATCTTTTAGAGATGCATAATTAAATACTTACAAAATACATGATATGTTGTCTGGAATTTGTTTCAAAATACTATGGCAGTGGGGAGAATAGAGAGAGGTGTGCAGGGGCAGAATTGACCATAATTATTGGGGCTGAGTGATGAGTGCATTCTTTGTGTATTTTAAAAATTGAACACAAATACATACACACGAAAAAGAATAGTTACATCTAAGTGCTATAAACCAAAATACTTCTGAAGACCTAGGTTGGTGAAATCCAAGCTGGTCTCACCTAGGGGTGGTAACACAGCCAAAGTGGGAGTATTATAAGGACTGAAGTGAGAGGGACCATTCTTCAAGTTGGCACTGGAATGGGTGAAGACATAAGGGGCCCAGCCCAGGAAAGACACAGGCTGGAAGGGAAATGAATGATGTGAGGCTCTAGGAAAGTGGAAGAGTTAAATCAGCAAATACATACAGGGAACAGAAAGACAGTGAAATGAACCAGTCAAGGAGAAAAATTGTGCCTTGTTTCATAGAGCCAAATGTTCTACTTGCCCTCTCTTAGGCTCTGGGTCACCTTGGTGTTGAAGAGTAGACAGATGCCCACTTCCATTCACCATTTTGCTTCCTTTTGCCCCCTTTTCCAGTTCTTTTGAACCCATGCTCCCTGAATTATAGCCTTCCCTTTGTCAGATACTGTTGCTTCCTATTTCCATGATTGCCTATTGTATTAGGTCATTCTCACATTGTATACAGAAATACCTGACATTGGACAATTTATAAAGAAAAAAGATTTAATTGGTTCATGGTTCTGCAGGATGTTCAGGAAGCATGGCACTGGCATCGGCTAGGCTTCTGGTGAGGCTTCAGGAAACTTCCAATGACGGTGGAAGGCAAAAGGCGGACTAGTATATCATATGGCAAGAGCAGGAGCAAGAAAGAGAGGGAGGTGCTACACACTTTTAAACAGCCAGATCTCGCGAACTCATTCATCATCGCTAGGACAGCACCAATGGGTTGGTGTAAACATTCATGAGAAATCCACCTCCCACCAGGCCCCATCTCCAACACTAGGGATTACAGTATAACATGAGATTTAAAGAGGGCAACATCTAAACTATATCACCTATATTCATTTGACTTTATGCCTTTCCAATCAATTTTTCTTGGTTGTTTGCTTTATTTTTTTGCTTGTTTTTGGCAAGACAGAGGCAAACAAACAGAATAAAAATGCCCACATAGGTGGTATACATGGAATGCAAAGGGCCTCTAAATATGTTTTTCTTCCCAACCACCACACTGGTTTACAAGTCTGTATTATTTTTATTTTTATTTTTATTTTTTTGAGACGGAGTCTCGCTCTTGTCTCCCAGGCTGGAGTGCAATGGCACGATCTCGGCTCACTGCAATCTCCACCTCCCAGGTTCAAGCGATTCTCCTGCCTTAGCCTCCTGAGTTGCTGGGATTACAGGCGCCCACCACCAAGCCCACCTAATTTTTATATTTTTAGTAGAGACGGGGTTTCACCATGTTGTCCAGGCTGGTCCCGAACTCCTGACCTCAGGTGTTCCACACGCATCAGCCTCCCAAAGTGCTGGGATTACAGGCGTGAGCCACCATGCCCAGGTATTTTTAGTTTTTTGAGATGGATTTTTGCTCTTGTTGCCCAGGCTGGAGTGCAATGGTGCGATCTTGGCTCGCTGCAACCTCTGTGTCCCAGGTTCAAGAGATTCTCCTGCCTCAGCCTCCCGAGTAGCTGGGAATACAGGGGTGTACCGCCACGCCCAATGAATTATTGTATTTTTAGTAGAGACGGGGTTTCTCCATGTTGGCCAGACTGGTCTTGAACACCTGACCTCAGCCTGCCTTGGCCTCCCAAAGTGCTGGGATTACAGGTGTGAGCCACCGCGCCCGGCCTCAAATCTGTATTTAGACCGAGGACTCTAAGGGGAGGAAGGCTCCACAATTTACCTACACAATACCCTGCACAGGTGTAAGGTGAAAACTGCTGTTGGCTGTGAATTAAAGCAAAGTTTTCATTATTAAGATGACTAAGATTTAATATAATTGGAGGCCTTAATGAAAGATAATTCACTGTAAGAAGGAGGAGAAAATAATTGGAAGGCAAATTACAATAGCTTTAACAAAAAAGAAGAGGGGTACAGGGAAGTTGTCTGCAACATTTCCTAAAATGAGGGTGATGCTTTACCAGCAGGGATGAACGTCAAGGACATAATGTTTAGTGAAAGAAGCCAGGCTCAATAGAGGACATATTATGCGAGTCTATTGATAAGATATCCAGGAACAGGCAAAACTAATCTATAGTGATAGAAATCAGAATAATGGTTACCTGAGCAGGAGGCATCATGAGAAGATTTTCTGGGGTAGTCGAAATGATTGTTTGTTTATTTATTTGAGACAGGGTCTCGCTCTGTCACCCAGGCTGGAGTGCAGTGGTGTGATCATAGCTCATTGCAGTATTGCACTCTGGGCTCAAGGGATCCTTCCACCTCAGCCTCTCGAGTAGCTTGGGACTACAGGTATGCTAATTTAATTTTTAAATGAGCTGGCCATGGTGGTGCACACCTGTAGTCCCAAGTATAGTGGGAGATATATTGCCCAGGCTGGTCTCGAATTCCTGGCCTCAAGCGATCCTTCTGCCTCAGCTTCCCAAAGTGTTGGAGTACAGGTGTGAAGCACCGTGCCCAGCCAGAAATGTTTATAACTTGGTGTTGGTGACAACAAGTGGCTGTATGCATATGTAAAAAATTAAGCTGTAGATTTATAATTTCTGCACTTTACTATGTGTAGGTTAAACCTCAACTGAAGAAAAAAAAAAGGATGATACCACACTTGGCCTTGTGGATTGCTAATCCAGCTGGCTCGCTGCCTACTGTGCTGTGCGTCACTCTCCCTGTGACCATGAAACTCAAACTGCCCTGACTGTTCCCAGCCTCTGCCCGCTCCAGCCAGTGGTCCCCTGTCAGTGCTCATCCCATCTCTGGCTGCTCTTGCAGACATCACGTTTCCACTAGGAGAGGTGGGCAGAGCCCTTGGAGTGGTAGCAGCAGCTAGAGGGGTGGTGGGATCTGCAACTGTTTCTACAAGTTTTCTGCTTAATAACCATCAATGGGTCCCCATTCCCCACAGAATGAAGTTCAGACACCTTAGCATAGCACTCCAAGTCCTGTCTAAATTGACCCCTTCTTCTTATTATGATTATTTTTTGAGGCAGGGTCTTACTTTGTCACCCAGGCTGGAGTGTAGTGGCGCGAACTCAGCTCACTGCAACCTCTGCTTTCCAGGCTCAGGCAATTCTCCTGCCTCAGCCTGCTGTGTAGCTGAAACCACAGGCGTTCACCACACGCCTGGCTAATTTTTTGTATTTTTGGTAGAGACGGGGTTTCACCATGTTGCCCAGGCTGGTCTCGAACTTGTGAGCTCAAGCGATTCACTTGCCTCAGCCTCCCAAAGTGCTGGGGTTACAGGCGTGAGCCACCGCGCCTGGCCGCTGCAGTGACTTCTCATTACTTTGTGCACATGCTGTTCTCTATGCACTTCTGTGTCTGTCAAACTGCATTCTTCCCCTCTCAACTCAAATGTCACTTCTTTTACCCTCTTAAAAAATAGGCACATGAGGAACTAACACTTGTGGAGTGTCTGTTATCAACCGGACAGCATTTAGGTGCTTTTCATACCTTATCTTCTTTAACCTTCACTCTAAGACACTTTCTCCAAATCAATTTTATCCACTCGTAGTTCATAGTATTATAGTGCCTTCCATAAAACAGGCTGTGAAATCTTTAAGTGCTATGGACACAGTGCCTCAGGTCTCTACGTTCTCAAACACTTTACAGAAATATTTGAGGCTCCCAGCCCCACAGTTGGTTGGCTTGAAATATGAAAAGAAAACTGTTTCAATAATGGTCCCAGCAGAAACAGAAGATGTAGTTATAAGTGATTTTGAATTTACTGGGTTATTTACAGAGGTGTGGGTAGCTTCCAGGGAACTAGCAAAAGATGCTGAAGGAGCCAGGGACTGGCGGAAGCTGGAAGGTGTACCTGCTTCTCCCCCAACCCCTCACCTTCCTGAAGACGCAGTGAGTACCAAAGTTGTGAAAAGGGGACCCCTGCCAGGAGCTGTCATTGTACTGCCACTGCCACCGTCACTGCCAGGACTGAGGTCCTAGAAGAAAGGGCCATGGGTGAGGGGGAAGGACTCAAATGGAGAATAATCAGAACAAAAGGTGTAAAATAAATTTTTTTTTGTTTGAGACAGGGTCTCACTCTGTCACCCAGGCTGGAATTCAGTGGTGTGATCTTGCTCACTGCAGCCTCGACCTGCCTGGGCTCAAGCCATCCTCCCACCTCAGCCTCCTGAGTAGCTGGGACTACAGGCGTGCACCATCATGCCCAGCTAATTTTTGGATTATGTATGTATGTATGTATTTATTGTGTAGAGACGAGGTTTTGCCATATTGCCCAGGCTGGTCTCAAACTGCTGGGCTCAAGTGATCCACTTGCCTCGGTCTCCCAAAGTGCTAGGATTACAGGCATGAAAATCAAAATGATAAATGTTTTAGTGAAATGTCCAAAAGGCCAGTTGTCAGCTGGTCAACTCTAATTCCATTCATCTAGTTATACAAAAAATATAATATAGGTACATCTAAAAAGGTTCGATATGGGGAAGGGTGTGGTAATAGATCCTAGTTCCTCTGAAGATCTTAAAACATACGTCTATCTATCTCTGTCTCTCCTCTTTGGATGGGGTGTAAACTCCTGGAGTATTCAAACTGTCTTATTCATCCTGGTATTCTCACTTCTGGCAGAGTGGCACATAAGCATTCAATACATCACTGAATGAAGGACTGGCTGAATGTAATAATGGTCAAATGTAGCGTAGTGTTCACTGAGGTTATGTTAGTTTTCACAGCATATAAAACACTTGACTTGGCCAAAGTCAGCTTAGGTGTCATGCACTTTGTTGGTAAAAGGCTAATGTAATTTTACTTTTTTAAATGTGGGGATTTGTTAAGCAAAGACCATGTGGTTTTCTGATAGATTTGACTAGTATTTTCCCCATCTGTGAAGTAAATGTAGCAGATTTTATTATCCCCATTAAAAAAATTAAAACAATCTGAGGCATGGAAAGGTTCTAAAGAAATACAGTTAGTTAGTTGAGATAGACTAATGATAGACTTGAGATTCCAGACGAGAGACAGGGCCGGTCCTCCTTTTGCTAGAATACGATGCCTTCCTGTTAGACTAGCTTCTCTGTCTTCCTATTGCACTTCACTTCTTGATCTTTTTCCAGGGAAGTTACTATTTTGAAGTTAAAAGAAGAGGTTTATTGTAAGCAACCATAACAATACTGAAAACAATTTATATCTTACAGATATGTGCTCTTGGTTTAATGGGGAAAAAAGGGCAAATTGTTAGAAACAGGGATCTGAAGATATTTGTAAAGTCACTATTTTAAACAATCAGTTATTTAATACCCATTCTATGGATTTTTACACTAAGGTAAAAATATGAATAGTGGGTTTACTAGTTACAACTTGGAGCTCCAGTCTCTGCCAGGCTTAGTTAGGCTTCTGTGTTTTAGGGAGAAAGATGCCCATTTAGTAGGAAAACTAGAGGGAGTCTTCACTCATCCTAAAACGTTAACTTTATGTATGCAAATTACATTGTTTCTTTTTTTTTTTTTTCCGAGACGAAGTTTCGTTCTTGTTGCCCAGGCTGGAGTGCAGTGGCACGATCGCGGCTCACTGCAGCCTCCACCTCCCGGGTTCAAGCGATTCTCCTGCCTCAGACTCTCAAGTAGCTAGGATTACAGGCGCCCGCCACGCCACCTGGCTAATTTTTGTATTTTTAGTAGAGACTGGGTTTCGCCATGTTGGCCAGGCTGGTCTCAAACTCCTGACCTCAGGTGATCCACCTGCCTCGGCCTCCCAAAGTGGAGGGATTACAGGTGTGAGCCACCGCGCCTGGCCGATATTGTTTCAACATAAGCATGTGTACTGATGAAGATCTAGATTAAACTTGCTTATCTAGGGAAGATTATCTTTTCACTCTCACTAATATTGAACTCTAAAAAAGGTACAAAAGGAAGCAATAAAACACACTTGAAATACAGGAGTATTTTGCCCTGGACTTGGACTGGGTGGGGTGATGTGTTTTTTTGAAGGTTGTCACAGGTTTGGTGCCAAATCAGGAGAACTATAAGAGCAAATTCACAGGAGCAAATCTGAGGCTTGAAAAATAAATCATGAAAACTTGGATTTTACCAGCTTTAGTTCTTATTCTTTCAGTTCACAGTTTCTTTATTTTCATGTTTTCTAGGCAAAGTTAATCGAACATAATAACAGTAGGTATTCATTTATCCATTTATCTATTCACTCATTCAACAAATATTTACCAAATTCCTACTATGGGCAAGAGACTTACATATAATGTAAGAGAAACGGTGATGTTCCAACCTGTGTTAACATTATGAAAAAACTGTCTCAAATTTATTTTGGCAAAGGTGGAAAAGCAGGGTATAATAAAATAATTATTGAAAAGTTTATATACGTAGTGGATAAAAGCACAATTGATGACAAGGGTGGAAGGAATTATTAGGACATATTTGAATATATTAATATATTCAAAAGCTAACTGCCACTTATTTGCTGTGTATTAATTTATTTTCCTCATCTGTAAAATGGGAATGAGAGTACCTACCTCATAGGAAAGTTGTGAAAGAACATTGCAAATATTGGAAATTTATCTCTAAAGAGACTAGCGTGATTCTCAGCACATGCTCAATAAATGGTAGCTATTGTTATTATCGATAACTCAGATTTAATATAACGAAGAGTCACACATCTATAAATCCTTTGGTGAGGATAGTAACTGAGAAGATGTTCTAGGATAGATAATTCAAATTTCATTTTTAGAATAAGGGCTTCAGTAATTTCATGTTAACAGAAATATGAAAAATAGATTAGGCATCAGTGAGCCAGGCAATTCAGCAATCATAGTAGAATTCCTACAATTTAATAGAATCCATAGACGTAAAAAAGGTATGTGACAAGCCAAAGTAAATCTTTCTTTTTTTTTTGAGATGGAGTCCCAAATAAATCTTTCATACATAGAATGTAGAGATGAATTTCAAATATTTCCATTGCATTGGGATTAGAAGGACAGTGGCCACTAATTAAGAATTTATGTCCTCCTCAGCCCTGCTGGTGCCCATAATAAGGTTTGTTTAGATTAAACCTCTGTTTAATTTCTTTCTGTTAAAGATCTCCTTCTGGCTTTTTTTTTTTTTTTTTTTTTTTGAGACAGAATTTCGCTCTTGTTGCCCAGGCTGGAGTGCAATGGCGCGATCTCGGCTCACGGCAACCTCTGCTTCCCAGGTTCAAGCGATTCTCCTGCCTCAGCCTCCCGAATAGCTGGGATTACAGGCGCGTGCCACCACGCCCGGCTAATATTTTGTACTTTTAGTAGAGACAGGGTTTCTCCATGTTGGTCAGGCTGGTCTCCAACTCCCGACCTCAGGTGATCCACTCGCCTCGGCCTCCCAAAGTGCTGGGATTACAGGCGTGAGCCACCGCGTCCGGCCTCTTTCTGGCTTTTGAAAACATGTTTGGGCCGGGCGTAGTGGCTCACGCGTGTAATCCCAGCACTTTGGGAGGCAGAGGCGGGTGGATCATGAGGTCGGGAGATCGAGACCATCCTGGCTAACACGATGAAACCCCGTCTCTACTAAAAATACAAAAAATTAGCCGGGCCTAGTGGCACGCGACTGTAGTCCCAGCTACTCAGGAGGCTGAGGCAGGAGAATCGCTTGAACCCGGGAGGCGGAGGTTGCAGTGAGCCGAGATCGTGCCACTGCTCTCCAGCCTGGGCGACAAAACGAGACTCTTGTCTCAAAAAACATGCTTGAACCTTCATCTTAGGACACTCCAACATTTTCTCCTATGTGATATACATTATAGAATTGATAGGACCAAATCTCACTTTAATATTTGCATATCATCAACCTAGTCTTTCTATTTTCGCCTTAAAGTTTACTTGAATTTGGCATTAACATTTAGGTTTTCATTTTTAAAGCATTAAATAATAGATCCATTTGATTCTGTGCCACTTGCCAATGTTTAGATATAATAAACACTTTGACTTTTGCTTAATACTGCAGAAGCTGCAACTGGAAAATTCTATCCTGCGTTGTAGACAATGGATATATTCCACAGGAGTTTTTTGTTCTCAGTTTTAAGCTCTGATTTCCAAATCATGATTTAAAAAGTATATCATGCCCTCTGCACTAAGTTAGGTGATCACAGATGCAAAACCTACATCCAGCTTTGGAAAGAGTTCCAGAGAGAGAAGCCCTAGCAATGGTTTGTTTTTGGCTAACATAGCACATTGTATTATTTTTCAAACAAAAGTTTGAAATCAGCTTATACCTAACCTGAGAACGAGGGACAGATGTTTTTCTCCGGCGTTCTGTTTGCTGTAATTTGTGCTGAGAGATTCACTGGTCGTTTTAAAGCTGTTTTTACGCCCCCTCCTTTGTGCGACCTCCACTTGCGCTATGGGCCTTGCCCGGTGGGAAAGGGAGCGTGCAGAAGGGACCCCAAAACGCACTCTCGGGGATGCTCCTGAGTCAGTAAGCAAGTGATTTCCCCCTGCGGGTTCATCTAGTTCCCGTTAGCTCAACCCCGGGTTTAGAGGAAGAACGAAATCCAGAGAGTGAAGCTGGGAGGTGAATGCGTGGCAAAAACTCATGGAAAAAAAAAAAAAAAGCAGTTTCAAGGACTATGCTGCAACCCGCCAAGCAGTGGCTTTCCTCAAGCTGCTGTAACCAGCTGCTTCTCCCTGCTCCTCGAACTTGCTTGAGTTCCGAGGGAAGCGCCTGCTTTTTGGGTGCGTGGCCAGGGTGGGTGGTGGCCAGGATTCGAAGGCGACAGTGAAGGGGAGCGAGTTCCCGGGATGGAACTTGACGTGGAACCCGGGGTCCCATCGAGGGGCTCCCCACGGCCTCGGGTGCTTGGGCTGCGACTGGTTTTTCATTTGGCGTAGGCGTGGGGGGTAGGAGGCAAAGTGCCAAGGGCTTTCCCGGGCTCACAGTGTCTCATGGTCCGCCACTGCCTGCGGTGGCGCTCGGCTTGACCCCGGCTCGGGCCCCGCACGCGGCGGCGGTCAAAGGGCGTGCTCGCGGCAACCGCAGGGCACGCGGGCCGGCCGCGCGGGGGGCGGGGCGGCAGTGGCGGTTGCGGGGCATGCGCGGCTCCGCGCGCGGCTTCTCAAACATGGCGGCGGCGGTGTGAAGCTCGGTGCCGGCTCGCGCGATCGGTGGGACAGAATTTCGTTGTTTTCACCGACGAGACTGGAGGTACGTGGTGATTCCGGGCCCCGTAAGGAATGGAGAGGCGGAGGTGTGTCCCGGACCCCGACCGTTGTCCGTGGGCGGGCGGGTAGAAGCCATCAGCGCGCGTCCCGTGCGAGGAACGCCCCCTTACGATCCCGCCTATGTCCCATCTCAGTTCGGCTTCGCGATAGGGTATCCCGCCCCCGGCGCCTTCCGCGGACGCCCTTCAGCCGATCTCGCGTTTCCCCTCACGCCGCCCCGGGGCCTTTTCGCCGCCGCGGGGTTTGGGCGCCCGGCCGATAGCTTCCACCCGTCCCCTCGCCTGCAGCGCCGACAGCGCCCTCCGGCGCATCCTCCCTGCCGTGGGTAGGGCCGGGCTGGGGCCTGGGGGGCATCACGGTGGGTGGCGGGGCGGAGGAAGGAGGTAGACTTTGCCTGGTCTGGGCTGAGATAACTTTTGGAGTTTGGGAGGGAAACGTCGGCCCGGAAGGATGCGCCTGTGGCGGCGTGCGGGCGCAAATCCTGGTGCCAAGGTGCGCGCCGCCGGGCTCCTGGCGGGGGCTGGGGGCGCCGGTGGCTCACCCTAGCGGTGCAGCGGGACCGGAATGCGCGTCCCGTCCGGGGCTGGCGGGGAGGCGAGGAGGGGCTCTAAGCCTCCTGAGGGGCGGAGAGGCGGCCTCGCGGCCTGACCGAAAAAAAGTTGCTGCCGTCACTTAGAAACAGTCTCGAAATGGTTTCTTACCTTTCTCGCTTTTTCCACCTGTATCGTGCTTGCGCCCCATCCAGGTGTGAAGAGCCGGAGGGAGAATGGGTCTAGGCGAATTTGCTCGATTTTGCGCCTCAAGGTTGTACATAGATAGCTTCCTGGGCCGACTTGTAATTCGGCTCCCCCAAACCCCAAATGTTTGGGCAGCACAAGTATTTACTTACAGGCTCCCATTTGAGACTATTTATTTTTTAAAAAGAGGTTGTTAAACATTTGTCAAGCATCACAAAGTGTGATTGCAACTTGAAATTTGCTTCTTGTTTGTAAATTAGGAGATTAACGTTTATGACTTACTTTAGGTCTTCTCTGGAAAGTTAATGGATCGATTAGTGGGGGTAAACTGAGGCAGGGAAAGTGAATAAGTTGCTTATGATCATATGATTTACAAAAGTATTGGAGATAGTTGTTTTTTTCCCTAAAACAGCTTCAGATGCTGCTACATTTTAATGCCCCCAGAGCTATTCATATTTCTGTTTTGAGGGAAAAGTATTTTAAGATGTACAACATTTATGGAGTACAGCTGCCTATGATGAGCAATTGTTTTATAACAATGGTTCATAAACGCATATTTAATTCTTTTCAATAACAGCGAGGGAAATGTTTTTCAATAATGACGATTTTGCCTTTCTTTTATTTTTCTTAATTACTCATTAAATAAAATATTTCCAATTACGAATGTGCTTTCAGGCTGTTTGTGTGTTTTTTTTTTTTTTTTCTATTTAATGGGAGGAATGTGAAAATAAGCTTTTGGAAATGAATCCAGTGGGATTTTTGAGAAAAGATTGAGTTTATGAGTATTCACCTGATGCCTTGTGTTTAGCTTTATCTATAACCTTTAAAACAGTTTGATAGAATGTAAAGAAAAAACACCATTTAAACTGGCTTTGAAAGTTTTGAATGAACTTTATATATACATCATGCAGCCATATGAACTTCTTAAGGATGTATACTTGTTTACCCCAGAGAACCTGATTTGCTTTGGAATTGGTAGTTGGAAAAAAGATTACTGTAACTCTACTGCATTATATGTGCGGGTGCTTTAAAGTTGATAGTGTCATAACGTTCAAAAATCATTACAGTCAGTCTAAAAAAGGTGTATCAGTTTTTCTCATGAGGTGGTTGATCAGTCCTTTTGATTTATGATTCCATCAACACATCTTTATTAAGCACCTGTGCTGTCTTTACTATGGAGTTCAGTTTATTCAGAGCCCACTACGTGTGCTAATTTCAGGGTGTTTAAGGCTTTCCACCCATAGTTTATTCCTGAAAATTTCAGGGAGTTATAGCTAAAAAAATCAATACGAATGTAGAACAAGTATTCCTTTCATTCAAAGGGCGAACTCGAGAAGTCAGTATTTTTGTCATAATTCTCCAAACAAAATTCTGAGTGTAGCTGCAAACTATTTCTGACTTACGTGATGTTAACTTTGTGATTTTTTGGTTAGGATTATATAAAGCTATATATTTTCATGAGATTATTTTCTGGTTCAAATAGATAACATACTGGTTAAGCTTGAGGGGAAAAATGAGTTGCTGGTATAAATGGAAATCAATATGTGCTCTGAAGATTGGGTATTTTTTAATACTAAGCAATTTCTATTACTAAGTAGTTTAAGCTGTAATTAAGTTTTAACTGGTATTTTAAAGCACTTTGTTTTTTCAAAATGTTGCAGAAATCTCTGAGCTCAGAAATAACAAATAAGGGTTATGATCCTCAGCTATAAGCCAGATGTGACTCTTATTTTCTTTTGGGCTTGTTCCTTTTTAGCTGCCTGCCTGTTCCTCCCAGATGCTTCCTATCACCCCTCTTCCTGCCCCTGTTCCCTTTGCTGTTGGTGTCTGTTTCCGCATCAGTGAAATGGTCAGGGTAATCCTTTGCTGCTTCACTGAGAAATAATTAATGATGGTAAAGTGCCTTGAAAAGGCTGAGTAAATACCAAGTCTTTTGAATTAACTTGATGTAGCCACTTGTTCCATTTAAGGAAGAGCCAAATCCCAATTTTAGTTTGAGCTCTTGGGGGTGCGAGAGAAAAGTTTCACTTGACTATTTTACTGCCTTTCTTTTGGGGTTAATAGCAATGACTTTTGTAACTCTAGTAACTGGAACACGGGTGGATACAGCAGTATCCTCTGCTGTTTGCCTTATTAGTCACCTCTAGTCTTTTTTTTTTTTTTGCCTGGTTATTCTGTCTGCCATTTTTCTCCCTCTATTCTCATTCCACTTGTGAATGGAAATCGGAGGTCCTCTCTATTAGCTACCCTCTCGGGGTGGGGAGGGTAGGTCTCACTGTCTCCTCATAGTCATATTCCTGATTTTTAGGATATACAAGAACAAAGTGGGCTCTGCCAGCTATCAGCCTTAGAGCTATGAGCTGTGGTGCAAAGATTAGTCTGTCATTGCCAGAAGGTGTTTTGTAGTTTGCAGTGGGCAAATCAAGCATCCCTAATAATTTTAGAACCATTATTAATGTCTGAGAATTACTACATAATACCTTAGAATTTGAACTGATTGTTGATTCCAGGAACTAAAAACCTGGACATTTTGAAAATGGCAAATGTTGGTGATGTTTTTTTTTTTTTGAGATGGGCTCTCGCTGTGTTGCCCAGGCTGTAGTGCAGTGGCGTGATCTCAGCCCACTGCAGCTTCTGCTTCCTGCGTTCAAGCAATTTTCCCACCTCAGCCTCCTGAGTAGTTAGGATTACAGGGGTGTGCCACCATGCCCAGCTAATTTTTGCATTTTTAGTAGAGACGGGGTTTCACCTAGTTGGCCAGGCTGGTCTCAAAACTCCTGACCTCAGGTGATCCTCCTGCCTTGGCCTCCCAAAGTGCTGGGATTACAGGTGTGAGCCACCACGCCCGGCCGTGTTGGTAATTTTGAAGGAAGAGTTTATACCCTTCCCTGGCTTTGGGGCTTAATATTCAGGATCTCTTTGTCTTGGGGAAATAGATAAAAGAAACCACTGGCGTTTATCTTAGATTAAAATGGCATAATTTATACCATTATATAAATACTGGTATAATTTAGTGGTAAGTACATTTTTTAGACTCTAAGTACCTTAGGCTTTGGTTACCATTTATAAAAAGAGTTTGTGGTAGTTCTTTTTTTGATACGGAGTCTTGCTCTGTTACCCAGGCTGGAGTGCAGGTGCAATCTCGGCTCATTGCAACCTCTGCCTCCTGGCTTCAAGCAATTCTCCTGCCTCAGCCTTCCCAGTTGCTGGGACTACAGGCATGTACCGCCACACCCAGCTAATTTTTTTTTTTTTTTTTTCCGAGATGGAGTCTCGTTTTGTCACCCAGGCTGGAGTAGAGTGGCACGATCTCAGCTCACTGCAACCTCTGCCTCCCAGGTTCAAGTGATTCTCCTGCCTCAGCCTCCCAAGTAGCTGGGACTACAGGCGTGCGCCACCGAGCCTGGCTAATTTTTGTATTTTTAGTAGAGATGGGGTTTTACCATGTTGGCCAGGCTGGTCTCAAACTCCTGACCTCAGGTAATCCATCCACTTCTGCTGCCTCTCCAAGTGCTGGGATTACAGGCATGAGCCACCGAATCTGGCCTTTGTTTTTTTTGAGAGTCTTGCTCTGTCTGTTGCCCAGGCTGGAGTGCGGTGGTGTGATCTTGGCTCACTACAGCCTCTGCCTCCTGGGTTCAAGCAATTCTTGTGCCTCAGCCCCTGAGTAGCTGGGATTACAGGCGTGCATCACCATGCCCACTAATTTTTGTATTTTTCATAATTTTTGTATTTTTAGTAGAGATGGGGTTTCACCATGTTGGCCAGGCTGTTCTCGAATTCCTGGCCTCAAGTGATCCTCCTGCCTTGGCTTCCTGAAGTTCTGGGATTACAGGCGTGAGCCACCTCGCCCTGCCAATGGTGGTTCTTAAAAATAACTTGAAAAAATTTTAGAAGCTATCAAGATTTGAAATGTGTATGTGTTCTTTGGTTTTCATGAGAAAGGCGATTTTGTTTATTTTGTCATTATGTTGTCTATTTCTAGGGTTACCTTGGCAACCTTAGAAATAATACTGGGTTTTTTTTTGTTTGTTTTTTTTTGAGACGGAGTCTCGCTCTGTTGCCCAGGCTGTAGTGCAGTGGCACAATCCTGGCTCACTGCAACCCCCACCTCCGAGGTTCAAGTGATTCTCTTGCCTCAGCCTCCTGGGGAGCTGGGATTACAGGCGTGCGCAACCATGCCCAGCTAATTTTTTAAAAAATAATTTTAGTAGGGACGGGGTTTCACCATGTTGTTCAGGCTGGTCTCAAACTTCTAACCTCAAGTGATCCACCTGCCTTGGCCTCCCAAAGTGCTGGGATTACAGGCGTGAGCCACCACGCCCAGCCTGGAGAGGTGTTAACATAAGCAATGGAGATATCTTATTGTGTGAAAAGTGAAATATTTGAGGATCCTGTAGCAGTGAATATGATGGTGCTGTTCATCTTAATATCATGATCATTTGACCTAGACTACATGAATTCCTTATTTGAAGAGTTAAAACTTATAGAATAAGCTGTGAGTAAAGACCTGGGAAACTGAAGATAGCATTTGATTACCTACTACTTGTGACCTGTGTTTATGGCTATGGCTCTGCCTCTTCCTAAGTTTATAGGAGCAAATTGTTTTAAGAGGGGAAAGAGAGTGCCCACTTTTAGTGGTAACGTACTGTTGTAAACTTCAGAAGGGACAGATATATTACAATTCTAGGGCATACCTTGAAGATGCTTTCATTTCTCAGAGAAAAGTTTGCGGGGCTCTCTTTGGTTGTGTTTAGAATACACATTTGATTTTTCGCAACCTCTGTTTCTCATAAAGATTAACTGGTGGCGAATTATAGACAAACAGCTCCATTTGTTTGGTATGTACCTTATAGCCTTGACATAGTTTTTTAAGTGTATTGACAAAGTGCTTGTTTTTTTTGGTTAACATTTGGCCACTTTTCCTACCTTTCATCAGTTTTAGCTGGTTTAAGGTTTGATTATATATTTATTTTTAAATGCTGAATCAAATGTGTTTCTTCTTTTCAGTTCTCTTCCTCTTTGAATACATTTGGAAACATGTGCCCTTTGCTATGAACTGTTGCTTTTTTTTCTTTGGAAATATTTTTTAAAATGTTATTTGGAGTATTTTTCTCTTTAATGTTATTTGAAAAGCAATATAGTCAGTATTAATTTTTAACTAACTTGATAGAGTTTCATAAATCTGTTCAAATGAAACACGGCATCTTTGGTCATTAAAAGAATTAATATATAGTAGGCAATAGTAAGTATATTTAGATATTGTTTGGTTTTAGATTACTTTAGAGACTCTGATTTGAGATTTTTTTTGTGTTGAAATTTGAGAAGTTGTAGAAATATTTGAATGGGTAATTTGCTGACACCTGCCTCATGTTTGAGGTATTTTCAAGGATGTTTAGTTTTCTGGTTTCTTCAGATTGTGGTTTATTGCATGCTTTTCTGCAGTCTGTTGTCTAGTGGGGATTGTTGTTGTCATCATTTCCATTATTTCTTGTAGGGCCGGTGTTAGAAACCATAAATCTAGACTGCAGTGATAATAGGAACAGCCTGTAACCAGATCCAGTTCTTTTGTCAAAAAGTTGCACCATTAGCTGCCTGTAGTATATTGACATGCCCTGCCATTAACTCAAGTCCTTCACAAAAGTCAGTGGGTAGCAGGTCTTTGGGCAGTTAGCCTGTAGCTGTGCTTTAAAACCTCAGGAATTTACAACTATAAACTGGGATTTTGGCAACCCTTGACTTATCTTTCGTTTATCTGTTTTCTGACATGACATACTTCTTCACTAAATACATAGCTTTCACATAAATCATTTTGAAATTGCAAGTGATTAACTTACAGGTTTTTTGGGGGGTAACTTAAATTAGAAATTTTTGAAAATAGTTAAGCCTTCTTAGGTTTGTTTTGACACAGAAAAAGATTAATTACTAATTTGTTGGGGTGGACTCTTTACTAAAGCATAATTTAAAATTGCTCCTTTAGAAACCTTAATTTCCTCAAGAAGGCTTGATTTGATAAATTATTGCTACCAAAAATGTTCTTTGATTTTTTTTTACAGATTTCAGAAATATGGAGATGAAAATGTTCTTTTTTTTTTTTTTTTTTTTTTTTTTTTTGAGACGGAGTCTTGCTCTGTCACCCAGGCTGGAGTGCAGTGGCATGATCTCGGTTCACTGCAGCCTCTGCCTCCCAGGTTCAAGCAATTTTCATGCCTCAGCCACCCGGGTAGGTGAGATTATAGGTGTGTACCACCGCAGACGGGGTTTTGCCATGTTGGCCAGGCTGGTCTCGAACTTCAGACCTCAAGTGATCTGCCCACCTCGTATTCCCAGAGTGCGGGGATTACAGGCATGAGCCCCTGCGCCCGGCCTAAAAATGTTCTTTTTTTTTTTTTGAAATGGAATTTTACTCTTGTCACTCAGGCTGGGGTGCAATGGCACTATCTTGGCTCACTGCAACCTCCCCCTCCCAGATTCAAGCGATTCTCCTGTCTCAGCCTGCCAGGTAGCTGGGACTACAGGTGCCCGCCACCACACCCGGCTAATTTTTGTATTTTTGGTAGAGACGGGGTTTTACCATGTTGGCCAGTCTGGTCTCAAACTCTTGACCTCAGGTGATTCACCCGCCTCAGCCTCCCAAAGTGCTGGGATTACAAGCTTGAGCCACCGCACCCGGCTTGTTCTTTCTTAATATTGATTAGTCTTAATTCAGAGATAGAATTTTAGTTTTAAATGTAATTACAGTATTAGAATTTAGTGTTTTTCTGATTACTTTTATAACTATGTCAGAAAATGTGACATTTGATTATTTACTTGAGTGAATTGAATAGATACTTGTGGAATCTTAATGTGATGACTCATGTTCAATTCCACAAAATTATGTATGGTTATACAATGGAATATACACTTTTTCTATCCTGTATTAGGATAATCACTATTACCAGAAACAAAATCTTAGTTGAAAGAGAGAGCTTCTCTTGGTCAAAGAAAAAATACATAACTACAGTGTATTTTAATTAAATCAGTATTTTTTTTTGCATTTAGGCATAAATGTGAAGTACTTCTTGAAACAAAATAATAAACTATTTACAAGTTAAAAACATAAAGGTGTTATTTTATGCAGTTAACTCAGACCTTCCCCTTCACAATAAAGGACAGCGTTTTTGTTTGTTCAAGTCTAAAAGTAGTGTCTTTATAACAAGATAGATTTTAAAAGGAAAAGAACCCTTTCTACCTGTGCTATTTAATTAATCTCTGGTAAATTGTGTATGTATAATAACTTCCGTCACTTATTCCAACATTTTCTTTAAAACACCAGCAAACGTATTTGTGAATCTCTCTTATCCTTGAAACTTCTTATGCTGTTGATAAACTCAAGGGGCTATGATGAAACATTTTTTTCAATAGATTATTTTGTGAATAGGGACTTGGCTTGTTGTTTCTTTTTTTGGTGAATATTGGTTTAAAGCACATGTTTTAGTTATACCTGTTATGTAGTTGGCATTTATAAACTGAATTCTATAATGGTAACTCATACGGAGCCTGACTTTTTGAGACCATGAACATCCTAGAAAGAGATAAAATTCAGAGTAAAAAAAAAAGGCCAATCAACTTCTGGGAAAGAGAGAGATATTGGAGGTGGGGGATTGTCTCAGATCTCACAGAATTTTCTCCTTGGCCCATTGACTTAGACTTGTGTGTAAATTAAGACAGCTGATTTGATATTGCAGGAAAGAACAGAGAACAACAATGATGGCCAAAAGAAAAATCTCGGCCGAGCGCCGTGGCTTACGTGAGCCTGTAATCCCGGCACTTTGGGAGGCTGAGGCAGGAGGATCATTTGAGCTCAGGAGTTTGAGACCAGTATGGGCAACTTAGTGAGCCATCGTCTCTACTAAAATTAAAAAAAAAAAAAAAATTAGTTGCTGAGCTTGTTGGCACATGCCTATAGTCCCAGCTACTTTGTGTGTGTGTGTGTCGGGGGTAGGGGGTGTGCAGGGGGTGTGCTGAGGCAGGACAATCACTTAAGGCCGGGAGGTCAGGCTGCAGTGAGCCCTGATTATGCCACTGAACTCCAGCCTGGGCAACAGAGTGAGACCCTGTCTCAAAACAAAGAATAAAAGAAAAATTTTATCAAAAAATTGTTTTAGTCCATGTGTGGTGGCTTACACCTCTAATTCCAGCACTTTGAGAGGCTGAGGCAAGAGGATTCATTGAGCCCAGGAGTTTGAGACCAGCCTGGGCAACATGGAAAAACTCTGTCACTACAAAAAATACAAAAATTAGCCAGGTATGGTGGTGTGTGCCTGTAGTCCCAGCTACTAGGGAGGGTGAGGTGGGAGGATCACCTGAGCCCGGGGAGGTTGAGGTTGTAGCGAGCTATGATCACTCCACTGCACTCCAGCCTGGGTGACAGAGAGACCCTGTTTCAAAAAAAAAATTGTTTTTAAAAACCACAGTATTCTGGTTCTATATAGTTTAGATACAAGCAGCCTATAGCACAGCAGAGTTTACTCATTCAGCAAACATTTTGGGGACCCTAGTATGTGATAGACACTGTGCTCGTTATTCTGAAGGATATAAAGAAGAACGAGATGTGATACTGCCCCCAGGAGCTTATTGTCTAGCACGGGAGAAAAGGCACTTACACAGTTAAACACAACAAAGGCAGTTTTAGCACAATGGTTAAGCATTCATGAACCTAGATTCAAACCTAGCTGGGTGATCTTGGGCAGGTCTTTGAGCCTCAATATCCTTAACTTTCAAATGAACATTAATGGACATTAATAACAGTATCTACTATGCAGGCTTGTAATAAGCTTTAGATAAGAAAAAATACATATATAAAAGCCTTAGGGTAGGGTACCAGGCATTCATTAATAGCAAGAGCTCAGTAAGTAACAGATCTGAGTAGTAGTATCACCACTGCCAACACCATTATCATTGAATCTCTGGGAACATAACTTTTGTTTTCTCCTGCCCTCATGGATCCGTTTTGTCTAGGGTATCTGGTATATTATAATATCTCCTTGTATTAGTCTGTTTTCACGCTGCCGATAAAGACATACCTGAAACTGGGCAATTTATAAGAAAAAGAGGTTTAATGGACTTACAGTTCTACCTAGCTAGGGAGGCCTCACAATCATGGTGAAAGGCATGTCTTACAGGGCAGCAGATGAGAGAATGAGAGCCAGGTGAAAGGCGTTTCTCTTTATAAAACCATCAGATCTCCTGAGACTTATTCACTACCATGAGAACAGTGTGGGAGAAACCACCCTCATGATTCATTTATCTCCCACCGGTTCCCTCCCACAACATGAGGGAATTATGAGAGCTACAATTGAAGATGAGATTTGGGTAGGGACACCAAACCATATCACTCCTTATTTCTCCCTTTCAAAGCACATACGGTGTATTGGAGCCTTGTCTTTTGGCATTTGACAAACCTCGATTTGAATCATTTTTCTTTCACTACCAGCTTCCTGATCTTGAGGAATCAAAATAACTTGGTAACTGATAAGACAGAAGAGGAGGGGAGTCAAAGATGACTTCTAATTCAGAAAGATTGAGGGTTTGTAATGCTTTTAAAATAAAATGCAGAGGAAGAGGAGCTCATTTTGGATGGCAAGAATTTGGTTATTTATGTATTTATTATTTTATTATTTTTTTTTTAGAGACAGGGTCTCACTATGTTGCCCGGGCTGGTCTTGAACTTCTGGGCTCAAGCGATCCTCCTGCCTTGGCCTCCCAAAGTGCCGGCATTACGGGCATGAGCCACTGCACCTGGTCTTTTAAAAAAATTTTTATTTTTTAAGTTTCCCACAAGTCATAGGGAATGAGAGTTTGGTTTCGTAGTTTTATTTTATTATTTTTTCTTTTCTTTTCTTTTCTTTCTTTCTTTTTTTTTTTTTTTTTTTAAATAGAGGCAGGGTTTCACTGTGTTGTTCAGGCTGGTCTCGAACTCCTGAGCTCAAGCAGTCCTCTTGCCTCAGCCTCCCATAGTGCTGGGATTACAGGTGTGATTGTAATCCGGCCCAGGTTTTTTTTTCCTTTTCTTTTTCTTTTTTTTTTTTTTTTTTTGAGACAGAGTCTCGCTCTGTCGCCCAGGCTGGACTGCAGTGGCGCCATCTCTGCTCACTGCAACCTCCGCCTCCCGGGTACAAGCAGTTCTCCCTGCCTCAACCTCCTGAGTAGCTGGGATTACAGGCGCCCGCCACCACACCTGGCTAATTTTTGTATTTTTTAGTAGAGACGGGGTTTTGCCATGTTGGCCAGGATGGTCTTGATCTCCTGACCTCGTGATCCACCTGCGTTGGCCTCCCAAAATGCTGTGTTACAGGCGTGAACCACTGCACCTGTCCGTATTTTATTGATTCTTATGTTCTCTCAGGTTGAAATTCTACAGTTGTATTCATTTTATAACATCTGACCAATGGCCTAAAGTTGAAACAGGCCTTGGGAAATCTCTCTCTCTCTCTCTTTTTTTTTTCCCTAGTGAAATTGAACTGAACCTGGAACCTGGGATATTTCTTGCTGTCAGATTTATTCAGTTCCTGTCCTTGTCAAAATGTTTACCCTTACTGAAGATCACTACTCTTCAGGTAGTGATCTTTAGAGACTCAAGGTGTAGCTTACCTTATCTTAAAAACAAAACAAAATAAAAAAAAAAGGGAGGTGGGGCACACGAAAGGAAAAAAATAAAAAATAAAAAAGAGAAAAGAAAAAGAAAAAAACTCTCCAAACAAAAAACCCCAGAAAATAAACAAATAATGGAAAGGCCCTATAATCTTAGAATTATAGACCCATTAGTTTGTTAAATAGTACTTTAAAACTGTTTTTCTCAACAGATTGTAGAATTTTCTCCAGAATCAGATAAGAGTAATGGGAGTTTTAGGCTTAATAATTCCACTATTAATCACTGTTTACATTGTTTAATTGTGTTGAGAAAATGGTTTAAAACAAGACTTTTCAAAGCATTTGTTGATCTTTTATCAGCTCTTAATTCTGTAACAAGATACAATCTGCAAAACAAATGGTTGTGTAAAAGATTGCAGATTGTCCATACTTGTTCAGAGCTTCTAGATGCAACTGCTAGATTTAGTATAACTGTAGTCTTTTTTTTTTTTTTTGAGATGGAGTCTTGCTCTGTTGCCCAGGCTGGAGTTCAGTGGCATGATCTCGGCTCACTACAACCTCCACCTCCTGGGTTCAAGCAATTCTACTGCCTCAGCCTCCTGAGTAGCTGAGCTTACAGGCACTCACCACCATGCCTGGCTAAGTTTTGTATTTTTGGTAGAGATGGGGTTTCACCATGTTGGCCAGGCTGGCCTTGAACTCCTGACCTCAGGTGATCTGCCCGCCTTGGTCTCCCAAAGTGCTGGGATTACAGGCGTGAGCCACTGCGCCCGGCCCAACTGTAGTCTTTTGGTAAGTGAAATTTCAATGTCAGGCGCTATGAAATACTATTAACCTAACCTTTTTTTTTTTTTTAAGGCTTACTTACATTTGAATGTTTTTTCACACAGTGGAATTGCTCCTAATATGCATTAAGTGAAGCAACTTCTACTCTTTATGTTGCCAAAAACAAAAACAAAAGCCTGAAGCTTTTAACTTTTTTTAAAACCAAAAATTTTTCTCCCATGTATCAAGGCAAGTTACTTGAGGGTCTTTTTTGAGCCTTTCTTATAATGCTGAAGCAGGTTCAAAGTATATTGAAAGCAAAGATAAGCTTTTTTGCAGTTTTCCTTGCAGACTACCACTGTGGAAATGTGTTTCTAAAAGAACTTCAGGCTTCTAATTTTTCCCAGAAAGAGCTGTGCTGTCTGCATCTATTGCCACCATATTTTTCTATTTGAGACACTCTGAGGATTCAACTAAGAATCCGTTGATGCTATCCAGCATTTACCAATAGATTATAGTACTCTTCTCTTCCCTTTACATCTATAATCTCCATCCTTGTGACTGAAAGACAGGTGAGTTACAGTGTAATGCATTTTAAGAGGGACAATAGAACGTTTTATTTTTTCTCAAGTTATAGTCAAAGATAGTTTCTATTAAATTAGTCAATATTCTTTTACATCAGGATCTTCGCAGATTCTTCCTAGTATTCAGTCCTAGGGAAATGTTTGTCTTTTTTTTTTCTGAATTTGTGTGTATATAACCCAAGTGTTTTCCTTTTTGCTTTTATCTACTAGGAAGCCCAGAGGGAATTACTAAATTTTTCCCAACTAACTAGTACATTTTTATTTTATTTTATTTTTTGCCATGAGCTGTGTTTTCATTATTCACGCAAATAATTTTCTATAATATCCCAGGGCAAACCAGAGAATTTGGCAGTCTGATTGGACCCATAGGGACCCTCAGGCTGGTGGCATCAGCACGGAGTGCCCAGGTTCACGTCACAGTTTGTGGCTTGTGTCCATCTTGTGGTGATTCTTCCTCCACATTACTACTGGGGTCTCGAAGATGACAGGGGTAGGGAATCCTCCAGGCTCTTAGGAAATTTCACCCGCTTCTCCTGCTCAATGGCCTCTTTGGTCAGCAGGGTGTTCTCCTGCATCTCTGTTTTCTTCAGCTTGGCCTTATTGAAGCTGGCGATTTCCCCTATGTCTGGTTTGTCTGCCATTTTCTTAAAACAATCCTAGTGGGCAAACCAAGGCTCTTGGCCTGGGGCTGGGGACCAGTGCTCCCTTCCGCATTCCCTGCCAGTGCCTCTCACCATGGCACTCCTGCTGGCAGCCCCAAGGCCTAGGTATTTGCTCTTATTAATTCGAACAAACAAATAAAACTTTACCCTAAGTGTATTTTTATATTGGGACTGCTAATCCTTTTTTAAAAACAACAAAGTATAAGATACAAAAATTATATAGGAAATGATGAAAAGTTTTGGTGATCAAACATTATCAAAAAGCAGTATTTGATAAATATAGTTATGAACTTAAAAATTATGCTAAGAGTCTAGTAAATAGATTTTCATCTGCCTTATTGTTTATCACATTTTATTTATTTATTTAATTTTTTTTTTTTTTTTTGAGACGGAGTCTTGCTCTGTCACCCAGGCTGGAGTGCAGTGGAATGATCTTGGCTCACTGCAGCCTCTGTCTCCTGGGTTCAAGCAATTCTCCTGCCTCAGCCTCCTGAGTAGCTGGGATTACAGGTGCCTGCCATCACGTCTGGCTAATTTTTGTATTTCTAGTAGAGATGGGGTTTCACCATGTTGGCCAGACTGGTCTTGAACTCCTGACCCCAAGTGATCTGCCCGCCGTGGCCTCCCAAAGTGCTGGGATTACAGGCGTGAGCCACCACATCCGGCCTTGTTTATCACATGTTAGATTGCAAAATAAGCAGTAACTTCTGTCCTGAGCGTCAATCTTAAGAATAGCGGAGATTTTCCTTAAGGAATTAACTTTTTACATTTTATGTATTAATTTTTGAGACAGGGTCTCACTCTGTTGCGCAAGCTGGAGTGCAGTGGTGTGATCTCAGCTTACTGCAACCTCTGCCTCCCAGGCTCAAGCGATCCTCCCAACTTCCTGAGTAGCTGGGAGTGCAGGTGTGTGCCACCATGGCTTGCTAAGTTTTGTATTTTTTTGTAGAGATGGGTTTCACTGTGCCGCCCAGGCTGGTCTGGAACGCCTGAGTTCAAGCAATCCTCCCACCTTGCCTCTCAGAGTGCTGGGATTACAGGTGTGAGCCACTGTGTCCAGCCTTTGGTATGAACTGGCATTTATTATTCATTGTACATTTCATTTTAGCTAAGAAATGTTGGCTTTATGAATTTATTATATAGAGAGAATTTCATTTGAAGATTATCGATATATGGAATTTGGTGGTATATATTTAAAAGTGGTTCAAATATATGTTGTATATGGGTTTACATATATGATTTTTTAAAATTTGAAGGGTGTACACCAGATGGTTAACAACAGGTATTGTTTGGTGGTGGAGTTATAGGTGATTCTTTCCCCCTTCTTTTTGCTTATCTGTGTTCTCATTTATTTTCAATGATGATGAATGTGTAAAAAGAAAAAGAAAATTCTGGTTTCTAGGAGTCCACAAGGATGTTTTGGCTCATAAAGGGCCAAAAGCCACCTTCTCTTCTTTTTAATTTAATTTTTATTTTTAGAGCTGGGGTCTCACTCTGTTGCCTAGGCTGGAGTGAAGTGGTGGTGTGATCATAACTCACTGCAGCCTTGAACTCATGGGCTCAAGTGATCCTCCCTCCTCAGCCTCCCAGGTAGCTGGGACTGTAGGTGTGCTGTACCACGCCCGGCTAATTATTTTATTTTATTTTTCTGTAGTGATGGTGTCTTGCTGTGTTGTCCAGGCTGGTGCCAAATTTCTGGCCTCAAGTGATCCTCCTACTTTGACCTCCTAAAGTGCTGGGATTATGGCATGCACCATGGTGCCCGGCCCAAAAGCTATTTTCAATACTCACCTACCTTAAAGGAAATAATATATTAATGAATAATTACCTAAAAGTCATACAGCATGAGATGATGTCAAGTTTCCTTTGGCTTTAGCTAGAATGTATAACTTTTCTGATAATGCTGATTAGTAGATGACAGCTGCTTTCTTTGATAGTGATATGTCTGGTTGTTATAAATATATACATTTATTTATTTCAGCTTAATATAAGAGCAATTTAATTTAGAGTTCCTGTTTTGTTAAGCAACAACTCTTTGGTCTGTACTTTGGAAGAGTAACCAAGTAATGCTTGGAAATCCAAGTTGGAACATAGTTTCATTTTACAACATGATTAATGTTAAATGTTAATGCTAAAACTCACTAATTTCAGGAAGTTTTCATTAGGACAGATGGAATGGGATAAGGAACAGTCTTTGAGCTTCTACTTGTTTGAGATACTATGCTGGGTGTTCCTACACTGCCTCATTTTCTTTTCTTTCTTTTTTTTTTTTTTTAATGAGACAGGGTCACCACACACTGTCACCTGGGCTGGAGTGCAGTGGCACGATCATGACTCACTGCAGCCTCGACTTCCCAGGCTCAGGTGATTCTCCTACCTCAGCCTCCCAAGTAGCTGGGACTACAGGCATGTGCCACCACACCCAGCTAATTTTTGTATTTTTTTGTAGAGACGGGGTTTTGCCATGTTGCCCAGGCTGGTCTCCAACCCCTGGGCTCAAGCAATCCTCCTGCCTTGGCCTTCCCAAGTGCTGGAATTATAGATGTGAGCCACCACACCCAGCCCCTCCTGTCTAACCTAAACTTTTTACACTTTGACCAACTCCCCATTCCTTGCCCCTTCCTCCCCAGCCTCTGGTAATCATCATTCTGCTCTGTACTTCTGTGAGTTCAACTATTTTAGATTGCACATGTAAATGAGATCATACAGTTTGTGCCTGGATTGTTTTTTTTTTTTCTTTTTTTTTTTTTTAAGACAGAGTCTCCCTTTGTTGCCCAGGCTGGAGTGCACTGGCGCAATCTTGGCTCACTTAAGCCTGTGCCTCCCAGGTTCGAGCAATTCTCCTGCATCAGCCTCCCGAGTACCTGGGACTACAGGCATGTGCCACCATGCCCGGCTAATTTTTGAATTTTTAGTAGAGATGGGGTTTCACCATGTTGGCCAGGCTGGTCTCGAGTTCCTGGCCTCAAATGATCCTACCGCCTTGGCCTCCCAAAGTGCTGGGATTACAGGCGTGAGCCACCGTGCCTGGCCCTTTCATCTTTTCTAATATATGCATTCAATGTTGTAAATTTCCTTCTAAGTACTGCTTTCATTGCAATGGACAAATTTTGATAAGGTGTATTTTCATTTTCATTTAGTTGAATTAAAAAAAATTATCTTGAGCTTTCTTCTTTGACCCATGCATTATTTCAGAGTGTGTTGATTAATCTCCAAATATTTGGGAGTTTTTCAGCTTTCTGTTATTGATTTCTAGTTTAATTCCATTGTGGTCTAAGAACTGAAACATTGTATGGTTTCTATTCTTTTAAGTGTGTTAAGGTGTGTTTTATGGCCCAGAATATGGTCTATCTCAGTGAATGTTCCATGTGAGCTTGAGAGGAATGTGTATTCTGCTCTTGTTGGATGAAGTAGTCTCTAGATGTCAATTATATCCAACTGATGATGTTGAGTTCAACTATGTCCTCGCCGATTTTCTGCCTGCTAGATCTGTCCATTTCTGATAGAGGCTTGTTGAAGTCTCCTACTATAATAGTGGATTTATCTATTTCTTTTTTAGTTCTATCGGTTTCTGCCTCACATATTTTGATGCTCTCTTGTTAGGCATATACACATAAAGGATTGTCATATCTTTTTTGAGTATTGACCCCTTTATCATTATGTAATGCCCGGCTTTATCCTTGATAACTTTCCTTGCTCTCAAGTCTGCTCTGTCCGAAATTAGTATAGCTATTCCTCTATTCCTGCTTTTTTTTGATTAGTATTAGCATGGACTTTCTCCATCCCTTTACTTGTAGTTTATATGTGTCTTTATATTTAAAGTTTTTTTTTTTTTTTTTGTAGCCAACATACAATTGGTTGTTTTTTTTTTTTTTTTTTTTTTTTTTTTGAGACAGAGTCTTGCTCTGTCGCCCAGGCCGGAGTGCAGTGAGTGGCGCGTTCTTGGCTCACTGCAACCTCCACCTCCCATGTTCAAGTGATTCTTCTGTCTCAGCCTCCCAAGTAGCTGTGACTACAGGCACACATCACCACATCTGGCTAAGTTTTGTATTTTTAGTAGAGCTGGGGTTTCACCATGTTGGCCAGGCTGGTCTCGGACTCCTGACCTCAGGTGATCCACCCGCCTTGGCCTCCCAAAGTGCTGGGATTACAGGCACCCAGCCTAAAGTAATTCTTGATATAGTTGGATTAATAACTACTGTATTTATTGCTGTTTTCTGTTTGCCCTTGTTTTTTATTCTTATTTTTGTTTTCTACATTTTCTGCCCTTTGTGGTTTTAGTTGACCATTTAATATGATTCAGTTTTTTCTCCTTTGTAAGCATATTATTCTTTTTTTTCCCACTTTTTTTTAGCGGTTGCCCTAAAATTTGCGATATACATTTACAACGAATCTAAGTCTGCTTTTAAGTAACAGGACCATTCTTTTCTTATTTTATTTTATTTATTATTTTTTTTCGAGACGGAGTCTCGCTCTGTCGCCCAGGCTGGAGTGCAGTGGCGTGATCTTGGCTCACTGCAAACTCCGCCTCCCGGGTTCACATCATTCTCCTGCCTCAGCCTCCAGAGTAGCTGGGACTACAGGCGCCCGCCACCATGCCCGGCTGATTTTTTGTATTTTTTAGTAGAGACGGGGTTTCACCGTTTTAGCTAGGATGGTCTTGTACTCCTGACCTCGTGATCCCCCCGCCTCGGCCTCCAAAAGTGCTGGGATTACAGGCATGAGCTACCGTGCCTGGCCATTTTTTTTTTTTTTTTGAGACCGAGTCTCGCTCTTTCGCCAGGCTGGAGTGCAGTGGCATGATCTCGGCTCATTGCAACCTCCGCCTCCTGGGTTCAAGTGCTCCTCCTGCCTCAGCCTCCCAAGTAGCTGGGACTACAGGTGCATGCCACCACGCCCAGCTAATTTTTGTATTTTTAGTAGAGACGGGGTTTCACCATGTTGGCCAGGATGGTCTCGATCTCTTGACTTCATGATCTGCCTCGGCCTCCCAAAGTGCTGGGATTGCAGGCATGAGCCACCATGCCCGCCAATGGGATCATTCTTTTAAAAATATTTTTCTTTTTCCCATTGGATTACCTTGTTCCCTGAGTTGAAAATCAATTGACCAAATATTTGTGGGTCTATTTCCGGACTGCCTAGCCTGTTTCCACTGATCTAATTTGTATATCCTATGCCAATGTCACACAGTTTTGAATACCGTTGCCTTATACTATGTCTTGAAATAAGATGATGTAAATTCTCCATCTTTGTTCTTTTTGAAGATTGTTTTAGCTATTCTAATCTTCTCCATTTTCAAAAATATAAATTTTAGAATCAGCATATTTCTCTGAAGACCCTATGAGGATTTTGATGATCAGTTTGTTGGTTCTGCAGATTAATTTGGGGAGAATTGACATCTTAAGAATATTGAGTCTTCCAGCTTGTGAATATGGTGATTTATTTAGGTTTTCTTCAAGTATGTATTTTCGATCATCTGTATACGTATTTTCACTCCTTCCAGGATTACAAAAATAACTTATTCAGCCAATGGAAGCAATTGCTACCAGCTGAGTTAAGCATTCAGCTATGGGTTAGATATTTGAGAGAACATGGGAACCTGGTTATATCTTCTGTGTGTGACCCATCCCTCAGTTTATTGGACTGAATTCATTTGTATAGTAATAAGACTATTTATTTATTTATTTTTTTGAGGCAGGGTCTCACTCTGACTCCCAGGGTGGAGTACAGTGGCACAATCACAGCTTACTGCAGCCTGGATTTCCCGGGCTCAGGTGATTTTCCCACCTCAGCCTCCTGAATAGCTGAGACTACAGGCATGTACCACCACACCTGGCTAATTTTTAAATTTTTTGTAGAGATAGAGTTTCACCATGTTGCCCAGGCTGGTCTCGAACCCCTGGGCTCAAGTGATCCACCCACCTCGGCTTCCCAAAGTGCTGGGATTACAGGCATGAGCCACTGTGCCCAGCCTGATAAGACTCATTTTAATGTAATTCACAGGTTTTTGCTCTTTGATGAGAGTCGGTAAGTACCTTCACTTACTACCTGGATTACAGTGCTTTATCATCTGTGTGGATTCAACACCCCGTATATATTTTACTTTCTTGTCTGTTTCTTTAGCCACTGGGCTATAGTCTTTAATTGATCAGTGTCTCTGATGCTGAGTGTCCCAGGCTGATCTTGAACTGCTGGGCTCAAGAAATCCACCCGCCTTGGCCTCCCAAAGTGCTAGGATTACAGGCATGAGCCACTGCACCCAGCCTATGAATGTATTCTTCATAGGTTTACTTTAAGTGCCAGATTACCTTCAGTTATACACATCATCATGTTCTTATTACAGGCACATGGAGTAATGGCGGGATAGATAGCCTTTTGCCATATTAGGTTTATCCATGTACATATTTTTTTATAGCACTTATATTGTGTTTTGTTCATATGCTTATTTCTGACTAGACTGGGGTCTTGGAGGCCAAGGACAGCCTGTTATTTATCTTTGCTGCAGAATGTCTGGCATATTGAGGACATGCAGGAAAAGTTTGAATTAATGAATTATAGCTCAAAATACACAAGGCTTCTAACAAATAATTCTTGTTAGACTTGACTCTTGCAGTTCTTACAGGTTTTCCCAACACGGTCATAATTCTTGTACCTCTTGGCAACATGATGTAGCAGAAGTGGGCTTCCTGGAATAGGCCTCAGTTTGAATCCTAACTTTGCTAACCTACCAACTGTTCTTTTTTACTCAATTAATTTTAAAAATTGAGTCAAAATTTGCATACCATAAAACTCACCCTTTTAAGGTATACAATTCAATGATTTTTAGTATTTTCACAACAAGGCGTATAACCATCACCACTATCTAATTCTAGGACACTTTCATTATCCCACAAAGGAAACTTCATACCCATATTCATGCCCCTTAGCAGTCACTCCTCAATTCCTTCTTCCTCCATTCCCAGGCAACTAGGCATATACAAATCTTATCATTTTTGTTTAAGGGAAACAGATTAAATTGATCTGGCCTTATAACTGACTTCTTATCCTTCAGAAATCTAATATGCTAAAAGGAGGCATTAATTGGTTTTTCTCCTTGTAGGAAACAACACCAAATAGGGATACCATGGGACAAACAGTGAATGAAGGTAAGATTTACTTGTTAAAGGCAATAATGTTTTTAGTTACTCATTTGGAATGAATATCTTCTGGTATACTGAACTTTTGAAATAAAGCCTTTAAAAAATAAATTTATAGGAGATGCTAGGTGCTTAGAATTTGAATTTTAGAACTGAATAGCTATTAAAGGTCATTGTCTTTCCTTGCTAGTTATATAAATGAGAAAACTGAAACTTAGAGAGGTTAAGGTCATACAACAGTTTGTGACAAAGCCAAGATTAGAATCCAAAGAGTGATTAAAAAATGTTTCATCCTGTTTTGCTCTATGAGAAGTCTGCTCACTATTCCATGAATATGCCACACTCATTTGCAGTCAGCTTTGTGTTGTATCTTCCTTCCCATAATACATTCTTTACATATTGGCCTTCCTACATCCTGTTTCTCCTTCAAGCGCTGTATCTCTCATGACTTTTCCTCTGGCTGAATGCTGAGTACTAAATGCTGTTCTCTAATTTTAAGTGTATCAGTTTAGTGTAGTCTCTTGACTAGATTCTTAGCTTCTCTAGAAGCTAAGCATGCCTTTACAGTTTTACTTTGTTTTCTTTTAGAAAAATCCTTCTGTAGAACTATTTAGTAAATACAAATTTGTACGTTCTTTGTACAGATTCAAGTTTGGCTTTTTGGTGAGAGAGGAGAGGATAAGATGACTTCATAAGTGGTGTTGTGTATTTCTCACAGGAGACTCCTAATATCTAGTTATCTCTCTCTGTCTTTTTTTAAATTTTTATTTTTATTTTTTTTTGAGACAGGGTTTTGCTCTGTTGTCCAGGCTGGAGGGCAGTGGCACGATCATGGCTCATTGCAATCTCTGCCTCCTGGGCTTAAGTGATCCTCTTGCCTTAGCCTCCTGAGAGGCTGGGGCCACAGACGTGAGCTACCACACCTGGCTAATTTTTTGTATTTTTAGTAGAGACAGGGTTTTGCCATGTTGGCCAGGCTGCTTTCGAACTCCTGACCTCAAGTGATCTTCCCGCCTCGGCCTCTCAAAGTGCTGGGATTACAGGCATGAACCAACGTGCCTGGCCTTTTTTTAAAAAATATTTTTTTACAGAGATGAAATTACTCAGACTAGAGTGCAGTGGCGTAATCATAGCTTACTGTAACCCCAAACTCCTGGGCTCAAGTGATCCTCCTGCCTTGGCCTCCCAAGCAGGTGAGGCTGCAGATGTGTGCCACCACACCTGGCTAATTTTTTAAAAAAATTTTTGTGGAGACTGGGTCTTGCTGTGTTGCTCAGGTTGGCCTCAAACTCCTGGCCTCAAGTGATCCTCCCTCCTTGGCCTCCCAAAGTGGTGGGATTACAGGTGTGAGCTGTCACATCCAACCTAGTTATCTCTTTTTGTGATGTGAAAAATCACAAAAAGTCATGGATGGCTATTCCCTGGATCCATTCATTTATTAGTAGTTGTAAAATGAAGGTATTCTATCATTCTTTATTGGCCAAAAAATTTCTATATAGAGAAACTACCTTTCTTCAACCACTCAGTTGAAATCATTTAAACAGAAAGCAGCTCATATATCCCTCTCAAGTGTTCACACATCTTGAAGAGTCACTCAGTCATAACTAGTAAGTAGATCTGTTACGTTGAATGGCATCATTCTTAGATCCTTCTTTAAGAAGTTTGTCACTTGACAATTAGAACATCGGTAAGGGTAAAATAGCAACACAAGTATGTTTAAATCCATGAGTTCATAATGATAATAAAAAGCAAAACAAATAAAACTTACTGGTCATCTGTGGAGAATGCTAGAGATCCAGCTCATCACTTTGAAAACTAGAAATACAGGAAAATAATAAAGTGCTGATTGTGATTTCTCTATGTGATCCGTGCCTTAAGGTAACTGAATGGTTGAAGCATGGAAGCTTCTCTCTATAGAAGTTTTCTGGCTAATAAAGAATGATAGAATTAGAATACCTTCATTTTGCAACCATTAATAAACGAAAGGATCTAGGCAATAGCCATCCACGACTGTTCACATCACGAAAAGAGAGATAACTAGATATTAGGAGCCTCCTGTGAGAAATACACAACACCACCTATGAAGTCATCTTATCCTCTCCTCTCCCACCAAAAAGCCAATCTTAAATCTGACCAAACTCTTCTGGATTGAAATATGAATGCCAATTTAAAGAAAATACAAGAAACAGAGGAACCGAACTCTGTGGGGAGGTAGTCAGCAAAATCCAGACTGGAAAACTTGAAAGGACCAACCAACTGGTATTGTCAGCAAAAAAATTGTAAAGGGGAAGAATAAAAACGAGAAGAAAGGAGGAAGACACCTGTAGATCAAAAGAGATGTAAGAGACATATCAACCATTGCTATGTGTGTGGACTTATTTGGGTTCTGAATCAAGCATACACACTAAAAATAGTTAAGACAATTGGGGAACACTGGTTATTTGATGATTTTAAGGAATTATGGTTAATTTTTTTAGATGTAATAGAAATATTATGCTTAAGTTTTTAAAAATGAGTCCTTTTAGAGATACATACTATAATACATGTGGATGAAATGATACATCTTAGATTTGGTGAGGTTACCAGGTCCAGTGTTATTTGAGCTCTTTAGCTTAGCACCAAGAAAATCTCTGCCCAGTCCATTGAATTACAGTGTATTGTAGCTTCTCTGTTATGTTTTGAACTCTCAAAAGCATCTGTTTTATTTCTAGGACATGTTAATTTAAACATTGTAAAGATCAGCTCATTTTGATTTATTGATGCACTGATTTTTTTTTTTTTTTTTTTTTTTTTTTTTTTGAGACGGAGTCTCGCTCTGTCACCCAGGCTGGAGTGCAATGGCACGATCTCAGCTCACTGCAACCTCTGCCTCCCGGGTTCAAGTGATTCTCTTGTCTCAGCTGCCCGAGTAGCTGGGATTACAGGTGCCCGCCACCATGCCTGGCTAATTTTTTCTATTTTTAGGAGAGACAGGGTTTCGCATGTTGGCCTGGCTGGTCTCAAACTCGTGACCTCATGTGATCTGCCTGCCTTGGCCTCCTCAAGTGCTGGAATTACAGGCGTGAGCCACCACGCCTGGCCTGATGCATTGATTTAACAAATGCTTGAGAGTGTTGCGATGCCAGGTCCTGTTTTAGGCGCTTGAGGATACCACAGTGAATGAGATAGACAATAAAATAAATAAATCTCTGCCCTTTTGGAGATTTCATTTGAGTAGAGTGAGACAATAAATGAGCAGATTATAAAATGCATAGTACATTAGAAAATGGTAAGTCCTACATAGAAAATGAAGATATTATAAAACTAAAATTGGCTCTTTAAAGTTTTTTAATTTATATTTTTCTGAGTGCTCTTTCAAGCTGTTGCTGTGGACTCCCAGTATTGCTATTTTCTTTTTTATTAGATTCCATGGATGTCAAGAAGGAGAATCAAGAGAAAACTCCTCAGTCAAGTACATCTTCTGTACAAAGGGGTAGGTTTTAAAGTAATTTAATACAGCATAGTTTTCTTCCTCACTAGTGTTAAAATTAACTTTAAGTGCAAATTTTCTTATTGTTTTGATTTCTTATTGTACAGTCTGTATACTGTAAACTTCTGTAAATACAAAATGTAATAAGAAAGGTCAAAAATTGTATTTTATTTTGAAAATTTTACTTAGAGATAAGTTGACACGGATTAAGTAAAAGGGTAACTTTGTATATTTCAGTGCAAATTTTCCTAAATTATAGGTATCTAGTTATTAATTGCCATGTATTACCAATTTAAAATAATTTGGTTATTAGCAAAAACCCTTCTAACGTTACAGTCAATGTGAAAGCTTTTTTTTCATGGTCAGAAGACAGTTCAGTGGTTAAGAGCTTATAGGCATTGTGGTGAGTCCGACAGATGTGTTCTGGAATTCTGTCCTCACTCCTTACTGGCCATGGTGACCTTGGGCACATTACTCAACAGCTCTTAGACGTTTTTTCTTCTTCTTTCTTTGAGACAGAGTCTCGCTGTGTCACCCAGGCTGGAGTGCAGTGGTGTGATCTTGGCTCACTGCAACCTCCACCTTCCGGGTTCAAGCGATTTTTGTGCCTCAGCCTCCCGAGTAGCTGGGACTACAGGCATGCACCACCACGCCTGGCTAGTTTTTGTATTTTTAGTAGACATGGGGTTTCACTGTGCTGGCTAGGCTGGTCTCAAACCTCTGACCTCAGGTGATCCACTTGCCTCAACCTCCCAAAATGCTGGGATTACAGGCGTGAGCCACTGTGCCCGGCTCTTTTTTCTTCTTTATAACACAGGGATAATGATAGTACTTATCTCATGGCACTACTGGAAATAAATAGAGGAAATGAATTTAAAGCACCTAATATAATGCCTAGGCATATAGTAAGTGTTCAGTAAATGTTAACTTTATTAATTCATGTTCCTTATTATGAACAGTACATGTATAATATTGCATCAGAGACACTCAGGAGATGTAATAGAATCTGATGCATTGGCTTGCTCTTAAATGAGAAAATAAGTCATATGTACACAAAAGGCATTAAAAAATAACGTAGCAAACTATTGTTTTACCAGACATTTCCAGAGATTTCTTGCCCCTTGTGTTTCTGTTGTATCTGCCCTGCCAGCCCCAGTGCAGAGCAGTTCACCCTATGACCTTCTGTTCCTACTTGAAGATTGCCTATAGAGGTAATCCCCACGGAATTGTTGTTCTCTCACTGTAGCTGGGCCCTCAGTGCTCCCTTAACTTTCTTTACCATGGCCTTATTTGTTCTTCAACTCTTCCCTGGGACCCCCAAATCCTCTGAGGAAATGGAGGCCATTGAATTAGACTGTTCCTTATCCCTACAAACTCCTCTCCATCTGTTTTTAAAAATATAACAGCTTTACTGAGTTATAATTCAAATATCATATAATTCACCTATTTAGAGTGCACAATTCAATGGTTTTCAGTATGTTCACAGAGTTGTGCAACCACCACCACAGTCAATTTTAGAACATTTTTATCCCCCTAAAAAGAAATCCTGTACCCATTAACAGTACTCCCCATTTCTCCCTAGTGCCTCCTGTCTCCCCCAGCTCTAGGCAAACACAGGTCTACTTTCTGCCTCTATAGATTTTCCCATTCTAGACATTTAATTAAAAAAATAGATTACTTAAGTTGATAGCCATCTGCAGATACTTCTCAGGCCTGGGCCCTAACATCCTATTTTAGAAATCAGTGAGTGACTACCAGAAGGTAAGCTCCAAGAGAGCCAGGGTTTTAATCTGTTTTATTAACTCATGCATCTGCAGTACCTAGGACAGTGCCTGGCACATGCTGATGACCTGCTATGGGAATCCAGTTACGAACAATATAGACATGATTCCTGCCCTCTTTTATTGACTGACTGATTGAGACAAGGTTTTACTCTGTCATGCAGGCCAGAGTGCAGTGGCATGATCATGGCTCATTGCAGCTTTGACCTTCTGGTCTCAAGTGATCCTCTCACTTCAGCCTCCCGAGTATGTGGGACCACAGGCGTGCACTACCATGCCTGGCAATTTTTAACAATTTTTTGTAGAGACGGGGTCTCTCTGTGTTTCCCAGGCTGGTATTGAACTCCTGGGCTCAAGCGATCTGCCCGCCTCAGCCTCCCAAAGTGCTGGTATTACAGGTGTGAGCCACTGCACCCAGCCTCTTACCCTCTTTGAGCTTAGTGGGCAAGATAGAAATTAACAGATGCCTAATTGTAGTTGTGATAAATGCTGTGAATTAGTGGATGCTGATCATTCAGCTGAGAAACTTCTATCTCTAGGTATTTTGCCCATCTTCACATAGCAAGGGATCCCAAGGATAGCACTGGTGGAAGACATGATTCTGATTTACTCTAGAGAAGACCAGGGGAGCTCATATGGGTTATATTCAGTACAAAAAGATGTTGGAGCTAATGTGTAGACTAGAATAGAGTACAAATAAAAAAAGAAGAGACCATGGGCACATGTGAATAACAATCAGATCACAAGGAGATATATATATAAAATCATATCAGTTCCCAGGCCTCTCTTCTGAGATAGAATACTGCCCCCATCCCCAGTCTGTCAATGAAGACATGATGCAGAGGCAGACTGGGACCTCAGGCTTAACTAAGACTTTCTGACTATTTTGGCTTCTGGTTGGGAATTCCAATGGTGGTATTGACGTAGATGTGTCAAGTCTAAATTAGTAAAGCCTGGAGCTTTGTGTGTTTCCCCTATGTTATGAACACGTGGGCAGCCAAGATGAACAGTTTTATCAAGATGATTAAGAATTTTGCCTTATGGAAAAAGGGGAAAAGAAAACAAACAAAAACCAACGAACCTGAGGCTCCAAATGGCAAATGCTGCATATGGTCATTAACCAGTAATTTGATAGAAAATTATATTGTAGAGCACTAGTATAAAGGATTTGCTAGCTCAGATTGTAGCCCATTCAGACACAAATGGTAATAGAATATTTTAAAAATTTGTGTTATGGAGATGAATTAAGTATTTTCTAATATTACTGAAAAATTTTACAAATGTCATTGGTTTATGGAAGAGTGTTAGTTCTTTGGGTATTCATTTCCTGCTTGTTATTTCTGACTTACACTATTTTCCTCCAGGGTGTCAACTTCTTAATGACATCCATCCATCCCAACTAAATGTTTTGTTTTGTTCTTTTTTTGTTGTTGTTGTTGAGACGGAGTCTCCCCCTGGTTGCCCAGGCTGGAGTGCAGTGGCGCGATCTTGGCTCACTGCAACCTTCGCCTCCACCTTCCGGGTTCAAGCGATTCTCCTGCCTCAGCCTCCCAAGTAGCTGGGAGGCACCCGCCACGATGCCCAGCAATTTTTTTTTTTTTAGTAGAAACGGGGTTTCGCCATGTTGGCCAGGCTGGTCTGGAACTCCTGACCTCAGGTGATCTGCCCACCTCGGCCTCCCAAGTGCTGGGATTACAGGAGTGAGCCACTGCGCCTCGCCCGTTTTGTTCTTTTTTAATGCTCTCCAAGATCATATGGTAGTAGAGCTTCACTTAGAATCTGTAGTGCTAGGGGGCAATCACTGAAACATCTGGTCTGTTTAATTTTGAAGCCGTGGATTTCGGTTTTCACTTTTGACAAAGCTATTCTGTATTAATAAATTTGAGCACAACTATGACTTCTAGTTTTATAACGTGCCATTTATTGAGTGACTTACATATATGCTACTTTATTTAGCTCTCAACATATCTAGTACCATGTACATTACTTTTCCCGTTTTATAAATGAAGGAACTGAGGCTAAGAAAGTGAATGACTTGCTCAGGGTCACATAGCTAGTAAGAGGTAGAGCCATACTGGAAGTAGGCAGATCTGACTCTAAAGCCCACATTCTTTTTTTTTTTTTTTTTTGAGATGGAGTCTTGTTCTGTTGCCCAGGCTGGAGTGCAGTGGTGCGATCTTGGCTCACTGCAACTTCCACCTCCCGAGTTCAAGCAATTCTGCTGCCTCAGCCTCCCAAGTAGTTGGGAATTACAGGTGCCCACCACCACATCCGGCTAATTTTTGTGTTTTTAGTAGAGATGGTGTTTCACCATGTTGGCCAGGTTGGTCTTGAACTCCTGACCTCAGGTGATCTGTTCACCTCAGCCTCCCAAAGTGCTGGGATTACAGAGCCACCGCACCTGGCCCTAAAGCCCACATTCTTAACACTCTCTCTGATGCATGATTTTCAATGCTGGTAGTGCTTGCTTCACATCATCTGGAAGTGGAATCAAACCCAGTATTTTCTTTTAGATGAAACGGTCTCTTAGATCTATTAACCAAAAGCAAGGTGCAAAATGTTACATGTGACATGCTTAATACCACATATAATATGTATACATACATATAGAAATGCATACACACATATGTAATGGTGGTACACTGGAGCTGGCTCACACCGGCTTGGGAGAGCCAATTGTGTACATCTTTTCCCAATTTCATGGTTGGTGGTTTTACCTTGGCACCTTACAGTCAACCATGGTGGTCATATTTACATCACGGAAATCTGCAAACGCTGTCAGTCAGGTTTTTTGTTGTATTTTCCAGAAAGCTGGTTGTTAAACATTATCAGCACTCTGTAGGTTTTTTTGTTTTTTGTTTTCTGCAAGGGGGGAGTCATCTAAGTATAATATCTTTTGAAGGAAATGTAAGAAGCTGGTAAACGTAGATTCTTCCAGGAAAGAGAACTGTCAAACCCAATATTTTTATAGTGAGGAAATTTAGCAAGAGTATAGAAAAGCCTCATGAATGATGAGAATTAAACATCATGTGAATTACTAGTTTGTTCACTACTACTGTCAAGTCTTTTTCTCAGTGTCTTGACAGTCTGGCTGGCACAGTGAAATGATACGTTCAAGCCAGGCAATGTGCTCTGCTTTCTGATCTTCTCTTCTAACATTATAATATGTCATGAAAACTAAGTGAGGAAGGACAGCAAGAGTCTGTAGAAAATGTAGGTCATTAAAATAATCCATATTAGTGACTGTACTGATGACTGGTTTATTGCTTTGTTCTGCCACCATCTTCTTGACACTCTGAATAGAGATCTAATAGTCCATTGAGAAACTACTCTGGTTACCACATTTTTTTCTTTCCATAAAGCATTGCAAGGGTAAAATTCTGTTTGACTGCACACTAAACCTTTAGCTCCCCATGAATAACAAAGAAGTGCCTTCACATTAATGGAATAAAGTGGTGAAAACATATTTATTGAATAAATTTATATTAGAGACAGATGGGTAGACTTCGCTATTACTCTAAAACAATTTCTTTAGTTATTTCTAACGTCCACATTTTTAGAATCACTGTGCTGTAGTCCACATTACAATGAGAGTATCTAGGTTATAATTTATTTCTGAGCCATTATTATCAGGATATCGTCTTATTTTTTATTTTTATGCTGGTCATGAAATGTAGATCAGGATTTTTGAATCTACTCTTTTGGAAGTTTTTTTTTTTTTTCTTTTAAGAGGCATGGAACTAAAACCCATTTTAATCCTGAAAGTTGTATATACTAAAAGTTACATTGTATATGCTTTAAGAAACTATTTTGCACATGTGTTTTTTCCAGATGATTTCCACTGGGAGGAGTATTTGAAAGAGACTGGGTCTATAAGTGCTCCTTCAGAGTGCTTCCGTCAGGTATGCCAAGATTCTGTAGCTGTTAGTTAATGTAAACTATTAACTTGTTGGAGGACGTCTGTGTGATTGTTAGATTCTGGTAGTGTGAGGAGATAGTGGGATTGTGGTAGTGCCTCTTAAGAGCCAGATGGTCTCTTTGCATTCATTAAGAACTTACTCTATGTCAGGTATAATAAGCTTTATGATTGCCCATCTGGCAGGAAAGGCAGACATATAAATAAATAATTATGAGAAGTGTGATAACTCCATACTGGAAGGGCTCACAGGAGCGATGCTATTTGAGATGGTTGGAATGGGAGGAAGGATAGTCCAGGCAGAGAGAACATCCAAAGCCAAGGCACATGGGCATGAAAGAATCTGAGTATTAAGGGATGGCTTGGGGTGGCTGGAGCACAAAGTGGATAGAGGCGATAATGTGGAAATGAGGTTAAAGGTGTGGGGGCATTTAAACTGTGCTGAGGAGTTGGACTTCATTATAGGCAGTGGTGAGCTGCTGGTTGGCTAATTTCAAGGGGAATGGTCTAATCAGATTCTTACTTTAGAAAGCCACTCGGTATATTTTAGAGGCTGTATTTGGGTTGCCTGGAAGTGGGCAGATGAGTGAGAACAGCAGCGGGTAGTGTTTTTATGCTGCATGTCAAGCCAAGGAGAGAATTTTGAAGATCTTTTCCTTGACTCTTACAGCTCTGACCTCACTCATCATCCACTGTGACTGTTATTTAAAATGTTCCTCAGGTATTCTGGTGACATAGCTGTCCATGTGTCTTCTCTTATAGTTGATGCATTTTAACCAAATTTTATTTATATATATAGTCTCAGATTCCACCTGTGAATGATTTCAAAGTTGGTATGAAATTGGAAGCCCGTGACCCTCGCAATGCCACTTCAGTATGTATTGCTACGGTTATTGGAATTACTGGGGCCAGGTTACGGTTACGACTGGATGGTAGTGACAACAGAAATGATTTTTGGAGGCTTGTCGATTCCCCAGACATACAACCTGTTGGGACATGTGAAAAGGAAGGAGACTTACTTCAACCTCCACTAGGTAAGAAGAAAGTTTTAAAAATAGCGTATTCTTTCTAATGTGATATTCAATAGAAATGGCTTTAAGTGGCCTTTTAAAATTTATTTTCTTGGGCATTCTTGCAAATAGATGGTCAGGTGGTTGCTGTGGAGAATGTATGATGAGAGAGGAAATCAGCACCATCTGTTGTGGAGTTTTGCTTAAGTACATATTTGGCATATGTGTGTAGAAGTTTTCTCCACTCCAGGGCAAGACTCATGCTAGGTCTTCAAACTTGAAATGTCAAAACCAGCTCTACTAGATTACATATGCAGATTCAGAACTCCTTCTGGGGAAGAACTTTGTAGCGTTTGATACAAGGCACATGCTCTCTCAATATTGTCCACTGAGCCATTCAGCAATTTTGGTATGGGGATAAGCCTAGGGGAAGGGTATGATTCCACATTCAGGTTCCAGTTTCAAACTCAAGAATTTCATTTCACCTACAGTGGGAAGAAATCAGAGCGAGAGGGACAGGAATTAGTACCTTTAGGTCTTTGAAAAGGAGAAAATGGAGATTTTAGCAAAGATTTTAAGGTACAAAATATGTACTTTAATTTTGGCCACATTTTTGAAAGGTAAAAAGGGTGTAACTAATTTGGGGCAACATTTTTCTTTTTAAAATGTAAGCATACCATGATACTCTGTAGGAAAGAAATGATTTAGTTTATTTAGTTGCTGTTCTATACTTTGAGTGAATGGTGGGCATTTACTTTTATTTGGTTCTTTACAGTGCTGAAAATGAAAATTCCTTGTTGCAAAGCACAATAAAAGAATGGATTTTTTTGTTTTCCTATTAGTGAAAAATTCCTTTTTCACTAATTTAAGTGAAAATTTTTCACAAATTTAAGATATTAACAATAGCCACTCTTTAGTAATATATCTTTATGCTGTCCTTGTTCTATTTGTTCGTTATAACTAATTTGGTTTAAAAAATATTTTTTTTTGAGATGGTTTTCACTCTTGTTGCCCAGGCTGGAGTGCAGTGGTGTGATCTCGGCTCACTGCAACCTCCGCCTCCTGGTTTCAAGCGATTCTCCTGCCTCAGCCTCCCGAGCAGTTGGGATTACAGGTGCCCGCCACCACGCCTGGCTAATTTTTGTATTTTTAGTAGAGACGGGGTCTCACCATGTTGGCCAGGCTGGTCTCAAACTCCTGACCTCAGGTGATCTTCCCACCTCGGCCTCCCAAAGTGCTGGGATTACAGGCGTGAGCCACTGTGCCCGGCTAAAATATTTTTAAAAACTAGTTGGAGATATGTTATTCCAAGAAGATGGTTTGGGGCATGTTTGTTTTTTGCCTTTTGCCTTCTTTCACTCACGTCTTTTGTCGTTTATTTGTTGTTTATAATATTTCTCAAATTACACAGAATTCTATGTGAAAGATAAGTGCAATCCTAGGCTTAGTGCTTCCCTATTTGGATTTTATTTCTCTTGTTGCAATATGGTATGTTTTTGCAGTTTGTTTAAAGGAGATGCTGCTGTTGTAATTGTCAGCATTTCAAATACATAACTAGATTTATGGTCATTCTTTTTAATAAAATTCTTAGACTTTGTTTTATTTAAAAATATGAAATGTATAGAAATATGTGCTGATTAGTATCTGTTTTGGCAGTATATTTAAAAATGCACCATTGGTGCCAGTTTGCTTTTTAGGTACTTTTGAATAGTTTAACTTCCATTTTAATACAACTTATTTAGTTTTCCTTTTAAAAAGATTTATTTGTTTAAACTTTAAAGGTTATTATTAAAAGATTTTATAAAGTTTTAACACACAAACTGAAAGGTGTACAGGTCATAAGTATATAGCTTATAAATGAACACATCTGTAAAGCCATCATCCAAATCAGAAAATAGAACATTATCAGCCCCCCAGAAGACCTGCTCCTGCTGATAACCAGCCATAATCTCTCCTTTCCTAAAGGTACTACCATCTATACTTCCTAACCTTATAGATTAGTTTTATCTCTTTTTAAAGTTTTTATATGTACCTTAATCCAATTTTGGTCTTTTAATCTATGTTTGACTTTAAGCAATTACAGAATTAAGTAAAATGTTACATTTAGGAAAATCTGGGCACATGATGGAATAGGATAATATGGGAGTTGAGAGAGAGGCTTAAGGACCAGAGAATGATTCTTATGCAATACTCTCCACAGAATGGAGAATAATAATGTTGATTTATTATAAGGGAGTATGTAACAAATCTCCCCCCACCCCTGTTTTTTTTTTTTTTTTTTTTTCAACAATTGTGTCTCTGGTCAGATTAAGGGGATTTTGGTACAGGATTATTAGAGGATGACTTTCCATCTTACCTTTTTTGTATGTTTTGTTTTATTGATGGAAAATAGGACAAAACCTGCACCCATTGCCAATGATTCATGTGCCTCCCTGTCTTAATGTATGCATGCATCAGGGGCGCATACCAAGTTCTTTCTAATTCTGGCATTGAGGCAAGCAGGTGTTGCATGAAACAGATTGCCCCCAGAAAGCAGTAAAACTAGCAGAACCCTGCTCCCTGCTGCATATGCCAGATGCTGTGAAGCCATTAGTTGGTGAGATCTCTAGAAAAGACACCTGTTGAGTCTATTTTGATAGCATCTGATACAAATTCTAAAAGAAGATCATTTTTAGTATGTATTAAGATTGCTAAAGTGAGAGCTGTCTTTTTTCTAACACATTTTATGGAGAATTTCAAACATACAGAAAAGGTGAAAAAATTTTACAGTGAGTACCCCCATGTCCAGTTTCTAGTTTCTACCATTATCATTTTATTATATTTACTTTATCACATATCTGTCTATCTATCTGCCCTTCTATTTATTCATCAATCCTTCTTATTTTTTAGTACATTTCAGAGTGAGTTGTTGGTATCAGTGCACGTCCCCTAAATATTTTAGCATATATATCATTAACGAGTCAATATCTATAGGTTTTTTTCTTTTGAGGTAAAATTGCATGCAATGAAATGTACTGTTGTGTGTGTATATGTGCTGAGTTTGACAGAAAACTGTCTTTCTGAAGTGAAAGAAGCCTGGGGCCCTGAGGAAAAGGGGGCTAGAAGTCTTTTACAGCCTTTGCCCTTGCTTGTGTGATTGTTGGTGGTGGAATGGAAGCTCTCCTAGGCTCCAGCTTAGATCACCCCTTGTATTATATACATGTTTGTTTGTGAATTCTAGCTAGTGACTTCTCTTAAAAGGAGAGTTTCTATCCCCACTGTAGCATTGTTGCCAGACAGTACAGTGGGGACACTAGCAATGAGAGGAGGGTACATCTGCTCCTCTTGCCCATGTTCAAAGTTCTTAGATAAGAAAGTCATTCTCTCGAGAAGAATGGTGAATGAAACCTATTTTTTATACCAACTTGTTAATAGTATCACAAGGAGGCTTTTTCATGATACCTAATTTATTTTATAAAACAGGGTACCAGATGAATACATCCTCCTGGCCGATGTTCCTCTTAAAGACACTAAATGGGTCTGAAATGGCATCTGCCACATTATTTAAGAAGGTAAGAAAGATGTTATAAAAAGCTGCCATGTTTTTATTGTTTTAGTGGGAATGCTTAAATGCTTAATCTTCTGTGACATGGAAAAGCAAACATACTTTTAAAATTACTGGATTGGCAAGTGTATTAGTTTGCTAGGGTTGCCATAACAAAGTACCACAGACTGGGTGGCTTAAACAACAGAAATTTATTTTCTCAGTTCTGTAGGCTGTAAGTCCAAGATCAAAGTGCCCTCAGATATGTGCAATGCTCCACCATTAGCATATAGACATGTTTGTATCTCCACACCTTCACTAACATTGAATATTATTCATCTTTTAAAATGTTGGGAATCTTTTTTGTGGGGGAGTGGTGAAGATGAGGATGGTATCCCATTGGTTTCTGGTGAGATCTCTCTTCTTGGCTTCCAGATGGTTGCTTTCTTGCTGTGTCTTCACATGGCCTTTTCTCTATCCATGCACATCCCTAGTGTGTCTTCCTCTTCTTATAGGGACACCAGTCCTATTGGATTAGAGGCCGACCCTTATGACCTCACTTAACCTTTATTACTTCCTTAAAGGCCCTATTTCCAAATACATATATGTTGGGGGTTGGTGCTTCAGCATATGAATTTTGAGATGATACAATTAAATTCGTAACAATAGCTTAAATAATAGAAATATATTTTCTCACAGTTGCGGAGGCTAGAAGTCTGAGATCAAGGTGTCAGCAGGTTTTTTTTTTTTTGTTTTTTTTTTTTGAGACAGAGTCTCACCTGTCACCCAGGCTGGAGTACAGTGGCACGATTTTGGCTCACTGCAACCTCTGCCTCCCAGGTTCAAGCAATTCTGCCTTAGCCTCCCAAGTAGCTGGGACTACAGGCGTGCACCATCATGCCCAGATACTTTTTTTGTATTTTTAGTGAGGTGGGGTTTCACCATATTGGCCAGGCTGGTCTTGAACTCCTTTTTCTTTTTTTTTGAGACTGAGTTTTGCTCTGTCACCCAGGCTGGAGCGCAGTGGTGTGATCTCGGCTTCCCGGGTTAAAGCAATTCTCATGCCTCAGCCTCCTGAGTAGCTGGGATTACAGGCGCGTGCCACTACACCAGGCTAATTTTTGTGTTTTTAGTAGAGACGGGGTCTCGCCATGTTGTCCTGGCTGGTCTTGAACTCCTGGGCTCAGGTAATCTGCCAGCCTTGGCCTCCCAGAGTGCTGGGATTGCAGGCATGAACCACTGCCCCTGGCCAGGTTTGGTTTCTTTTGAGGCCTCTCCTTGGCTTATAGATGGCTGCCTTTTCCCTGTGTTTTCACGTGGTCTGTTTATTCGTGTCCAATTTGTTCCTCTTATAAGGATGTCAGTCATATTGGATTAGGGCCTACCCTAATAACCTTATTTTAACTTAATTACCTCTTTGAAGACCCTGTGTCCAAATACCATCACATTCTGAGGTACTGGGGGTTAGTGCTTCAACATACAAATTTTGGGGGTGACACAATTCAGCCCAGAACAGCAAGTCATAAAAAAGTCTCAATTACAATAACCCACTGGTCCAATTTCATTAGCAGCCTCTTTCTTGACTGTAGATATAAAAAGAGTGCTCTACTGGAAGCAAATATTCATTGCTATTTTTTATTTGCATTCAGAAGTGAAGCTTCCCCTCACTTTACTGTGTTAGTCCCTTTGATATTGGAGAAAAAGATGATGGGCCAAAAAATCACTCGAAAGTTAGTTGGAGAGATTTGGTTTCAGAAGTAATGTTAAAAGCAGTCATCAGAAAGAATTTGTTATGAGGAAATACTTGGTATATAAAAAAAGAGGAAAAATTTCCAAAGTAGTTTATGTTCTTGAGAAAATGTTGAAGAGTATGTTAAGAAACAATAAAAGCCACGTTTTAGTTAAATTATGAGTCAGAATATTTCTTTCTCACCTTTTCTCCTGATTGTTTTTCAATCACTTAACTTTTATTACAACTATACTTGGAATGGTAAGAATTGATTGTTGTTTTAAAAAGCTTTTGAAGAAGATTGAAGGCATAAGGATGTGAAACATCAATTACTATGCCTCCATTGCAAAGAAAAATTCTGTGGGTACGCCTCTGAGTAAGATGAATGCAGAAAGTGGACTTGCCCTACCTGCAAGGGACACAGGCAGCACAGGCCCTTTGGCCAGTGGTAAGCCATGTGTGAGAATAGCCAATTAAAAAATATTTAGCAGAAGTCTTTATTTATTGAACACCTATTAGCTTGGGCTGTGGCTTTAGAAAAGCCATTGGATCTGTTTTACTAGTCAGATTGCTTAATCAGCATGCCACACTTGTCATACACATTATATTTTCAATTTTTTTAATTATAAAAGTAATTCATGTGGTGGGGGGCAGGGGATGGGAATCAAGCTATACTCTTAGCTAGAGTGAAAAATGCATCTCCCTTTGTCCCAACCATTCCTTCATTCCTCTCTTCCCTCCAAATTGAAGTTTTATTTGTTCTCCCAGACCTTTTTCTTTTTTTTTTTTTTTTTTTTGAGACGGAGTCTCGCTCTGTCGCCCAGGCTGGAGTGCAGTGGCGCGATCTCGGCTCACTGCAAGCTCCGCCTCCCGGGTTCACGCCATTCTCCTGCCTCAGCCTCCCGAGTAGCTGGGACTACAGGCGCCTGCTACCACGCCCGGCTAATTTTTTGTATTTTTTTAGTAGAGACGGGGTGTCACCGTGTTAGCCAGGATGGTCTCGATCTCCTGACCTCGTGATCCGCCCGCCTCGGCCTCCCAAAGTGCTGGGATTACAGGCGTGAGCCACCGCGCCCGGCCTTTCTTTACATTTACAAACAAATATGGGCTTTTATTTTCTTAAACATCAGTTGGAATATATTGTACATATTATTCTGTGGTTTACTTTTTCTCCTAACAGTTTTGGAAATCATTCTATTTCATTTCATATATATTTTAGCTTGTATTGTACTCTTGTGTAGTATGGATCATCAGAATTCATTTAACCCTAGAATTGACTTAACTGTAAGGATGGATGATTGGGTCATCTCCACATTCTTGTTTAGATCAGCTCTATAGTGAGCATTCTTTTAAAGAGCTTTGTGTATAAACGTGAACGGTTGCATTCTTGGAACTAGAATTGCTTGTTCAAAGGGATGTATGTTTTGGCTGGGCATGGTGGCTCACACTTTGGGAGGCCAAGGCAGGAGGATCATTTGAGCCCAGGAGTTAAAAACCAGCCTGGGCAACACAGGGAGACCCTGCCTGAAAAAAAATTTTAAAAATTATAAAGAAAAAACAAAGGGGTGTATGTTTTAAATGTTGATATATACTGTGAAATTGCATCCCCAAAGGGTATTCTAAGGCAGCAGTCCCCAACCTTTTTGTCACCAGGGGTCAGTTTCGTGGAAGACAATTTTCCCATGGATGGAGGGGTGGGTGGTTTCGGGATGATTCAAACGCATTGCGTTTATCATTAGATTCTCCTAAGGAGTGTGCAATGTAGATTCCTCGCATGTGCAGTTCACAATAGGGTTTGCACTCGTATGAGAATCTAATGCCTCTCTTGATAGGAGACAGAGCTGAGGTGGTAATGCGAGTGATGGGGAGCAGCTGTAAATACAGATGGAGATTTGCTTGCTTGCCTGCTGCTCACCTCCTGCTGTGCCACCCAGTTCCTAACAGGCCACAGGCCAGTACCAGTCTGGGGGGTTGGGGACCCCTGTTCTAAGCTATGCTCCACCATTAGCCCATAAACATGTTTGTATCTCCACACCTTCACTAACATTGAATATTATCCATTTTAAATTTTCATGACTCTTTTTTTGGAGGGAGTGGTGAAGATGAGGATGGTATCCCATTGTTTTAATTTGCATTGCACTGATTACTAGTGAAATTGTGCTTTTAAGATTTGTTTAATGGCCTTTTGTTTTTCTGTGAATTGTCTGATTATAGCCTTTGCCTATTTTTCTGTTTTGTTTTTGAGACAGAGTCTCACTCTGTCTCCCAGGCTGCAGTGCAGTGGCGTGACCTCAGCTCACTGCAACCTCCGCCTCCCGGGTTCAACTGATTCCTGTGCCTCAGCCTCCCGAGTAGCTGGGATTACAGGCATGTGCCACCACACCCAGTTAATGTTTGTGTTTTTAGTAGAGACAGGGTTTCACCATGTTGGCCAGGCTGGTCTCGAATTCCTGACCTCAGGTGATCTGCCTGCCTTGGCCTCCCAAAGTGCTGGGATTACAGGCGTGAATCACTGTGCTTGGCCCTTTGACTGTTTTTCTATTGGATTTCTTTTCTTCTTAGAATCATCATCTTAAATCCTCACTTTTCCTTGATTTTGGCCTCTGGAGGTCCACTCACTTAGGTTCCTAATTATTTATTTGTCCTGTTTCTTTCTAACCTTACCACCACTGCTCCTTGGGCAGACTGTCAACCTAAAATAACAGCAGAGAAATAGGCTCTCCAAAAAAAAAAAAATAGTCTATTTGGGAACGAATGACAAGGGATTACAATGCAGGATGTTTGTGCTGTGATGGATCATTGGCATATCTGGTGAAGGTAAGGCAAAGGGAAGCTTTTAAAGGCAAAACAAGGAAGGTTACATAAGTTGTTTTGAAACACTTATCCTTGGCCACAAGGATCAATAACAAGAGTGGTATCTGGGGTTGAACGGTTACTGGATAGATGTCCTTGCAGGAGTATTCTTTGTGTGAGGTTGTGGTTTTCAGAGAGTCCTTGTAATAGTTTTTATCATAGGCGTGTGTACATGAGAGCCCCTCCTCTATGGTCCATTTTGTTAGGGTTTGGCATAAGTGACTCCATTTTGATTCTGACAACTTTTATAAGGCTCTCCTCTTGCCTGAACTGTTATGCTAGCCTTTTAACTGCCTCTAATCTTCACCCTTTCACACAGCCGCTAGAAATGTGTATCTTATACAAAAACCTTACCATGTTATTCCCCTGTTTAAAACTCTTTTGAAATTCCTGGTTATACTCAGGAAGAAGTATAAGTTTTTCAATATGGCCTGTTAGGTCCTGTGTGATCAAATTTAGGGATGCCACTCCCTGCTTTGGATGTTATGTTCTTAAATTGCTTGTGAAAGCTTGTAGATACCTGTTTATTTTTAGAGCTCTGTTTTGACTCATGTTGGTTTTTCCTGGTTAGCTCCTACTTTTTAAAGATTCAAGTCAGATGTTAAATCCTCCAAGATAATATCCCTAATTCCCCTTCTCCATTCTTCTACTTTTTTTTTTTTTTTTTTTTTTTTTTGGTGAGACAGAGTCTCCCTCTGTTGCCTAGGCTGGAGTGCAGTGGTACAATTTCACTTCACTGCCGCCTGCAACCTCTGCCCCCTGGGCTTAAGTGATTCTCCTGCCTCAGCCTCCCAAGTAGCTGGGACTACAGGCACCTGCCACCACGCCCGGCTAATTTTTTTTGTAGTTTTAGTAGAGACGGGGTTTCGCCATGTTGGCCAGTCTGGTCTCGAACCCCCAACCTCAAATGATCCACCCACCTTGGCCTCCCAAAGTGCTGGGATTACAGGTGTGAGCCACTGTGTCCGGCCCATTCCTATACTTCTATAGCATTGTATATATCCCAATCTTTGTATGTGTTAGATTATATTATTATTTTTACTGTCTCTCTTCCTGGACTGTGAGTTCCTTTTGAGCAGTTAGCATGTTTTTGTATTGTCAGTGCCTATATTAGTTTCTGGACACATACTTGTTTGTTAAAAGAATGAAGAAAGGATAAAAGAATACAGGAAGATAAATATTTATGGAAGGAACAGATGGGCTTAGTTTTGAACGTGTTGAGGTGTCTCTGGGAAATTTGAGTAGTGATGACTATCAGGCTGTTGAAAGTAAATGGTTTAGAACTTAGGAACAAAGTTTGGCTTGGGCACATGGATTTGGAAATTTTTAGCAGAAATAGTAGTGATAGAAGCTTTGAGCTTAAATGAGCTAGTCCAGAGAATATATAGAAGGAAGAGAGAGGAGTGTCAAGGTGAGAGCCTTGAGAAATACCTACCTACCTTATAGGGTGGGTAAAGGGATAGGAGCAGCTCTAGAAATGGAGGAGGAAAACTAGAATAAGCCAGTGTCATTGAATCCAGTGGGGCAGAGTTGCAAGGATTAGGGAGTGGTTAACAGTCTCAAGTACAGCTTAGAATTACACAGTGCCTGGCCCATATCATGTACTTAAGGAAGGTCATTTATGAGGAAAGCTGATTTTTGACTATTTGGTAGATAGAAAATCATCAGTTACATTAGCAAGAGCTAAAGTCCAGGTGAAAAGTGTCCTCAGCTAAATTTATAATTTTGGGCAGACTATATGGAGATCATTCCTGATGGCTTCAATTTACTATTTCTATAAATAGACCTCAATGATGGGAAGATCACTTGAGTCTGGGAGGTTGAGGCTGCCATGAGCCATGATCTCGCTACTGCATGCTAACCTTTTAGCCTAGGTGACAGAGTGAGACCCTGATTTAAAACAAAACAAAACAACAACAACAAAAAAACAAAACCTCAAATTCCTATTTCTGCAAAGTAGGAAACTGGCAAAGGCTGGAAGAAAATTCATACATACTGGTTGGGGATAAAGTCAGTTAACAAAATAACAAACATATAGTGAGGCTACATCATTTATCTCAAGGAGAATGGTTAAGGTTTGGAACAGCTGCCATACGGGATGGGAGAGGGAATGGTCTAGGGACACATGACAGTATTTTGGAGGGCTTAGCTAAGGATGAAGGGTAAAAATGTGTGTCACTACATGTAATAAGCATGTGGGAGGGACTTTGCTGCAGCAGTGCTCAGCAGCTGTATTAGTCTGTTTTCATGCTGCTGATAAAGACATGCCTAAGACTGGGGAGAAAAAAGTTTAATTGGACTTACAGTTCCACATGGTTGGGGAGGCCTCAGGATCATGGTGGGAGGTGAAAGGCACTTCTTACATGGTGGCGGCAAGAGAAAATGAGGAAGACGCAAAAGTGGAAACCCCTGATAAACTCATCAGATCTTGTGAGACGTATTCACTACCACGAGAATAGCATGGGAAAGACCGGCTTCCATGATTCAATTACCTCCCCCGGGTCCCTCCCACAACAAGTGGGAATTCTGGGAGATACAATTCAAGTTGAGATTTGGTTGGGGACACAGCCAAACCATAGCAGCAGCTAAGTATAAATAGGTGAAGTGGATGGTGATATTGAACTAAGGTTTGGAATAACAGGGCAAAGACAAGGGAATAAGTTGGTTTTGGATGCTGAGAAGAGAGTAGTGAAATGATGCTTTGTAACCTAGATATGAGTGCTGCTTCACATCCTACAATGCACAGAATACACATACACACACACACGCGCACACACACACACACACACACACACACACGCACACCCATTCTGGCTCCAAACGTCAGTAGTGCCAAGGCTGAGAAACCCTAACCTGTATTAATCCCCTGGTGAGCTCATCTAATTATCTGGCTTTAAATACAGTTTATATGCAAATGATTTTCAAATTTGTATTTCTACCCCAGACCTCTTACTCCCAACTCAGATTTGTATATCCAGCTACCTACTCTACATCTCCACTTGGATGTCTGATGGACATCTCAAACAGTTCCACCTGTTAACCTCCCTATCTCAGGGAGGGGAAACTATCTTTCTAGTTGCTCAGGCCTCAAACCTTGGTAATTGTTTCTTTCACACCCTACATCTGGTCCATAAGGAAATCCTATTGACTGTACCTTCAAAATACAGTCAGCTTTCCATATCCTCGGGTTCTGCATCTATGGGTTCAACCAACTGCAGATTGAAAATATTAAAAAAAAACAAACCCAAAATACAGTAAAAAATAGTACAAGTGAAAAAAATATAGTATAACAGCTATTTACATACCATTTATATTCTATTAGGTATCATAAGTAATCTAGAGATTACTTAAATTACTTATAATCTAGAGATTATTTAAAATATATGGGGGGATGTATATAGGCTATATGCAAATACTGTGCCATTTTATATCAGGGACTTGAGTGTCCTTGGATTTTGGTATCTTCAGTGGATCCTGGAACCAGTCCTCTGTGGATTCTGAGGGACAAATGTATATCCAAAATCCAACCACTTCTTGCCGTCTCCATTGTTAACACTCTGGTACAAGCTGTCTTTTTCAATCTCAGTTGGATTACTGCAGTAGCTTCTCACTGGTCTCTGCATTTATAACTTTACAGGCTATCATCAGCACAGCAACCAGAGTATTCCTTTTAAAATGTAAATCACAGCCGGGCATGGTGCCTCACGCCTGTAATCCCAGCACATTGGGAGGCTGAGATGGGTGGATCACTTGAGGTCAGGAGTTCAAGACCAGCCTGGCCAACAGGGTGAAACCCTGTCTCTACTACAAATTGAAAAATTAGCTGGGCATTGTGGTTGCGCACCTGTAATCCCAGCTACTCGGGTGGCTGAAACAGGAGAATTGCTTGAACCCGGGAAGCAGGGATTGCAGTGAGCTGAGATTGCGACACTACACTCCAGTCTGGGCAACAAGAGTGAGACTCCGTCTCAAAAACAAAAACAAAACAAACAAAAAACCCACATAAGTCAAATTATATCACTCCTCTGTTCAAACTCTTCCAGGGGCTTCCTGTTTTACTCAGAGTAAAAGCCAGAATCCTTACAGTGATCTATAAAACTATATATGATATGACCCCTCATTATCTGTCTGACCTCATTTCCTACTGCTCTCCTACTTACATTTTACCCACACTCAACTTCCTTGGTGTTCTTTGAACATTTCAGACACAGCTCCTGCTTTAGGGCCTTGGTTCTGTCCATTTCCCTCCTTCAGATTTCTGCTCACATGTCACCTTCTATATGAGACTTGTTTTAATTTCTCTATTTAAAGTTGTACAACCCCTCCTACATTTCTCTCTGGATTTTTCCTATTGTGCTGTTCTCTCTCTCTCTCTCTCTGCATAGCATTTATCATTTCTAATGTATGTGTTTTACTTTTTAAATTATGTTTATTGTCTCTCCTCACTAGCATGTAAGTGCTGTGAGGGAGGGATTTTGTCTTTTTTGCTTGTTAATATATCCCAAGAACCTTCAGTAGTGTCCGGAATATAGTAGATACTAAGTAAATATTTGTAAATGAATAAATGAAGGTTAAAGGACTAAAATTATTGGTGAGGTCAAATAAGTAGTTGATTAAAAATAAGGAGATAGAAGTTCATGTATTAGTTTGTGGTCAGAGGCAGGTACTGGGAATATAGCAGTAAACAAAGCATAAAATATGCTCTTATGGAGCTTACTTTCTACTTGGGGAAATGTTTAATAGATATGCTAAATAAAGAAAGTGTATCTTATGTTTTATACTCTCACATGTTTAGAAGAGAGGTCGACATTTTAGACAGGTTGGCCAGGAGGGTCTGAGAAGGTACCTTTTGAGTAAAGATCTGAAGGAAGGCAGACAGTGAACCATGAGGCTACAAGAGTAGGATTATTCCCCAGGCAGAGGAGTAATGCAGAGAATGCTGAGACTGGTTTCGGATTTTGTGGGACATGGGAAGAAATAGCCTTTAAGGAGAACCATATTGTAGGTAATCAAGAAGGGAGGTTAAAAGCTGGATGTGGTGGCACGTTCCTGTAGTCTCAGCTACTTGGAAGGCTGAGGCAGGAGGACTGCTTGAGCCCAGGAGATTTGAGTCCAGCCTGGGCAACATAGTGAGGAGACCCTGTCTTTTATAAAAGTAAAAGTAAAATAAAATAAAATAGAAATGAAAAAAAATAAATAAAATAAATATAAAGGCTGGGCGCAGTGGCTCACACCTGTAATCCCAGCACTTTGGGAGGCCGAGGTGGGTGGATCACCTGAGGTCAGGAGTTCGAGACCGGCCTGGCCAACATGGCAAAACCCTATCTCTACTAAAAATACAAAAATTAGCCACGTGTGGTGGCACGCGCCTGTAATCCCAGCTACTCGGGAGGCTGAGGCAGGAGAATTGCTTGAACCCAGGAGGTGGAGGTTGCAGTGAGCCGAGGTCGTGCCACTGCACTCCAGCCTGGGCAACAGAGAGAGACCGTCTCAAAAAAAAAAAAAAAAAAAAAAAAAGGGAGGTGGTTAAAAGAGCATTCTTTGCTAGCCATCTTCTAGAATAGAACCATTTTTGTCTCACCGTAAAAGAGAATTCCTTGTTTATTTTAGCTATTGCTTTTGCAAATTATATTTTTGTGTTCAGGAAGTTATTAAAGAACCGATGATGATGACAAACCAAATTCTTTAAAAGCATTTCACTTAACATAATGACCTCCAGTTCTATCCATGTTGCTGCATTGACAGGATTTCATTTTTATAGTTAAATAATATTCCACTGTGTATATATATCACATTTTCTTTATTCACCTGTTGATGGACACTTGATTTTTTTTGTTTTCTCTCCAACTTTTATTTTAGGTACATGGGGTACGTGTGCAGGTTTGTAATACGGATAGATTATGTGCTGGGGGGCTTTGGGGCACAGATTATTTTATCACCCAGGTAATAAGCATAGTAGCCGATAGGTAGTTTTTTGATCCTCACCCTCCTCCTACCTTCCACCCTCAACTCAAGTAGGCCCTGGTGTTTGTTGTTCACCTCTTTGTGTCCATGTGTACTCACTGTTTAGCTCCCACTTGTAAGTGAGAACATGCAGCATTTGGTTTATCTGTTCCTTTAGGGTAATGGCCTCCAGCTCTCCATCTGTGTTACAGAGGACATGATCTCGTCCTTTTTTATGGCTGCATAGTATTCCATGGTATATATGTACCAAATTTTCTTTATGCAGCCCACCATTGATGGACATCAAGGTTGATTCCACATCTTTGCCATTATAAATAGTGCTGCAATGAACATACGCGAACATGTGTCTATGGTAGAACAATTCATTTTCCTTTGGGTATATACCCAGTAATGGGATTGCTGGGTCGAATGGTAATTCTGTTATAAGTTCTTTGAGAAATCTCCAAACTGCCTTCCTCAGTGGCTGAACTAATTTACATTCCAACCAGTAGTGTATAAGTATTTTCTTTTCTCTGCAACCTCACCAGGATCTGCTGTTTTTTGACTTTTTAATAATGGCCATTCTGACTGGTGTGAGATGGTATCTCATTGTGGGTTTTTTTTTTTTTTTTTTGAGACAGAGTCTCATTCTGTCTCCAAGGCTGAAGTGCAGTGGCCCAATCTCGGCTCACTGCATCCTCTGTCTCCCGGGTTCAAGAGATTCTCATGCCTCAGCCTCTCAAGTAGCTGGGACTAGCCACCATGCCTGGCAAATTTTTTGTATTATTCGTAGAGACAGGGTTTTGCCATGTTGACCAGGCTGGTCTTGAACTCCTGACCTCAGGATATCCACCCACCTCAGCCTCCCAAAGTGCTGGGATTACAGGCATGAGCCACTGCACCAGGCCATCTCATTGTGGTTTTGATTTGCATTTCTCTAATGATTAGTGATACTGAGCATTTTTTTCATACGCTTGTTAGCCACTTGTATGTCTTCTTTTGAGAAGTATCTGTTCATGGATGGACACTTTTGATTCCATATCTGGCTATTGTGAATAGTGTTGCAGTAAACATGGGAGTGCAGATATCTCTTCAATATACTGATTTCCTTTCTTTTGGTTATGTACCCCCAGAAGTGGGATTGCTGGGTCATTTGGTAGTTTTATTTTTTTCTCTATGCTTTCTCACCAACATTTGTTATTTTTTTGGTCTTTTTGATAATAGTCATTCTAACCGGGGTGAGATGGCATCTCATTGTGGTTTTGATTTGCATCTCTTGGCCATTTCTGTGTCTTCTTTTGAGAAATGTCTATTCAGGTCTTTTGCCCATTTTAAAATCAGGTTATTTGTTTTTTGCTATTGAGTTGTTTGAGTTCCCTATATATTCTAGTTATTAATCTCTTGTGATGGATAGTTTGCCAGTATTTTCTTTCTCCCTTTCTGTAGGTTGTCCTTCCCTCCCTCCCTCCCTCCCTCCCTGTCCTTTCCTCCCTCCCTGTCCTTCCCTCCCTCCCTTCCTTCCTCCCTCCCTTCCTCCCTTCCTTCCTTCCTGTTTTTTTTTGTTTTTTTTTTTTTGAGATAGCATCTCACTCCGTTGCCCAGGCTGGAGTGCAGTGGCACCATCTTGGCTCACTCCAACCTCCACCTCCCAGGCTCAAGCAGATCCTCCTGCCTCAGCCCCCTGAGTAGCTGGGACTACAGGCATGCACCACCACACCCAGCTAATTTTTTTTTTTTCTTTTGAGACGAGTCTTGATCTGTCACCCAGGCTGGAGTGCAATGGCATGATCTTGGCTCACCGCAACCTCCGCCTCCTGGATTCAAGCGATTCTCCTGCCTCAGCCTACTGAGTAGCTGGGATTACAGGCATGCACCACCACACCTGGCTAATTTTTGTATTTTTAGTAGAGACGGGGTTCCACCATGTTGGTTAGGCTGGTCTCAACCTCCTGACCTCATGATCCACCCACCTCAGCCTCCCAAAGTTCTGGGATTACAGGTGTGAGCCAATTTTTATACTTTTTTAGAGATAGGGTTTTGCTAAGTTGCCCAGGTGGTCTCTAACTCCTGGGCTCAAATGATCTGCCCACCTCGGCATTCCAAAGTGCTGGGATTACAGGCATGAGCCACCATGCCTGGCCTAGGTTACATATTTGAATCTTAAAATTAGTTCTATTGCATTGCTTATTCCAGTTTTTTAATTGTTTTGTTGCAGAAAATATACATTGCCATTTGAACTTAGTTTGCTTTGCTACAGAAAGTCTCAGTCTGTTATAAGACAGTGTAAGGTCCTGGGATCCTTATGTGTGCCTTGAATGTTTTCTGCATTCTGTGAGCATCTAGCACAAACTTGTCAACTGCCGTGTTTATTCTTTGTTAAATGCAGCTTACCTCCCCACTATTTTCTTCTCATACATAGTAACAGGCAGTTAACCTTTAGCCCTTTCATGTAACACTGCTTCTTACTTACCAGCTATTTATCAAATACTTTGATCTTTAATCATCTACCTTTTGACTTGCCAGCTTTCAGGGTGGATTTTTTTTTTTTGAGGCAGAGTCTCACTCTGTTGCCCAGGCTGGAGTGCAGTGGCAAGAACACGGCTCGCCGCGGCCTGGATGACTTCCGGGGCTCAAGTGATTCTCCTGCCCCAGCCCACTAAGTAGCTGGGACTACAGGTGTGCTGCCACCATGCCCAGCTAATTTTTGTATTTTTTGCAGAGACGAGGTTTCGTCTTGTTGCCCAGGCTGTTGTCAAACTCCTGAGCTCAAGCAATCCACCTGCCTTGGCCTCCCAAAGTGCTGAATTAGGGATTACAGGTTTGAGCCCAGGGTGGTTTTTAAGAATCAAATTAAGATATGTAATTCAGCCTGGCATGGTAGCTCACACCTGTAATCCCAGCAGTTTGAGAGGCTGAGGTGGGAGGATTACTTTAGGCCAGGAGTTCGAGACCAGCCCGGCCAACATAGCGAGGCCCTCATCTCTATAAAAATAAAAATTAAAAAAAGAATATGTAATTAAAAGGACTTTGGAAGCTAATAATTAAGGAGCTTCCAGATCGTAAGGGTGTAAAGAGTAACAATAGAAAAATACAGGGTGATGAGATGGGTTTTAAGGGGGGCATTTGAAAAAGAAACCAACCTACCAGATATATTTTTTAAATTGATGAGAGAATTAGTTGAGAGCTTATTTACTGTTTTGGGGTGATTCCTTGGTTCTCTCATTTAAAAAATTGCTTGCTTTTGGTTATTGTGCTGGAAATAATAATATGAATAGCTGTTTTTAATAATCTCTTAGTCTCATAGAGGAATGAACACATTTCTATAGTGATACTACAATTGAAGATGAGAGTGGCTCAGTTGGAACTGGGCCTAGGAGTGGGCAGGGGTTGGTCAGGGAAGCATTCAAGGAAGCTAGGAGAACTGGGCTTTAAACTGGGTGAATTGGAGTTGTCCAGGCAGATGCTGGGGTAGGGTGCTCCAAGGAGGTGACTCCGAGACAGACTGCCTAGGTTTAAAATCCAGCTCTGATTGGGAGGTTGTGGTTTTTAATTGAATTATGGGTAAGTGAAAGGGATGAATCTAGGGTAGTGGTTCTCAACCTCAAGTGCACCTTAGAATTTCCCTGATAATTAAAATATTGCTGCTTCCCAGGACCCACCATAGATCAATTATTAGCTCTGGTGGTGTGGTCACAGGTGATTGTAATGTTCATTAGGGCAGAAAATCACCAGTCCAGGACTACTTTTTTTTAAATTCTTTTCTTTTCTCTTTTAATTTGAACAAGTGTCAGTAGAATAGGATTACTATTTCCAGTCTTTTGGCTTAGGTGACTGGGTTGCTGTGATGGTGCCATTTAGTAGGATGAAAAGCAGATTGAAAGAAAAGATGTTGCTTTTAACATAACACTTGGGCTTTTTAGCAATCCTGTTAACATTTACGTGCTTTAACCTTTTTGTGACTAATACTTTTAAAATGTTGATTTCTGGATTGGGTATTATAAATGACCCCATACTATATGACTTTCATGTTCTTGTGTCTGTATTTTATACTTACAGTTTCTTTTTTTTTTTTAAATTTTAAGTTATTCATTTTCTTTAGAATTCTTATACTTTGAGTTTCTTTTAGGATATTATCTGATGTCGTTTCTTTTCTTTGGACTTACCACTTTTTGACACACCAATTTACATATTTGTTAGGTTTGTTTGACTGCCTGTTGTAAAATTTCTTGTTGATTGCTTTTCCCTGTCCGCAACCACTACTATCACCAGCATTAGAATGTAAGCTCCACCAGAGCAGGGATGTTTGATATATTTGTTCATCAATGAATCTTAAATTCCTGGTACATAGTAGATAATACATATTTCTTGAATGAATGAACCCGGCTGGTTTTGTTTCTTTCCAGGTTCTTGACTCTGCTCCAGAGAAAATATGAGATGTTGGAGAGCAGAGTTTCAGATCTGTGAGAACTGTTGTCTTCCTGTATTAATTGATAATTAAACATGGAGCTTAATTTTTGGTTGCTAAGGGTTGTGAGAGAATACGCAACTTTTCACTTCGAGCACATGAGTCTTAATACATCTTAACAATGAAATCTTTTTTTTTTTTAATGTTTTGATAGGAACCACCAAAGCCCCCACTAAATAATTTTAAAGTGGGGATGAAACTGGAAGCTATTGACAAAAAGAACCCGTATCTCATCTGTCCTGCGACCATTGGAGATGTTAAAGGGGATGAAGTTCATATCACATTTGATGGCTGGAGTGGAGCTTTTGATTACTGGTGCAAGTATGATTCTCGAGATATTTTCCCAGCTGGGTGGTGTCGCCTGACAGGAGATGTATTACAACCCCCAGGAACTAGTGGTAAGATAATAATTAACTACTTTTTCTTCTACTTTATTGAAGTTAGATGTAACTGTCATTGGTGGCATTGTGATTAGCGTTGGTGGTACCAGGTGGTACATGCCCCAACTGGTGGCAGACAGAACAAAGCGCTGTCCAGGCTAGAGAACTGGAGGTAAAGGAAAGCTATGATTAGAATTCTTGAGGTCACTGCAGCATCATAGTCTGAGTTCCAGTCCACACTGGAGATTATGGACAAAGCTAAAAGTCATATTTGGACCATTGAGGTCTTGTTGCTATAAGCAAGGGGGGTGGTATGTACTCAGCTCCTTTTATAGTTGATATTCAATTAAAAATTATACATGGTATTCCATTGTTCATATCTCAAAGATATTTTTTAAAAGACTGGGCTTAACAACTGTTATAAACATGTCTTACATGATTTTTGTCCTGTTTTTAAGTTAAATTGACACTTTGATAGCCTTAAGTTAAATCTACAGTGAAAATTTTTGACTCTGTGGAAGCCATCATAAATTAGTATGCTATTTTAGTCATGGTAATGTTTATTAGTTGTAACGGTGTTTCCTAAGCTGAGTACTATGATCTTCTAGATATTTTCTTTCAGAGAAAAGCTGTCAACATGTTGATGTTCCTTGGTGACTCTTTCAAGGGCTTAGATATGCCTAACCTGGTCTTCTATGATGGAGTAACTGCTGAGGCTTAAGTGGGGTCTAAGCATAGAACCCAATCATTGGCCTAAGTTAATATAAACTTAGTGGGATTCAATTAGCCGGGCGCGGTGGCGTGTGCCTGGAATCCTAGCTACTCAGGAGGCTGAGGCAGGAGAATAGCTTGAACCTAGAGGGTGGAGGTTGCAGTGAGCTGAGATCGCGCCACTGCACTCCTGCCTGGGCAACGAGAACAAAACTCCGTCTCAAAAAAATAAATAAATGAAAAATCAACTTAGTGGGATTGAATATAAACATACTTAAAAAACTAACGCTACTAAGTATATTTATTTTTATGAGAAAAAAAGATAGATGTAGAAAATAAGTACGCAAAGTGTGCAGAGGAGTATAATGTCTAGGTAAGAGCTTATAGCCATATTATTCTTGCAATGGCTGTTAGAATCATCTGTAATTCGGGACTTTAACACATTCCATTATACTACAGTACTGTATACCACAGTGTCCTTTTTATTAGGTACATCTTTAACCAGTTTCCTGCTTCCATAAGTCTAGGAAGTAGATATTAATGGTTGATTTTGTAAAATTTAGTATGATACAGATCTGTGTGTATATGATATTAAGATAAATAAAACATAGTCTCTACCCTCAAGAAGTTTACCTTCTAATGGAAGAGGGATGCATGGAGGCATAGATTTGTAAAAAGAAGATATAGTATTAGCAATGCAAAAATAGAGATGTATGCTAGATGTGGAGGTGGCCCAAAGTCTTCCAGTCTTGGCTGGAGGGAAAGGTGGTTGCATAAAGGAAAGCATCACAAAAGGTGCATGATGTGAGTATTAGATGAGAAGCAGGAGTTTGCCAGGCAGAATGGAGATAAAAGTAGGATGGATACATAACAAAAGTGCAAAATTCCAGTTTATCCTAAAAACTGACGAGTTCACTTTGGAACACAGTGGGTTTGGAACGTGTGGCTGAGAATGCTGTTGTCCTCCAGTATTTCTTCTCTCTTTTTTTCTTAGTATTACAATTGGCTGCCTAACATACAGACTCCTAGCAGTATGGTATGGCCACGAGACTAAGTCCTGATTGATGGAATAAAAGTACACATAGTGTGTACTTTCTCCAGAAAGTATATTATAGAGAGATGAGCATGTCCTTTCCTTTTCCTTCTTTCTGCTTTTATCCTGCTGTTACGAATGTGGTTTTGACTGGAGCTCCATCTTGGAGCATGAGATGGGGACCATATGCTAGGCACTGTGGAGTGGGTGGAAAGCAGCCAGGAGCCAGAGTCCCTGAGAACTTGGTGGAGCAGAGCTTTCATACTAGCCCATATTATCTGTTTTCAGACAATTGTGAGAAATAAACTTCTATGTTATATAAGTCACTGTTCTTTTAGGTTTTTCTATTACTGCTAGCTGAACTCAATCCTAACTGATTCAGGGTAACTTTGGGACATCCAGGTGCACATGTTCATTGGATAGCTGCACATGCAGATCTGGAGCCTAAAAAAGATAGGTCTTGTTGACAAAGCAGGTTTGAGAGTCATCATGTTCCCTCAGATAAATATTCTTTGTGCCAGGTGGGATTATAGGTGCTTGGGATGGGAGGGTGAGCAGTTTACTTATTTTGTTGATAGCAGCAAGTGGTGGAAGTTTTGAGTGTGTTTTAATTGTGTGTGTATAACAAGTAGAGGTAGAAAAGGACCAGGACAGAACCTTGTGGGTCGACATTTAAAGCAGTAATTATCACTCTTGAATTGCCTGGGGGAGCTTGTTAAAAGGGAGTGCTCGGGAACTCACATCCAGGGGTTTGAATCCGTGGGTTCGAAGTGGGGCTCAGTTGTTTCCAGTGCACATGGTTTGAAGCCTGAACTTTGAGAAGCACAAAAATAAGGAATAGGTAGTAGAAGTCAATCTAGGACACTGGAAAAAAGTATACGTAAATGTAGGAGATCACTAGGTTGGCTTCCATGGCAACAGGAGAGAAAAGATTTTAAGGAGAAAGTACTCAACATTATCAAAGGCAGTGTAAAAGTCAAGCAAGAGGAGAACTCGTTAGCGGTCTTAGTAAAACTGTGGTTACTCGGCTTCTTTAAAAAGCTAGATTTAGAGAGTCAAGGAGTAAATAGGAAATGTACAGTGTTAAAAAGAAAAAAAAAAGAAAAAGAAAAAGTGGTTTCCCAATACTTTGTGAGATCTGCTTCCTCTGTCTTTACCCCAGTTGACATTCACTTTGAGTGAACTTTAGAAATCTTACCTCACTTTATGTCCCTTTACCCTCTATTATATATAATTGTCTTCAATATTGAGAACCACATTAGTATTATAATTTTTGCTTCCACCATCAAACATAACTTAGAAAACTCAAGAGAAGGAAAGTCTGTTGTATTTATTTACATTTTTACCCTTTAAATTGTTCTTAATTCCTGATTTTCAAGATTTCCTTATTTTATCATTTTCTTCCTGTTTAGAGAACTTCTTTTAACCATTCTTTTAGGGTTGGGTGGCAACAAATTCTCTGTTTTTTGGAGACAGAGTTTCGCCGTGACACCCAGGCTGGAGTGCAGTGGTGCAATCATGGCTCACTGCAGCTTCAACTCTCCAGGTGCAAGCAATTGATCCTCTTGCCTCAGCCTCGCCAGTAGCTGGGACTACAGGCACGTGTTACCATCCCAGGCTAATTTTTTAAATTTTTGGTAGAGACGGGGTCTAACTGTATTGTCCGGGCTGGTCTTGAACTATTGGACTCAAGTGATTCTCCCTCTTCAGCCTCTCAAAGTGTTGGGATTATAGGCATGAGCCACCACACCTAGCCCTCCTCTTCATTCTTGAAGGATAGTTGCTGGACATGGAATTCTAGGTTGATAATTCCTTTCATTTTTTTCTTTTTTGATTTTTTTTTTTCCTGAGACGGAGTCTCGCTCTGTCACCCAGCCTGGAGAGCAGTGGTGTGATCTTGGCTCAGTGCAACCTCTGCCTCCTGGGTTCAAGTCATTCTCCTGCCTCAGCCTCCTGAGTAGCTAGGACTACAGGTGCCCACCATCACGCTCAGTTAATTTTTGTAATTTTAGTAAAGACGGGGTTTCACCATATTGGTCAGGCTGGTCTCGAACTCCTGACCTTAGGTGAACCACCTGCCTCGGCCTCCCAACGTGCTAGGATTACAGGTGTGAGCCACCTTGCCTGGCCAATAATTCTTTTCTTTTCACACTTGAAAAGTATTCTGCAACTTCCATCTGGCTTCTGTGGTTTCTGATGAGAAATCTACTGTTATTCAGATTTTTTTTCCCTTACAGACTTCATATAATTATGGATTTGTTTTTTCTTGTATTTCTTTCAGTGTTTGCTTTCTGCTTTATCTATTTTGTGGCTGTATTATCAAGTGTGTACCAGTTTTGAATTATTATAATTTCCTGGTGAACTGAACCTTCCACGGTAACCTGATTTATTTATGGTTTTTCTCCTTTTGCTGGGGAAACCAACCTAATGATTTTTTTTTTCTTTTTTTTTTTTTGAAACGGAGTCTTGCTCCATTGCCCAGGCTGGAGTGCAGTGGTGTGAACTTGGATCACTACAACCTCTGTCTCCTGGGTTCAATTGATTTTCCTGCCTCAGCCTTCTGAGTAGCTGGGATTATAGGCGTCTGCCACAACACCCGGCTAATTTTTGTATTTTTATTAGAGACAGGGTTTCGCCATGTTGGCCAGGCTGGTCTTGAACTCCTGACCTCAGGTGATCCACCTGCCTTGGCCTCCCAAAGTGCTGGGATTACAGGTGTGAGCTACCATGCCTGGCCGATCTTTTTTTTTTTAACCTTAACGTCTGCTTTATCTGATGACCAGATTTTGTGTGGATGATGTTTTTGTTATCTTTTTCTGACTAAGGCTCAAACTTTTTTTTTTTTTGAGACAGGGTCTCACTTTGTCACCCAGGCTGGAGTGCAGTGGTGTGATCTTGGCTCAGTAAAGCCTTGACTTCCTGGGCTCAAGTGATCCTCCTGTCTCAGCTCCCCAAGTAGCTGGGACTACAGGTGCGCACCATCACACCTGGCTAATTTTTGTATTTTTAGTAGAGACCGGGTTTCACCATGTTACCCAGGCTGGTCTCGACCTCCTAGTCTCAAGTGATCTGCCTGCCTCGGTCTCCCAAAGTGCTGGGATTACAAGCGTGAGCCACCACGCCTGGCCAAGAAGTTGCCATACTGTTTTTCATAATGGCTATACTAATTTACATTCCCACCAACAGTGTATAAGAGTTCCCTTTTCTGGCCAGGCATAGTGGCTTACCCTATAATCTCTACACTTTGGGAGGCCGAGGTGGGAGGATTGCTTGAAGCCAGGAGTTTGAGACCAGCCTGGGCAACACAGTGAGACTCTGTCTCTACAAAAAAATAAAAAGGTAAAATGGGCATGGTGATACGTGCCTATAGTCCTAGCTGCTGGGGAGGCTGAGGTGGAAGGATTGCTTGAGCCCTGGGGCTAAGAGATCCCAGTGAGCTATATTCATGTCACTGCACTACAGCCTGGGCAACAAAGCGAGACCTTGTCTCTATTTAAAAAAAAAAAAAAAAGAGTTCCCTTTTCTCTGCATCCTAGCCAGCATCTTTTTTTTTGTCTTTTTAATAGTAGCCATTCTAACTGGAGTAAGATGATAACTCATTGTGGTTTTGATTTCCATTTCTCTGATGATTAGTGATGTTGAGCATTTTTTCATATACTTGTTGGCCATTTGTATGTATTGTTTTGAGAAGTGTCTATTCAGATCCTTTGTCCACTTTTTTTTTTTTTGAGACGGAGTCTCACTCAGTTGCCCAGGCTGGAGTGCAGTGGCGCGATCTCAGCTCACTGCAACCTCTGCCTCCCAGGTTCAAGCAGTTCTCCTGCCTCAGCCTCTCGAGTAGTTGGTACTACAGGCGTGTGCCACTATGCCTGGCTAATTTTTTTTTTTTTATTTTTAGTAGAGATGGGATTTCACCGTATTAGCCAGTATGGTCTCGATCTCCTGACCTCGTGATCCGCCCACCTTGGCCTCCCAAAGTGCTGGGAATACAGGCGTGAGCCACCTTGCCCAGCCCCTTTGTCCACTTTTTAATTAAGGGATTATTAGTTTTTTCTTGCTGTTGAGTTCCTTGTATATTCTGGTTATTAGTCCCTTGTGGGATAAATAGTTTACAAATATTTTCTCCTATTCAAGGGTTGTCTCCACTCTGTTGATTGTTTCCTTTGCAGTGCATAAGCTTTTTAGTTTTATGTAGTCCCACTTGTCTGTTTTTGTTTTTGTGGCCTGTGCTTTTGAGGTCTTAGCCATAAAATCTTTGCTTAGACCAATGTGCTGAACTGTTTCTCCTATGTTTCCTTCTAGTAGTTTCATAGTTTTATAGTTTCGGGCCTTATGTTTAAGTCTTTAATGCATTTTGAGTTGTTTTTTGTATATGGTGAGAGAGAGGGGTCTAGGGGACTAGTTTCTTTTTTTTTTTCTTTTTTGTGAGACACAGTCTCACTCTGTCACCTAGGCTGGAGTGCAGTGCAATCTTGGTGCACTGCAACCTCTGCCTCCTGGGTTCAAGCAGTTCTTCTACCTCAGCCTCCCGAGCAGCTGGGTTACCCATCAGTTAGAGACGGGGTTTCCCCATGTTGGCCAGTCTGGTCTCGAACTCCTGACCTCAGGTGATCTGCCTGCCTTGGCCTCCCAAAGTGCTGGGGTTACAGGCATGAGCCACCACGCCTGGCCTAGTTTCATTCTTTTACATATGGATATCCAGTTTTCCTAGCACTGTTTATTGAAAACGGTGTCCGTGTCCCAATGTACGTTCTTGGCGCCTTTGTCAAAAATCAGTTAGCTGTAAATAGATGGGCTTATTTCTGGGTTTTCTGTTTTATAGGTCAATGTATTTGTTTTTATATTAATACCATGCTGTTTTGGTTACTATAGCCTTGCAATGTATTTTGAAGTCAGGTGGTGTGATACTGCTCTCTTTTTTTTGCTCAGGATTACTTTGGCTATATGGGCTCTTTTTGGTTTCATATAAAATTTAGGATTGTTTTTTCTATTTCTGTGAAGAGTGACATTGGTATTTTGATAAAGATTGCATTGAATCTGTAGCTTGTTTTGGGTAGTGTGTTCATTTTAACAATATTAATTCTTCTGATCCATAAGCATGGGATGTCTTTCCATTTGTTCATGTCCTCATTAGTTTTTTTCATCAGCGTTTTGTAGTTTTTCTTGTAGAGATCTTTCACCTCCTTGGTAAAATTTCTTCCTAAGTGTTTTCTTTCTTCTTCTTCTCTCTTTTTTTTGAGACTGGTTCTTGCTCTGTCACCCAGGGTGGAGTGCAGTGGCATGATCACGGCTCAATACAGCTTCCACCTCCTGGGCTCAAACAATCCTCCCACCTCAGCCTTCTGAGTAGCTGGGACTACAGGCATGTGTCACCATGCCCAGCTAATTAAAAAAATGTTTTTTGTTTTGTTTTGTTTTTTGTGTTTTTTTTTGTAGAGACAGGGTCTCACTGTGTTGCCCAGGCTCCTGGACTCAAGTGATCCTCCTGCCTCAGCCTCCCAAAGTGTTGGGATTACAGGTGTGAGCCACCACACCCAGTGTTTTATTTCTTATGTGGTTATTATAAGTGGAATTTTCTTAATTTCTTTTACAGCTATTTCATTATTGGTGTATAGAAACACTACTGATTTTTGTGTGTTGATTTTGTATCTTGCAACTGTACTGAATTTGTTTATTAGATCTAAGAATTTTTTGGTGGAGTCCTTAGGTTTTTCTAAATACAAGATCATGTCACCTGCAAAGAGGGACAATTTAGTGGTTAGAAAGTCGTGTGAGGAAGTAACCACTTGAGCCAAAGCCAGCCCACGAGGCACAATTTGCCTTCCTTTTTTCCATTTAGATTCCTTTTATCTCTCTTGCCTAATTGCTCTGGCTAGGACTTCCAATACTATGTTGAATAGGAGTGCTGAAAGTGGGCATTCTTGACTTGTTGCAGTTCTTAGAGGAAAGGCTTTCAGCTTTTATTCAGAATGATGTTAGCTGTGGTTTTGTCATATGTAGCCTTTATTATGTTGAGTAGTGTTCCTTCTGTGCCTAGTTTGTTGAGAGTTTTTAATCATGAAGGACGTTAGATTTTATCAAATGCTTTTTCTGCATCTGTTGAGATGTATGGTTTTTGTCCTTCATACTGTTGATATGATGTATCACATTTATTTGTGTATGTTGAACTTATCGTTGCATCCTTGGGACAAATCCTACTTGATCTTGGTGTATTATGTTTGGATTCAGTTTACTAGTGTTTTGTTGAGGATTTTTGCATCTATGTTCGTAGGGAAATTGACCTGTAGTTTTCTTTTTTTTTCCTTGTGTCCTTGTCTGGTTTTGGTATTAGGGTAATGCTGGCCTTGTAGAATGAGTTAAGGAGAATTCTCACCTCTTCAATTTTTTGAAATAGTTTGAGGAGAATTGGTGTTCTTCTTTATAAGTTTGGTAGAATTTAGCAGTGAAGTCATCTGATCCCAGCATCCCAAAGATGTTGGGAGACTTTTTATTACTGATTCAGTCTCATTGCTTGTCAATTGGTCTGTCAAGGTTTTCTATTTCTTCCTTATTCAGTCTCGATAGGTTCTATGTGTCCAGAAATTTATGCATTTCCTCTAGGGTTTCCAATTTGTTAGTGTATAGTTGTTCATAATAGTCTCTGATGATCTTTTGTATTTCTGTAGCTTTTGTTGTGATGTCTCTTTTCGTTTGGGTAGTTTTCAGCTATTTTGCTAAATAGGTTTCTCTGCCTTTGGCCTTCTTTTCATCTTTTGAAACATCCAAAATTTGTATATTTGTTTGCTTTATGGTGTCTCATATGTCATGTAGGCTTTCTTTATTCTTTTTTTTTTGTCTGATGGGGGCTATTTCAAAGGACCTATCTTCCAGTTCTGAGCTTCTTTCTTCTGCTTGCTCTAATCTATTGTGAAGCTCTCAAAGGAATTTTTTATTTAATGCATTGAATTCTTCATTTCTAGGGTTTCTCTTTGGTTCTTTTTATGCTATCTATTTCTCTGGTGAATTTCTCATTCACAACCTGAATTGTTTTTCTCATTTCTTTGTATTATTTATCTGTGTTCTCTTGTATCTCACCGAGCTTCTTTAATATCATTATTTTGAATTCTTTTTCAACTATTTCTTTTTCATTGGAATCTGTTGCTGGAAAATTATCGTGTTCCTTTGGAGGTGTCACATTTCCTTCTTTTTTCATATTTCTTGGGTCTTTACATTGATGTCTGCACATCTAGCATAATAGTTGCCGCTTCTAATTTTTTGGACTGGCTTTTATAGGGGAAATCTTTTTTTTGAAGATGTATTTATGTGTTGGTTGGATAGGATACTTTAGCTTTGATTCTGAGTGCATGAAGTAGTGAAGTTTCTCTATGAGTTATTTGGCTGTAAACAGTGTCATTAGTGTTTGTAATTTCCTCAATGGCTTAGGCTGCAGTTGTTGTTTGAGGCTGTGGTGAGGTTTTGCTGTGGATGAGGACGCCAGGTGGGCCAGTCCTCAGGCCCCAGCGATGGCAGTAGAGGGCCGAGCGTGCCTGTTCTTGGGCCCATGGTCAGTGTATATGGACACCGGTGTCATCTGGTCCAAACTGGCTGAATTTGGGCTTGCAGGTGGCTTGATAGGATATCAGCAGTGGCAGTGGTGGGCTGGGTGGGCGGGTAGGTCCTTGGTTCTCTGGGTGGTGTGTGTGGTGTAGGTGATGGCGCTAATGGTGATAGGACGACTTTTGGGCCCCAAAGCAGCATGTGTTCATGTTAACAGTGCCTGCAACAGGCTGGGTGGGCCAGTCCTCAGGCCCCCAACGGGTATGTGCCAGTGGGTGCTGGCTGAGATGACAGCGGCAGGCTGGCTGGGCCCATCTTCAGGCCTCCAGGAGGAGTGCATAGCAGTGATGGTCAGGGCGGGGCAGTCTCCAAGCTCCCGGGAGGTATACTTGGGCAATGAGAGAGCAGTGCCAGCTAGCCATGCCTGTCCTCAGGTCCCTGGTGGTGTATTTGGGCACTGGCTGTGGTGGGCAGGGTGGGGCAATACCCTGGACCCCTGGTGCAGTGCTTGGGTGGCAGCAGCAGTGGTGAGCAGGCAGAGCAAGTGTGTATGCAAGTGTGCCTCCGTACTGCTGCTTGGGAGAGCTGCAGCCACAGACAGGCAGTTCTCAGGCCCTGGTGGGGGCATGTGCTTTAGCCCCTGGTGGTGGCGGCTGTGGTAGCAGCAGGGAAAACCAGTGTGCAAGTACGCAGAGGTGGCCTTGCTTCTGGGGGTGGGGGGTAATTGCTAGTGGTGCACACTTAGGCCCCCAGTGGCAGCTGCTGTGGGCAGTGTTAGAGTCTGTTCTCAGAGTCTGTGTGAAGGAGCCCTGCTACTGTGGAGGGATTAAGGTTGCTGTCAGTAGTAGTCCTCCCAGGTAGGTGGTTCTTAGACTCTATGGAGCACGTGCTTTGGCTCCCTTTGTCCTGGATCGGGGTGGGCAGCCTCTCCAATGTGCTGCACCATTTGTTCCCCAGGGTGCAGGACACTGTGTATGGTAGAGTGCTGGGGATCTTGCCACTTCGCTGGGTCTAATGGTTGTTGTGCCACTGCAGCCCTCTGGGTGGATGTTGGGAGATGTTGGTGGGGCTCTAGGGATGTGGAGATGTAGGGGTTGTTGGGCTTCAGGGCAGGATGCAGTGTGGTGGGGGCTGAAGTCTCAGAATGGCGCTGTGCTACAGTTGCTTAGGACTTGGGACGTGGGCTCACTTTCTAGAGCAATGATGTTGCATGATCTCTAGGCAGGTCCTTAAGCTGTTCTCAGGGCCTGTGATGGGTTTTTCTGTGGCTAGGGCTGGCGGAGTCCATGGTGGGAATATTGACCACTGTGGATCTCTCACTTACCCTTTCCCCTCACTGAAGAGCCTCTTCGGGCTCTCAGCCAGTCTTGGCCAAACTGGCTGTCTTGCGTTCCTCTCTTTTCATGCCTCGGGTGTTTCCTCTTACTTCTTAGATTCCAGTGTTCCTTCTTAGATGCTCAGTTTGAAGATTATATACTTAATATTTTGGTTCTTCTTTGTGGAGAAGAGGAATATTGGAAGCCTCCAGTCAGCCATCTTGAAGTGATTTACCTATTGTATCTTTAAAAAATCTCATGGACTATTACTATTATTACTTACATAGTCAATGTTTGTTGAGATTTACCCACATATTTAGCATGTTCTTTGCTTTTTATTCTTGACATCTCAGACCTTTCATCTGGGATTACTTTTCTTCTTTCTGAGGTAGATCCTTCAGAATTTCCTTTACTGAAGGTCTGCTAGTGGCATTCTGTCTTGGTTTATGTTCATTTGAATATGTCATTATTTCAGCTTTGTCCTCGAAAGACACTTTCTGTGATGGTAAAATACCAGGTTGGCAGCCATTCTCTTTCAGTACAATGAAGACATTCTTTTGACTTTTGGTTTCCATTATTGCTGTTGAGAATACAGCTGTCAGTATTTCTCCTCTGACTGTAATCTGTCATTTTAAAATCTAGCTACTTTAATCTTTTCATGTCATCTTTGGTGTTTTACAGTGTCACCATGGTAGTTCTGTTTGTAGGTTTTGTTGAATCTTGATGTCTTGGCAAAACCACACATATACAAATACACTGTTTACTTTCATTGTGAGAAATTAAGGATTTCAGATGGCACAAGTAATTCAAGGTTATAAAGCAGTTTTCTTGATAGCCTTTTGAATATTGAGTACAAATAGTCCAAACCATGTTAAAGTAGAATTTGGAAGCAGTTAAGAGTAGAAACAAATGTATGCCCACTGCTGCCACAATCTGTTTTATAAATATTCCCAGAAGTCCCCAGAAGAACTTTGGGATTCTGGGGAAAGTATGGTTAAAAACTTGTAGTTGGCGTTCACCCAAAGATAATGCATGTGTGATTCATTTTGCTTTTTTTCAGGCATCGCTTATTAATTATGGATAGGTTAATAGTGGTTAGTACAGTGAAATACTCTTTTTGAGTAGAGAAAACATTTAGGCAATACACCATTTATTTAGATGTCAGCTATAAAATAAAAGTACAGTTTTTTAGATATAATTTGTATATTCTTGAAAGCAAAATATTTTTCTAATTATTTTTCATTCTAATTTTTAACATAACAATTTTCTTCTAATAGAAAAAGTAAATGCTCAAAGCAAAATATTGGGAAAAGCTTTTGGATACAACTATCGCAAGCAGTGTGGTATTTGGCTTCATACTACTTTTCTTTTCTCTTACACATATAACTTTAGAAAACACACACATGGTCAAATCAGTGGAGAAATGTTGAAATAAGTTATGGTATAGTTGTTCTTTAGAATAATTATAGAATAATTTAGAATGAGAGTGTTTCTAGTTATACTAAGAAGGAAAGCTCTCTAAGATATATTAAGTGAAAAAAGTAAGTCCCCTCAAATATATACAGTGTAATACTGTTATGTCAAAACAAAATAAATATGTATTTCTATATGTACCTTTAGAAATATGTGTGTAAATATGTAAAAAAAATCTGGAAGGCTATATATCAGATCTATAATACTGATTATTTCTGCGAAGGATGTTGAATGGTAAGGGAAGTGGTAATGGGGACTTTTGCTTTTATCTGTGGCTTTTTTTTAAAAAAAACAAGAATATATTTGTATATAGGATTTGTGCTTTAAAGTAAATAAAATGACAATTTTCGTTTGAAAAGGGGTTATTGTGTATATTCTGCTTTCTTGCCTATTTTTTTTCATAATCTGTTGTGACTGTATTCCCATGTAAAATATCTCTATAAATTGAAATTTATGTCTGCACTGCATTCCATTGTATGGCTGTTCCATAATTTACTTAACCCAATCTCTATTTTGTTAAGCATTTAGAATATTTCCAGATTTGTTATTAAACTAGATGATATGATGAATACTTTTATGTATATGTCTTTGTATACCTCTCTGTTTCCATAGATAACTTTGCTAGGTTAAGGGGTATGTTTTTAAGGCTGACAAGTGGTCTTTCAGAAAGGTATACCCATTTCCGCCAACCTCAGAAGTAGGTGAAAGTGTTTTTTTCCTACTCTGGCCAACCTTGGGAATTATTTTTCTTGTTATTTTTTGCTAATTAAAAAAACAATTGTTTTCCAAAATTTCATTTCTTAGATTACTAGTGAGATTGAATCTTTTTCTTTCCATGTTTTTTGGTCATTAATATTCCTTTATAGTTTGCCTGCTAATCACCTTTTCCCATTTTTCTCTTAGCGTGTTTTTTCTTATTGATTTGAGTGCTTCATTTATTGCACATATCAACGCTGTGTCATAAAAGTAAAAACTTTTTTCCAGTAGTTTGCTTTTTAATGTTAAAGTTTTTTTAACTGAGAGAAATATTATTTATTGACTTGAATGTTAAATACTTTAAATGTCTTAGAGTTAAATAATTTCAAAAGGCACACATAATATTAAATTAATTGAATTCCATAAATTAAAAAAATCTGTATTTTTGTTTATTTTGAATGTTTCTATTCTTTTTTTTTAAACACATCATTCAAATGACAATACTTTGAATATTTCTTAAAAACACTGGAAATGTTTGCTCTCAACTTTTATATAACAGCTTTTCCAAAATATTTTAAGGTCGTAGCACTTAAAACTTTATAATTAATAACTAAAGAAATACAGTTGCCTAGTTTCTTAAAAAATGTAACGAGGCATCTATGAATGCTCCTTGATAGGACTTTACATTAAATAAATGTTTATTTAAGCTTTACTGGTTTCCTTTTCAAGGATAGTAATAAAGTTTAATTTACTTTAAAACTTTTTCTAACAATTTTTAAAAACTGTGTAAATACTTCTGTGATCAGAAACAGCAAAAATTTGCATTAGGCTTATTAATGGTAGAAAAAAATCACTGAGAAACTTACTTGGATAGAAAATTCAGCAAGCTGTGTGGCTTTTTCCCTCTTGTTTATTTAAGTTTTCTTTTCTTAGCTCTTGTTATGACCCTACAATCTTTCAAAGCCCTTAGCTTCTGGTTGGTGCTGTCACAGCTCATCAGATTTACTCACGAGACCCGTACAGAGTGTCTGGTGAAAAAGAGGAAAGGAACATATGTGCTGCTGTGTCCTTGGCAACTTGCAGAAGGCTGAATCACGCAAATGAAAACGAGGCCCATTGTAGATTTTCTTCTTGCAAACTTATTTGATCTTGCCGTTTTCCGTTTTCAACGTGCTCCCCCCTCTTCTGTATCTTATATTTTAGTTCTCTCTAAAAAATAATAGAAATTTAGGAATGCCCTGTAAGCTACCGTTTTTTCCCTCATATTGCCATTCCCATGTCTCCAGTGCATATATACTTATAGGAGTATATGGCCAGTCATTTCATTAAAGTCCAAATATTTAATACATGAAAGAGCAAGACAGGATAATCCAGCAACTTAGAATCAGAACTAGGACTACCTTGTTTTGAAGGCTATGTGAAAAATTTTTTTAAAATCTCTTATTTTTCTTGTCTTTTTTGGGGAAAGTTTGTAAACTCATTACTATTTTGTCTCTATAATTTTATTTATTAACATAATAAATAAATACAAATTATTAGTCTTTGGAGAAATTAGTCTTTTGAAAAACTAAGAAGTAAAAGATTCTTTTAAAAGTTTGCCCCCAGTATTAATTGCTTTCATTATTATGGGATGTTCAAAGTTTTTAACTTTAGCTTCAGATTTATGTATCATTGATTGTAACTTAATGACCTACACTGGTCTGAAGTGTCATCTTGTAGCCTAATTCTTTAAGCAATTGTGACCTTACAGACTAGGAAGGAGGGCAAGCAGCAAACTTCCAGATGCCGAGTATAAGGTTGCAGGATCCCAAGGGTATAGAGGAATTCTTCTGGTCCAAAGGGAACCGTGGAGGAGGGGAAAACCTAGAATCAGGAAAGTGTAGCAAAGCATTCCTGTCCTTTGGCATCGTAGGCTGCCAGTGACCATCTTAACTCTTTTTGATAAAACCTTCCCGTTTATTGGGTCTTCTGTCCCCCTACATCTCACAGATACAGCTTTATTTAGAATTGGAACTCAGTGGTAACATGGCATTTCCTTCACAACTTACTTAAATAGACCTTAAAGGTAATTAATTATTTTGGGCAGTGTTAGCTGCTTCTTTGAATGCTGGTTTATTTTATGGGCAAGTATGTGTGTGGTTTAGTTTTTTCTTAATTAAAACTTTAAGGGAGTGGGTTTTAAAAATCTAAACGTTTGATGTTTTAAAAAAATGTAACTGGTCACTTTAGTAGTTTTTTTTTTCTATTTTGAAAAACTCTAATGTTTTCCTTCTTAACTGTTTCAAAGTTTGTCTTTTGGGAATTTTTTTGTTCAGCAAACAAGAAATAGGTCTACTTTCCACACTCCCATCCCATTCTCATTTTTAAGAAAACAAAACTAGAAATTGTGGCTGCTTTTTGCTCTTTGTTCAGGTATGCGCAGAGAGGAGTATGTGGTATCTGTAACTTGTGCTTCATCTCTCTAAATTTTAAAATTAAGATTTTATAGCTTTTAATGCATGTATTCACCAACTTTCTCCCTGTTTTTGTAGGACTGTGTATGTTCAGTTACAGCCACATAAAGCAGCACTTTTTATTTTTCTGTGTAACAGTAGGTCAAAAGTGGCAGAGGTGCATATAACTAAGGTTGTAAAAAGTTCGAGGTGTGTTAGTCCCACTAGAAGGCTTCTGAATAAACACTTGAGTATTTACGTAGATTTTTGCCCTTAATGTAGTTTATAATAAAATATGGACTAATATACTGAGTATATTCAGTACTCTTGTTTGGTATAAATGAAATGGTTAGAAATGCTGTCAACCTAAATGACTGACTCAAAAGCTATGAAATTTAATACAGCTGATATTTTCTTTTTCATATGAACAGCTTGGAACAAATGTTTTGCTTGTGCAAATGAGATGGCTATTATGATGCAAAGAAGCATCTTGGAAAAAAAATTTCCTTTTTCTGTTTTAAGTGTTCCAGCTAAATACTGCAACAATTGCAAGCAGAGTCTGGAGATTTTTCTTTCTTGCTTCTGTTGTATGATATATTTTAGCAAGTTCTCTTGAGACTATTAAAATGTCTTGGTTTTTAGGACATGTGATCAGGTGGGGATAACTTTGTCTATAGATGCAGTGGGTTAGCAGTTAGATTTTGCATGTCTTCTCATTTCTTTCTAGTTTCTCTGACCCCGGGTAACCTTTGGAAGGACCTTTGGTTCTTCTGAAGGCAGGAGTGAAGGAGGTTTGAGCAGGTGACTGATGATCACTGTCTCTACAGTCCACAGACAATATACGAATTACTTTAGCAGTCCCCTTAGTCCCCTCCTCCCACTCCTCCCCCCTTAAACCAACAAATGCAAATAGCTTCATCCCCATTTGCTAGAAATTCAGGCTTGCTCAGGCAACATGGGCTTTGTTGACTTGCTTTCTCCAGAAAGGCAATTTTATTCCTGGTAAGGAGCAAGGCTATCCTATCATTTGGAACCTAAATCACCTTAACGGTAAAAACAGCAACAACTTGTTTCTCTGGAATATTGATAAAGGTACGAATTACTGCAAAAGTTTTTTTATATTGTAATTGAAGTGTGGTTAAAGAAATTCATTGTCTGCTTTGTTAGCTTTTGTATACTAAATATCTCGGTAATTTTGGTTATCTCAAAGATGTCCTCTGTTTTGTTCTAAATATTACTTATTGAAATTGTTGGCACTATTATTTGAATAGTCACTTCTAAAAATTGTTTTATGGTACAGGGAAAAGTAAGCCTTTGGTTATTTCTACCATAAAAATGTTTTTTTTTCTTTTTAAAAAGAATAGTCCTATTGTAAGTCAAGTTTGATCATTTAAATCACCAGTTTGTAATGACACTGTTGTCATTTTTTAAAAAATAGTTTTTAGGGATGTGACAGTAAATGCTTTTTTACTGGTATTACCTGAGATTTATTAAAAGTTTTTTTATGATACAAAAATGTGAATAACATTTTACTAATTAAATATATTAATACATCTGATGTGTTTTTTTGGAAATTGTAGCAGAGACAGCTAAGATTTTTTTTTAACAGTAGCATAATGGAAGTTACTCTGTAGAAATAATTTAGGAAGAAACAAGATACTAAGGTTTAAAAATTGAGTGGCTTTTAAAAGCTCATGTTGCTAGATGAATTATGAATTGACCTAAAACAACTGAAGTTGCTTCTTTTTGTGTGAACTTTCTTCTGAAAATATTAAAAGCTATGGAGATTATCATATTTTTAATAATGTCATTTTGACCAAAATCTTGGTTCTTTTGAAGTAAGCACATATGAGTAGCAATTGTGAAATAAAATAGTCTTCATAAGAAGCATCCCCCATGAGGCTGAAGGGGGGAGTAGTTTACAAATAGTGTCAGTGGTTGATTGGCAAGTAGAAAACAAACATGTTTTAAAAACAAGATTCTTAGAGCCTTTCTAAATTCTAATTGTGATTTCTAGCTTGTTCTTGCATTTTTATGATTTTCTTTCTAGGCTGAATACTTATGGGGATATAATTATATAACAGGGTAGGGAAACGATGTAAATTTTACTAAATTAGATTTTCTTATTTTAATTTAGCATATATGCCAACTTAAAATGGCATTGTCACTTAGGTATGGCGGTAGAGAACAACTTTAGCTGGTCTTTTGTTTCTTAAACAAAATACAGGTTAGAGAACTATCCTTTAATGTCTCATTGGGTTTGGGAAATTTTTCCCAGTAACATTGCAAGATTCCAGTAACCTTAAGATAGAATATTCTATGCAGATTAAGGTATAATGTTTTATAAGATATATGAAGTGTTTCTTCTTCCTTCTTTAATCTGTTTATCTTAGGTCCCCAAGCCCTGTTTTGAAGTGGGGGAGGAGGGAGTGAATCAAAACTATAGATCCTTTCAATATATTTGGTTTTGGTTTAGTTACCCAGACCTAATTTTTAAAAGCTGCTGGAAAAGACGTAACAGCGCTTCCTAATGAGAAGTTCTGTCAGACCCCCAAAGCAATCTAATTTAAACGAAATCTTTACTTTTCTGAGTGAGTGATTTCTTTCTTTTTGTGTCGGAATTGCTTTTTATTATATGTGTTAAACATGTAATTTTTAATACTGTAAAACTGATATCTTTGGTGTTGAGAGGGAAACCTACATGGACCATCAAGGAGACTCAGGAAGGATGGTGAAGGAGCTAAGGCAGCAGATTCTGGGCTTGTTTTAGCTCTTGAACTCTGGCCATGTCATCCATCTCTGCTTGATAGATGAAGAGAACCCTCTGGTTCAAATAGGGAAATTGGTGCAAGGTCCAACAAGGGTTAAAATATGAAAAGGCAGGTACAATTTTTATAAAAACTGGAACAGCTACCACTGAAAATTAAAGACTGTGTTTTCCTTTGTAACTTCATCCCTTTTCCTTGTGGTGATCAGTTGCAAAACAAATCTTTGAAAATGAAGGGAGGGGAACAAAAGGGCCTTTTGTGCTCGTTTTGGGTACAGTAGGAAGTGGGAGAAAGAATGAAAAAGTAGTATCTCAGAGAAGTTTTTAAGTGATGATACAAGGAAGAGTGCTAACCTGTGGGAGGCAAGGTTGAGGTGTGGGAGGGATGTCTGACTAGAACAGAGGATGCCCTGTTACTATGCATGGAGGTAGACACTGTGTGTTTCTGACGGTCAGCTACTTGGGCAACAGAAATGCTTTTACCATTATGTTCTGCTGAGTCAGTTTCTTTGAATGATTACTGCCTGTAGTACTGAGGTGATCTATTCTTTAATTCTGAAATTGCTGGAGACTGAGTTGCAGATTATTGTGTTTTATTTGTGAGGATTCTAAAGGTCACTGCTGGCATGCAGTGAGCCTGCGTGGGTATTTCTAATGTTATTTTTAATAGGTTCACATATGCTAGTCTAAAAATTTTATAGCTGTTTATCTAAATAGAATATTATAATGCTAATGTTAAATCATCATTTTCTTTAGAGACATCTATGTATTTAGAATGGCTGGTTCTATTGTTACTCAAAGAAGTGGCTAAGTTGTTTGTTTTTTTGGGGACATTTTGTATTTTTAATGACAAAATTGGTATGTATTATAGAACATTTAGAAAATAAGTGATAAGAGGAAAATCTGAAAACTACATGTATTCTTGCCATCTGTAGATTATCACTGCTAATATTTTGGTATATAAGGATTAGAATATTTTAATTAAAAATCAAATTTTAATTGCCAGTAGTCATTGAGACCAATTGAGGGCATCTTTTAAAAAGCATATGTTGTATTCTATTCTATGTACACAGAATTGTATTAATTTCATCTCATCTAATTAGGTATTCTTATTCTGTTATTCTGGTAGCTAACAGACTTAAAATGTGGTCCGATTGTAAATATATGAATTAGAGAAATTCCACAGGAAAATTTAAATTGTCAAGAAAGACTATCAGAAGGTACTCCACCAATATTTGGTGCAATAGTTTTTCTTAAAGGTATATTTAGTCAAGAGAATTGAAAAAACTCAATTTTTTTGAGGAAAAAACAAAAAACTAAAGCACCTAAACATGGACTTATTATTTTTAGATTTCAGCTTTTATTTTAGATACAGACGGTACATGTACAGGATTGTTACATGGGTATATTGCATCCAGGTAGTGAGCATAGTACCCAATAATTAATTTTTCAACCTCTCCTCCTCCTCACCCCCCCGTAGTCTGCAATATCTATTGTTCACATGTTTATGTCCATGTGTGCTCAGTGTTTAGCTCTCACGTATAAGTGAGGACATGCAGTATTTGATTTTCTGGTCTTGTGTTTATTTGCTTAGGATTATGGCCTCCAGCTCCATCTATGTTGCTGCAAAGGATATGATTCCATTCTTTTTTATGGCTATCTAGTATTCCATGGTGTATATGTACCACATTTTCTTTGTCTAGTCTACTATTGATGGCCACCTAAATTGATTCCACGTCTTTGCTATTGTGTATAGTGCAGCAATGAACATATGAGTGCATGTGTCTTTTTGGTATAATAATCTGTTTTCCTTTGGGTATATACTCAGTAATGGGATTGCTGGGCCGAATGGTAGTTCTGAGTTCTTTGAGGAATCTCCAAACTATTTTCCACAATGGCTGAACTAATTTATGTCCCCACCAACAATGTATAAGTGTCCCCTTTTCTCTACAGCCTTGCCAACATCTGTTTTTTTTTTTTTTTTTGAGGCGGAGTTGCGCTCTTGTTGCCCAGGCTGGAGTGCAATGGCACGATCTTGGCCCACTGCAACCTCCACCTCCCAGGTTCAAGCGATTCTCCTGCCTCAGCCTCCCGAGTAGCTGGGATTACAGGCATGTGCCACTGTGCCTGCTAATTTTGTATTTTTAGTGCGAGACGGGGTTTTTCCATGTTGGTCAGGCTGGTCTTGAACTCCTGACCTCAGGTGATCCACCCGCCTCAGCCTCCCAAAATGCTGGGATTATAGGCGTGAGCCACCACACCCGGCCACGTCTGTTGTTTTTTGACTTTTTAAATAATAGCCATTCTGACTGGTGTGAGATGGTATGTCATTGTGGTTTTGATTTGCATTTCTCTGATAATTAGTGATGATGAGCATTTTTTCATGTTTGTTGGCCATATGTATGTCTTTTGAGAAGTGTCTGTTCATGTTCTGTGTCCATTTTTAAATGGGGTTATTTATTTTTTGCTTGTTGATTTAAGTTTCTTATAGATTCTGGATATTAGACTTTTGTTGGATGTGTATTTTGTGAATATTTTCTCCCATTCTGTAGGTTGTCTGTTTATTCTGCTGATGGTTTCTTTGGCTGTGCAGAAGCTCCTTTGTTTAATTAGCTCCCACTTGTCAATTTCGTTGCACTGGCTCTTGAGGACTTAGCTAAAAATTCTTTGCTAAGGCCAATGTTGAGAGGGTATTTGCTAGGTTTTCTTCTAGGATTTTTATAGTTTGAGGTCTTACATTTGAATCTTTAATCCATCTTGAGTTAATTTTTGTATATGGTGAAAGGTAAGGGTTTAGTTCCATTCTTCTGCATATGGCTAGCCACTTATCGCAGCACCATTTATTGAATTAGGGAGTCCTTTCTCCATTGTTTGTTTTTGTTGGTCTTGCACAAGATCAGATGGTTGTAGGTATATGGCTTTATTTCTGGGTTTTCTGTTCTGTTCCATTGGTCTGTCTGTTTTTGTACCAGTACCATGCTTATAGTATAGTTTAAAGTTGGGTAGTGTGATACCTCTGGCTTTGTTCTTTTTTGTGTAGGATTGCTTTGGTTATTTGGGCTCTCCTTTGGTTCGGTATGAATTTTAGAATAGTTTTTTTCTAATTTTGTGAAGAATGACACTAATAGTTTGTTAGCAATAGTGTTGAATCTGTAAATTGCCTTACACAGTATGGCTGTTTTAATGATATTGAGTCTTCCAATCCATGAGTATGGGATATTTTTCCATCTATTTGTGTGATCTCTAATTTCTTTCTGCAGTGTTTATAGTTCTTCTTGTAGAAATCTTTCACCTTCTTGGTTACCTGTATCTAGATATTTCATTTTCCTTGTGGTTGTTGTAAATGGGATTGTGTTCTTGATTTGACTCTAAGCCTGGATATTATTGGTATGTAGAAATGTTACTCATTTTTCCGCATGGATTTTTATATCCTGAAACCTTGCTAAAATAATGTATCAGTTCTACTAGCCTTTTGGCAGAGTCTTCGGGGTTTCCTAGGTATAGAACATATCATCACTGAAGAGAGATAGTTTGACTTCTTCTTTTCCTGTTTGGATGCTTTTTATTTCTGACTGTTCTGGCTAGAACTTCCAGTACTATGTTGAATAGAAGTGGTGAGAGTGGGCATCCTTGACTTGTTCCAGTTCTTAAGGGGAATGGTTCCAGCTTTTGCCCATTTAGTATGATGTTGGCTGTGGGTTTGTCATAGATGGCACTTATTATTTTGAGGTATGTTTGTTTGATGCCCAGTCTATTGAGGGTTTTTATTATGAAGAGATGTTGGGTTTTATCGAAAGCTTTTTCTGCACCTATTGAGATGATTGTGTGGTTTTGCTTTTAATTCTGTTTATGTGTTGAATCACATTTATTGATTTGTGTGTGTTGAACCAACCTTGCATCCCAGGAATAAAGCCTGCTTGATCGTGGTGAATTAACTTTTTGATGTGCTGCTGGATTCAGTTTGCTAGTATTTTGTTGAGGATATTTGCCTCTGTATTCATCAGGGATAGTGGCCTGAAGTTTTTTTTTCTTTGTCATGTCTCTGCCAGATTTTGGTATTAGGCTAATGATGCTAGCTTCATAGAATGAGTTCAGGAGGAGTCCTTCCCCCTCAGGTTTTTGGAATAGTTTCAGTAGGATTGGTACCAGCTCTTCTTTGTATGTCTGATGGAATTCGGCTGTGAATTCATTTGTTCTGGGGCTTCTTTTGGTTGGCAGGTTTTTTATTACTGATTCAATTTCAGAGCATGATATTGGTCTAGTCAGGGTTTCAATCTCTTTCTTATTCAATCTTGGGAGATTGTTTGTTTCCAGGAATTTATCCATTTCCTCTAGATTTTCTAATTTGTGTGTGTAGAGTTTTGTTGGTTTTGTTAGTTTGTTTGTTTGAGATAGGGTCTCACTTTGTCACCCAGGCTGGAGTGCAATGGCGTGATCTTGGCTTACTGCCACCTCAACTTCCTGGGCTCAAGTGATCCTCTCGCCTCAGCCCCACAAGTAGCTGGAATTACAGGTGTGTGCTACTATGCTTGGCTAATTTTTGTATTGTTAATAGAGACGGGGTTTTACTATGTTGCCCAGGCTGGTCTCGAACTCCTGGATTCAAGCAATCTACTCACCTCGGCCTCCCAAAGTGCTGGGATTACAAGTGTGAGCCACCGCGCCCGGCCTTGCATAGAGTTGTCCATAGTATTCTCTGAGGATCTTTTATATTTCTGTGGGATCAATTGTAACGTCATCTTTATCATTTCTGATTGTACTTATTTCTATTTTCTCTTTTTTTTTCTTTGTTAACCTAGCTAGTGGTCTATCAATCATGTTTATTTTTGCAAAGAACAAACTCTTGGTTTCCTTGATCTTTTGTATGGATTTTTGCGTCTCAGTTTTGTTTTTGTTTTTTTTGAGACGGAATTTCACTCTTGTTGCCCAGGCTGGAGTGCAGTGGCGCGATCTTGGCTCACTGCAACCTCTGCCTCCTGGGTTCAAGTGATTCCCTTGCCTCAGCCTCCCAAGGAGCTGGGATTACAGGTGCACGCCACCACGCCCAGCTAATTTTGTATTTGTAGTAGAGATGGGGTTTCTCCATGTTGATCAGGCTGGTCTTGAACTCCTGACCTCAGGTGATCCACCCACCTTGGCCTCCCAAAGTGCTGGGATTACAGGCGTGAGCCACAGCGCCCAGCCTATGTCTCACTTTTATTAAATTTGCCTTTAATTTTAGTTATTTCTTTTTTCTGCTAGCTTTGGGGGTTGGTTTTTTTTTTTCTTTCTAGTTCCTTTAGGTGCCAAGTTGGATTTTTTTTTTTTTTTTTTTGAGACAGAGTCTCACTCTATCCCCCAGGCTGGAATGCAGTGGTGCGATCTCAGCTCACTGCAACCTCCGCCTCCCAGGTTCAGGTGATTCTTATGCCTCAGCCTCCCGAGTAGCTGGGATTACAGGTGCCTGCCAGCACGCCCGGCTAATTTTTGTATTTCTAGTAGAGACGGGGTTTTGCCATGTTGGCCAGGCTGGTCTCGACCTCCTGACCTCAGGCAATCCACCTGCCTTGGCCTCGCAAAGTGCTGGGACTACAGGCCGGAGTCACTGTGCTTGGCCCAAAGTTAGATTTTTAATTTGAGATCTTTGTAACTTGTTGATGAAGGCATTTAGGACTATAAACTTTCCTTTTAACACTGTTTTAGCAGCATCCCAGAGATTTCGGTAAGTTGTTTCCTTATTTTTATTAATTTCAAAGAATGCTTTGATTTCAGCCTTAATTTTGGTGTTTACCCAGGAGTTATTCAGGAGCAAGTTGTTTAATTTCCATGTATTTATGTAGTTTTGAGAGATCTTGGTAGTGATTTCTATTTTTATTGCACTGTGGCCCAAGAGTGTGCTTGGTATGATTTCAGTTTTTTTTAGTTTTATTGAGACTTGGCTTTATGACTGAGTGTGTGGTCGATTTTAGAATATGTTCTGTGTGCAGATGAGAAGGATATATATTCTGTGGTTGTTGGGTGGAGTATTCTGTAGATGTCTATTAGGTCCAGTTGGTCAAGTGTTGAGTTTAAGTCTAGAATTTCTTTATTAGTTTTCTGCTTCAGTGATCTAACACTATCAGTGAGGTGTTGAAGTCTCTCAGTATTATTGTGTGGTTGTCTGAGTCTTTTCTTAGGCCAGGAAGAACTTGTTTTATGAATCTGGGTGCTCCAGTGTTGGGTGCATATATATTTAGCATAGTTAAGACTTCTTGTTGGATCATACCCTTTATCATTATATAATTACCTTCATTATCTTATTTTTTATTGGTTTAAAGTCTGTTTTATCTGATATAAGAATAGCGACTCCTGTTCTTTTTTGTTTTCTGTTTGTGTGATAGATCTCCATTCTTTTACTTTGAGCCTATGAGTGTTGTTACATGTAAGATGGGTGTCTTGAGGACAACAGATGGTTAGGTCTTGTCTTTGTATTCAGCTTGCCATTCTGTGTCTTTTAAGTGGAGTGTTTAGCCCATTTACATTCAAGGTTAGTACTGATATGTATGATTTTGATCCTGTCATTGTGTTGTTAGCTGGTTGTTATGTAGACTTAATTGCATACTTGCTTTATAGTGCCTGTGGGCTATGTGCTTAAATGGGTTTTCGTGGTAGCAGGTGTCATTCTTTCAATTTCATGTTTCACACTCCCTTAAGGATCTCTTGTAAGGCTGGTCTAGTTGAAATGCATTCTCTCAGCATTTGCTTGTCTGAGAAGGATTTTATTTCTCCCTCATGTATGAAGCTTCATTTGGTGGCATATGAGATTCTTGGTTGGAATTTCTTTTCTTTAAGGACACTGAAAATAGGCTCCCAATATCTTCTGGCTTGTAAGGTTTCTGCTGAGGGTCTACTGATAGTCTGATGGGATTCCCTCTGTACATGACTTGACCCTTATTTCTGGCTGCCTGTAAAATTTTTTCTTTTGCATTGACCTTGGTGAATCTCATAACTATGTGCTTTGGGGATGGTTGTCTTGACCGTCTAGCTGGTGTTCTCTGTATTTCTTCTGTTTGCATGTCAACCTCTTTAGTGAGATTAGGGAAAATTTCATGGACTGTATCGTCAAATATATTTTCCAAGTTGCTTATTCTCTGTCCTCTCTCAGAAATGCTAGTGAGTCATAGATTTGGTCTCTTTGCATAATCCCATATTTCTCAGAGATTTTGTTCGTTTTTAAAAATCATTTTTTCTTTCTTTTTGCCTGACTGAGTTGATTCAAAGAAGTAGTCTTCGAGCTCTTGAGATTCTTTCCTCAGCTTGGTCTCTTCTACTTGTTAATACTTTTGATTGTATTATGAAATTCTTGTAGTGAGTTTTTCAGTTCTAGAAGTTCAGTTTGGTTCTTTCTTAAAATGGCTATTTTGTCTTTCACCTCTCACATTGTTTTACTGGATTTTTTGGATTGGATTTCAGCTTTCTCTTGAATCTTAATGAGCCTCCTTGCGCATCCGGATTCTGAATTCTGTGTCTGTCATTTCAGACTGATTAAGAACCATTGCTGGGGAGCTAGTAGACTCCTTTGGAGGTAAAGAGGACACTCTGGCTTTTTGAATTGCCAAAGTTCTTGTGCTGATTCTTTCTCATCTAGGAGGGTTGGTGTTCCTTTAACTGTGGTGTAAGTTGAGTATAGTCCATTGGCTTCATTTCTGGATGCTTTCAAGGGGCCAGTGCCCTGTGCAGGATCTTTATGTGTAGGTGAATTCTTACATTTGATTTATAGGTGTATTTATTAGCCCAATAATTTTTCGTTTTGTAGTTTGTGCTGTGATCCAGTAGATGGCACTTGACAGTAATAGCTGTAGGTTGTTAGGTTAGTACCCATCCACGCTTTTGTACTTCCTCGTGTCCACAGGCATGCTCTATAGTGGGGTACAGAGGAAGAGAAGTGGTCCCCTCCCAGGTCTGCTCCTGGGCCTTGGGGGAGCCCCCTCTGATGACTGTTGTGCTTGTGATTCTTTTGTTAGGTTTTCCAGGTTGTGGTGTCCTGTCGGGCAGGGGTTGCAGTGGAGAAATACACCACACCCCTTCTGGACCGGCCCTCCGAGGGAGGCACACCCTGCTCCCGCCCTGGCTCAGGAACCTACATGTCTTGCCCCTCTCAGGGCTCTGAGGGTGGGTACCCCTCCTCTCCTCGAGTGGCAGCCACAGATCTCAGCTGTATACTCCCTAGTTGCAGGCTGCAGCCGTGGAGGAACTGGAACTTTCCGTGGCTCCTGGTCAGGTTCCAGCTGTGCTGGGGGATCTGATGTGCTTCTTGGTTGCTAGGAAAGTAATCAGTTGCAGCAAGGCACTCAGGCTGGGCTGCAGGGGCTGTGCCGTGCACCTGCTCCTGCACAGTAGCTAGGCATTGGGCCTGGGAGGGGCTGGTGGCAGGAGGGCTTGCAGAGCAGGCATGCTCCAGTCCCATGGGGAAGCTGGCCCAGCTCTCTCCTGGCTCAGAGATCAGCTGGGTGTCTGTGGCTGCTCTCTGCCAGAGCTGCCCAGCACATAAAACCTCCTGGGCTCTGCACCATCCAAAGGCCTGTCTCTGCCTCCTTCCCGGGTAGATCCCCCTGCCAATTCACATGTCCATGGGGGATGCAGGGTCCTCTGTAGCTAAAGTCACAGAGGTCCGTGGCCAGAGTGAGTTGTCCTTCAGTTCTTTTACCCCTTTCTCAGGAGCTGTTCAGGGCTGGGAGCTAGCCTTGCATTCGGGTACCCTGTGCAGGGTTCCCAGCTTCCTCCCTCTTCAGCCTTTGCTTCAGTGGTGCCTATCCATTCACTCTTGGTGTTTTCTCCCCAAAGATCTGCCCAAATTATGGTGCTTTAGTTGATAATTTGGTGTCTCTCTTTTATTATTTATTTAATTTCAAAATCGGGTCTCACTCTGTTGCCCAGGCTGGAGTGCAGTGGCATGATCTCAGCTCACTGCAGTCTCTGCCTTCCAGGCTCAAGTGATCCTCTCACCTCAGCCTCCTAAGTAGCTGGGACTACTGGCGTGTGCCACCACATCTGGCTAATTTTTGTAGAGATGGGGTTTTACCATGTTGCCCAGGCTGATGTCGAACTCCCGAGCTCAAGTGATCCTCCCGCCTCGGCTTCCCAAAGTGCTGGGATTACAGGTGTGAGCTACCACACCCAGCTAATTTGGCCTCTCTTGGTGGGAACGGCACTTCCTGCTGTGTCTAGTTGGCCATCTTCTCCCCTATTACACTGGATTATTAAGGAAGGGCATGTCGATATTTGTTTTCTGTACTACTTTGTTCTTTTTTTTTGTGGTTTATGTAAGCTCCCTCAAATTTGAACGTGAAAAACATATTTAACCAAAATATTTAATTCTGTTTTATGTTTAAGTTTATAGAAGAAAATATTTTGATTAAAAGATCTCTTTTCATTTTCCTCCTCATTAATTAAAAATAGTACCCAGTTTAAACAAAGAGCATAAGCTTTTGGGTAAGACAGTTCTGAATTTGAATCCTAGTTCTACCACTTCTAGACTAATGTGTGATACTGGGTTGGGTGGTTACTTATCTTGCTGAGCCTCTGTTTATTCATATTTAAAATAGAGATAACACTTGCTTCACAAAATTGTAAAGACAAATTTTAATACTATATGCAGAGTCTATGGCACATTTGAGGTTTGCAAATTTCCTTCCTGGACCTGGCATGGTGGCTCATGCCTATAATCCCAGCACTTTGGGAGGCCGAGGTGGGTGGATTGCTTGAGGCCAGGAGGTTGAGACCAGCCTGGGCAACATGGTGAAACTCTGTCTCTTCAAAAAATAAAAAAGTTAGCTGGGTGTGGTGGTGCATGCCTGTAGTCCCAGCTACTTGAGAGGCTGAAGTGGGAGGATCTCTTGAGCCTGGGAAGTCGAGGCTGCAGTGAGCCATGATCACACCACTGCACTCCAGCCTGGGTGACAGAGTGAGAACCTTGTCTCAAACAAAAACAGAAACAAATTTTCTTCCTTGTTTTTATTTATCCCAAGGTTGGTTTTTTTGTTTGTTTTTGGTTTTTTTTTTTTAGATGTGGTGAAATTCACATAACATAAAATTAGCCATTTTAAAACGAACAATTCAAGAGCATTTAGTACATTCACTATGTTGTGCAACCATCACCTCCATTTTATTCTGAAACATTTTTATCACCTTAAAAGAAAACCCTGTGCCCATTAAACAGTTGCTCCCCATTTCTTTCTCCCCCTTGCCCTTGTTAATCACCAATCTATATTCTGTCTCTATGGATTTACCTATTCTAGATATTAATAGTTTGTGTAAATGGGATCATACAAGGTGTGACCTTTTGTGTCTTTCACTTAGCATAATGCCTTCAAGGTTTATACATGTTGTAGCATATATCAGTACTTCATTCCTTTTTATGACTGAATACTATTCCTTTGTATGGATATGTCACAATTTGCTTATCCATTTCTCCGTTGATGGACATTTAGGCTTTTTCCACCTTTTGGCTACCGTGAATAGTGCTGCTGTGAACATAGGTGTGTATGTATGTATGTCAATGTATGTATACGTATGTATGTATGTCAATACATACATACACACCCATGTTCATAGCAGCACTACTACCATATGAGCTACCAATTCCACTCACATATATATGAGTACGTCTTTTCAGTTCTTTGGGATCTGTACCTAGGAGTGGAATTGGTAGCTCATATGGTAATTTAATTTTTTTGAAGAACTGCCAAACTGTTTTTTTTTTTTTTTTCTTCTTGAGACTGAGTTTTGCTCTGTCACCCAGGCTGGAGTGCAGTCGTGCAATCTTGGCTCACTGCAACCTCCGCTTCCTGGGTTCAACCAATTGTCGTGCCTCATGCTCCCGAGTAGCGGAACTACAGGTGTGCACCACCACGCCTGGCGGATTTTTGTGTTTTTAGTAGACACGGGGTTTCTGTTGGCCAGGCTGATCTCGAACTCCTGACCTCAGCTGATCTGCCTGCCTTGGCCTCCCAGAGTGCTGGGATTACAGGCGTGAGCCACTGCGCCCGGCTGCTAAACTGTTTTTCACAGCAGCTGCACCACTTTACATTCTCACTAGCAGTGTACAAGGGTCCTGATTTCTCCACATCCTTGCCAACGGTTGTTATTTGTCATCTTTTTTATTATAGCCATCCTAGTGAGTATGAAGTGGTACCTAAATTTGCAGTTCTTCCTTCTGTTTTGAATATATTCTAAAAATTAAGTTGGTCGATGAGTATTTGAAGCTTACTTTTGCCAAGAAAATGGTAAAATGTTACGATCAAGCTATAGTAGTCAATTTAATGCATAAACACCCTGAATTGTTTCTATGAGAACATAAGATCAGAGACAAAACCTGAATTTTAAACAGTCATTAACATTAACAATCAGCAAACATTTATTGGATGCACATTATATGGTAGGCCCTAGACCAGATATTTGAGATATAACAGTGGAACTTAACATAGTTCCTTCTCCTAAGGGAACTCACAGTGTGGTGGGACAGATAGATATATGTAAATAAAGATAAGATGTTATAAGGTCTATGCCAATAGAGATAAATACATACAGTATGTGTGCTGTGTGAGCATCATGGTCCTATGTTTGCCTGGGTAACTTATTGCTAGAATTTTACAGAGCTGGTAGTTGAGCAGAATTTCAAAGAATGTGTAATAGTTTAGCCATTGACAACAAGGAAGGGAAGCCCTTTCCTGAAAGGAGGATCGATCTCTGTGAAGACAGAAAGAGTGAGAATGGAAGCCTGAGCAGATGTTGACGAAAAGTCAAATTCTGTAAAATGTTTGAAGAGGTTTATTCTGAGCCGAATATGAGTGACCCTGGCATGTGACACAGCCCCCAGGAGATCCTGAGAACATGTGCCCAAGGTGGTCAGGGTGCAGCTTGGTTTTATACATTTTAGGGAGACATGAGACTGCAATCAAATACATTTAAGAAAATACATTGGTTTGGTCCAGAAAGGTGGGACAGCTCGAAGGTGGGGGGACTTCCAGGTCATAGAGTTAAAATTTTTCGAATTGGCAATTGGTTGAAAGAGTTATCAGTAGGAAGAAATGTCTGGGTTGTGATATGAGGTTGTAGAGACCAAGTTTTATCATGTAGATGAAACCTGCAGGTAGCAGGCTTCAGAGAGAATAGATCATAAATGTTTCTTATCAGACTAAAGGTCTGTGTTGATATTAATGCTGGAGAGGTATAACGAGGCATATCCGACCCCTGTTTCTCATCAGACCTGAACCAGTCTTTCAGGTTAAATTTTAAAGTGCCCTATCCTAGGGGGAAGTCCATTCCGATGGTTGGGAGTGGGGCTTAGAATTTTATTTTTTGGTTTACACAGATGATTATGGCAGAATCTATAATGACAGCTGGGAAAAAAGATGGGGCTATGAAGATACACAGAGGGCAGATAGTAGAGGGCCTTAGACAGCAGACCAGGGAATTAAGATTTTAGCATGTAGGTAATGTGGCATCACTGAAGAGTTTCAAGTGGAAAAGTGACATAAATTTGTATTTTCTAAAGATCATGCTTATGGGCTAGAGTATGGATCAGAAAGGGCAGCCTGGAATGGCAATTAAGAGGCTAATGTAGCTTATGTGAGAGGTTATTGAAGCAGGATATTTCCCTGACCCCTTCATGGGTGGGAACTGGAGTGCACTAGCTGGCTGCTTTGGTGCCGGCAGGGGCAAACTCCACTCACTTGGACCTGCTACATTCCACCCCTTGTGGGAAGAGGAACATACAGGTGGGCAGGTGCAGGAGCTGGGGCGAGTGCTTTTGGGCGCTGGAAGGAGTGAACTCCATGGGGGCCCCATGGCAGCATCTAGGGGGGTACCTGTGACCCCTGAAGCCCCAGAGGGAGTGTTAACAGTCAGTGTTCTTTTAGCTCTGCCATCCACAGATGGCTTAAGTGTTAACAGCTCAGTGGAGGGTCAGTGTGACAGCCTTTTGCACTCGCACTTGTGGCACCTGAGTTCTTGTCTGGCATCCAGGAGGAATGAGGTTGCATGAGTGAATTTGAAGTATAGTAAATGTGGGGGATTTTATTGCTGATGGAGGTGGCTCTCAGTGGGATGGGGAATTGAAAAGGGGATGGAGTGGGAAGGCAATCCTCCCCTGAAGCTACACTGGCAAGCTGTCCCTCTGAAGTGAAGCCGCTTCTCTGTGATGTCCAACCATAGTCTCTGAGGTCCAGCTACTTCTCCTCACTCTGCCAGCTGAGACTGGGGTTTTTATGGGCACAGGATGGGGGGTAAGGGGGGCCATGGGTGGTTTTGGAAAAGGCAACATTTGAGCAGTAAAACAGAGATGTAAGTTCTCACTTTGGGCCATGGTATCAAGCTTTTTGGCTTGAGGGTAAGGCCCTTGCTGGGAACCCACCCTCCCAGAATTTCTCTGCCTCCTGTTTCTATCATTATGAGGTCCTGAATCAAGTCATTGACAGGCATGAATAACACATCTGGGAAATACTTGGGAGGTAGGCTTGGCTAGACATTTGGAGGGAGGAAGCATACAAGGATGACTTCAAGATTTCTGACTTCAGATAGGTAATGTCGTTCATCAAGATAGAGAATTTAGGATAAACAAAATGAATTCTACTTTTGGAAATGTTGAATTTGGGATGCTTATGTAGATATCTAGTTGGCTATTGAAAACATCTCTGGAACTTGCAAGAGGCCTATGCTAGAGAGAGGGAGAGAGAGTATGCAGGCATGTGCACAAGTATGCATGCACTTGAGCAGGCAAGAGAACGTGAGAGTGAATGATTTGGTAATCATTACTATAGGCAGTAGCTGAAATAATGGGACTGAACTAGAGCACTCAAAACTGAGGTGGGGATGGGGGAGAAGGCAGTCAATCATGAGGAACACTACTGGAAAAGTGACGGAAGTAGGAGGGAACTCAGGAAAGAGTTGCTATGTGAGACTTAAAGAATTTTGAAAAGAAGGCAGAGTGTCTAGTGCTAAAAATCAAGTAAGATCAGGAAGAGGCATCCATTGTCAATGGCTGTTAGGAAGTTGTTGGTGATATTAACACACAAAGGTTCCCTAAAAGGTTGTATCTGTGGAAATGTTGTTATAGCAGGTTAAAAATGAGAAAATCGTAATAATAGTGAACATGGACTAGTCTTTAAAGAAGCTTAGTCTTAAAAGGAAATAGAGAAGGTATTAGCTGGGGAGAGTGTAGGTAAGTAGGATTTCCTTCTTTGGAGGAAACTTTTTTCCTTCCATTTGTCAGGCAGTGGCGGCAAGCCTTCCCCAGTCTCTAATCCATTGATAGAAGAGGGCAAGGAACACCTTTAGGGCCTGGGAAAGGAGGGTAGGAATAGAGACAGGGATGGTGATGTGAGTGTTGCTGCTGTTGATTAAATGTGCCACGTGCAAAATTTAAATAATCTGCCCCAAATCTCATAGGAGGTATTGTGTGGCGAAGCTGGATTTGAACCTAATTAGTATGGAACCAGTGTTCCTACAATAGATAGTGAGAAGCAGGGAAAGGAATAGCTGTAAAGAGCAATTGGTAACAGAGCCCCATGTCCATGTGATCTCTACCCCACCTCTTCTGAGAAAATTCTTAGTGTTCAGCTGGCTTCTGACTTCCAGATGCCTGTTGTGATAAGTACCAGGAACATGCTTCCTTGTTTTCCTTTCCACTGGTATCTACCCCTTGTGGTTTCCTTCTAGAGTTTTCCTCAGCCTTTGAGGTGTTCTTAAAGGGTATTTTGTTGTTGCTGAAAATAAGGAAATAAACATACATTTAAAGGACTTCTATGCTTATGGAGAGGTAAAGTCACTCTTATCTGACAGTAACAGTCCTTGAGTATTCAAAAGGTATTTTCAGAGGAAGAGCAGACTTGGTTGTTACGAATGTTTAATTCCCAAAGCAAGGTTGACCTCTGGGATGGGACGAGTGGCTCTTCTGATACAGGTAGGGGGAAGGGAGAGAAGAAATAGAGCAGTATCTGAAGACACCAGTCAAGGAAGCCAGTGTTATGGTATGGGATGGCAGCAGGAGCAAATGAAGGAAGCTCACGGGGTTTATACCTGACCTACCTCCCCTTTGCTCTTATTGCTGCCCATGATTGATTAGTTTGTGGCAATCTGGGTTCTGTGGGACAGGGAGCAAAGTTCCAAGCAGAGGCATTGGGCAGCACAGCTGAGTGTATATGAACTCTAGGCTTCCTTTAAGTGAAAAGGTGAAAGTTGTTGACTGAATAAGGAAAGACAAAAATCATATGCTTAGGTTGCCAAGGTCTACAGTAAGAACAAAACTTTTATCTATGAAATTGCAAAGAAGGGAAAAAAAATTCGTACATAGTATATATGGAGTCTGATACTATCGGCAGTTTCAGGCATCCACTGGGCAGGGGGGTGGGGGAGCATCTCAGAATGTATCCCCCAGAATATATGGATAACGGGGGGATACTCTGCTTGTTAATATTTTTCCCTATAAACATGCTTTCACATCTGATTTTTTTTTTCTAAACAAGAGTCCCTGTCAGAGAGCACCTGTTGACTATTGACTATATAGTGAAACAGCACATAGGAGTTCACAAGGTTGTCCACTGGGTCATTAAAAAAAAACACACACACACATGCATCTTGACTTGGGAGTGAATTTGATGATGGCCTTTTTGTTGTTGTTGTTGTTGTTACAGGACAGAAAGCAGAGTGGCATATTGGAAAAGGCATGAGCTTAGGAGGCAAACACTCTTAACCACATGGGTGCTCTTGGCTCAGTTACCTAACCTCACAGAGCCTATGTTTCCTCATGTGTAAAGTGAGGAAACAATATCTACCTCATAGGATGTTTGGGAGGATTTCATGCAATAATGGATATTGAAGTGCCTAGCATGTAATGGGTAGCCAGTAAATATTGGCACCTATCTCCTTTCTTTCTCTAGTTTCCCTCATTCCAGGCTTCCAGACCCCCTGTTGGCTTTACTCCTTGCCTTCTAGATTGTTTCCCAAGATTTGTTAATTTCTTTTTCATTTCCACAATTCAATAATTATCATTTCTTGGATGTTTTTCTTACCTGGACATTTTCTGTTCTGTCTGAAGATAAGCTGAAGAACCAGGTAAATTTTGTGTTGGTTGTTTACATAAAAGTTTTATTAAAGATGAGTAGCATATCCTTCTTTATATTTCACATAACTTTTTCAAAAAGATTTTTATTCACTTTGTGACCACTATGAACACACAAAGTTTGTGTGTTCATATACATATGAACATATAAAGTTTTATATATAGTTTTAACCTTATTTAAACAAATCCATTTCCTATTTCAAGTAGTTTAATACTGAATAGAGTTTCAGCATGGTGTGTGTGTGTGTATATATGTATGTATATCTATATGTATGTTATATGATTGCTCCTGGGAGTTTAATTTTGATGTGTAATATATTGAATGGTTACTCTTTCCTTTTTAGTTGAATCGGCTTAAAAAGTATTTTATTCTAGGTGCTGGGGATATGGCAATAAATAAAATCGAGTCCTTAGGAGGCTGAGGTGGGAAGATTACTTGAGCCTAGGAGTTCAAGGCTTCAGTGAGCTATGATCACATCACTTCACTCCTGCATGTCGGCACTGGACGACAGAGTGAAACCTTGTCTCAAACAAAAAATGAAAAACCCCCAAAAAACTGAGTCCTTGACTTTGAAAAGCCTGCTTTCTAAAGTGAAATTTTGTTCATATGTAAAAATTTTTGGCCGGGCGCGGTGGCTTATGCCTGTAATTCCAGCACTTTGGGAGGCCAGGTGGGCGGATTGCCTGAGGTCAGGAGTTTGAGACCAGCCTGACTAACATGGTGAAACCCAGTCGCTACTAAAAATACAAAAATTATCCAGGCATGGTGGCACGCGCCTGTAGTCCTAGCTACTTGGGAGGCTAAAGCAGGAGAATTGCTTGAACCAGGGAGGTGGAGGTTGCAGTGAGCCGAGATCATGCCACTGCACTCCAGCCTGGGTGACACAGTGAGACTCTGTCTCAAAAAAAAAAAAAAAAATTTATAGTACTTTGTTTTTAACTTTGCTCATACATACATATATGCCATACATCAAAAAATTTTTATTATAATATAGAACAAATATATATACTTTAGGGGACTATTTGAAACTATAGCTTCAGTTTTCAAATGCCAAAATAGTTAGATCAAATATTGATTTCATTATAGTTGCCATGTTCTGTAAAGTTACTATTTGCTACAATTTAACTGCTTATTTTATATAGAATATACTAGTTTTGGGGGTATAACATTGACTTGCAGGCTGAAAATATTTTTCATTCGTTCATTCAGTATTTTTTGAGGACCTCCTATATTCCTAGGTTCTGTCTTAAACCAACCTGGCACAGGAATTTGAACCCAGATCTGGAGCTCAATTATTCCTCTTCTTCATTCTATATATTTAGAGTTGGGGACTAGAACTGTAGAGATCAGTAGATTGGTCAAGAGAATGAACATTTTATTTGGGTTTAGTAATTGTGTTAGTCTGTTTTCATACTGCTATAAGGAACTGCCCCAAACTGGATAATTTATAAAGGAGGTTTAATTGACTCACAGTTCAGCATGGCTGGAGAGGCCTCAGGAAACTTACATTCATGGTGGAAGGCAAAGAGGAAGCAAGGCACCTTCTTCACAAAGCAGCAGGAAAGAGAGGTTCCGAGCGAAGTGGGAAGAGCCCCTTATAAAACCATCAGATCTCGTGAGAACTCTCTTACTATCACGAGAACAGCATGGGGGAAACCGCCTCCATGATTCAATTTCCTCCACCTGGTCTCTCCCTTGACATGTGGGGATTATGGAAATTACAATTCAAGATGAGATTTGGGTGGGGACACAAAGCCTAACCATCTCAGTAACTAAAAAGAGGTCACTTAATGACCTTGGAAAATAATTTCTTTAAAATATGTTTGGGGGAAGAAAAGTTTATTACAGGGGCTAAGGAAATGGAATAATAAGGAAATTGAAATGTCAAGTATAGGTAATTCTTCTTGATGTTTTATTCATAGTAGTGAGTGGAAAGAGGGAATTCCCTCAAGGGCTTGAAAGTGTATCAGAAACAGGGAGGTAACTTCAAAATAAGGGATATGTGAAAGTAGTAAGAGACAGCAAGGAGTTGGGGATTGAGTGATCAAATATTGAGGAGAGAAGAGATAATTGAAACCAAAATGTCCCATAGGAACCAAAGCAAGGTGTTGTTAAGGCATAAATAAAAGAAGATTGGACTTCGAAAACTAGAGAGAAAACTTTTCTTTTTTTTTTTATTATTATACTTTAAGTTTTAGGGTACATGTGCACAGTGTGCAGGTTAGTTACATATGTATACATGTGCCATGCTGGTGCGCTGCACCCACTAACTCGTCATCTAGCATTAGGTATATCTCCCAATGCTATCCCTCCTCCCTCCCCCCACCGAGAAAACTTTTCATTTGATGTAAGAGAAAAAGATGAGAATGATTGAAAAAGTATTTTAAGATGGAGAAATGGGATTTTTTTTTTTTTTTGAGATGAAGTTTCACTCTTGTTGTCCAGGCTGGAGTGCAATGGTGCATTCTCGGCTCATTGCAACCTCTGCCTCCCGGGTTCAAGTGATTCTCCTGCCTCAGCCTCCCAAGTAGCTGGGATTACAGGCATGCACCACCATGCCTGGCTAATTTTGTCTATTTAGTAGAAATGGGGTTTCACCATGTTGGTCAAACTGATCTGGAACTCCTGACCTCAGGTGATCCACCTGCCTCAGCCTCACAAAGTGCTGGGATTACATGTGTGAGCCACTGCGCCCAGCCAGAGAAATGGGATTTTTAAGTTTACCCCCAAAGGGGATAGCCTTTAATCTTCTCATAAAGTAGAAGATTGGGTCATTCCCTGAATGGAAGAGAGAAAGGGAGATGGGAACTTAAATAGGGAAAAGCCTTCTACCATGGAAACATACTTGGAAATCAGTGAGTTGCAGCAGTGACTCCTCAGTTGAGGTTAGCATGGATTTTATAGACACCAGTAGCATCTTAATGTTCTAAAGCAAGAGTTGGCAAACAATAGCCTGAGGGCCACATCCAGCTCATGTAGCTTATAAGCTAAGAATTTTTTTAATATTCTTAATTGGTTGTAGAAAAATAAGCAAACAAAGAAACAAAAAAGGGCTGGGCGCAGTGGCTCACACCTGTAATCCCAGCACTCTGGGAGGCTGAGGCAGGTGGATCACGAGGTCAGGAGATTGAGACCATCCTGGCTAACGTGGTGAAACCCCGTCTCTACCACAAAATACAAAAAATTAGCTGGGCGTAGTTGGGCGTAGTGGCGGGCGCCTGTAGTCCCAGCTACTCGGGATGCTGAGGCAGGAGAATGGCATGAACCCGGGAGGCGGAGCTTGCAGTGAGCTGAGATCGCGCCACTGCACTCCAGCCTGGGTGACAGAGCAAGACTCCGTCTCAAAAAAAAAAAAACCCAAACAAAAAAGAATGTACGACAGAGACCTTATGTGGCCTTCAAAGCGTGAGATATTTAGTTTCTGGCCCTTCCTGGAAAAAGATAGCTAACCCTTGTTCTATAGCTCAGGACCAGAGAAAGCAGATGATAGTGTGACTCAGAGATGGGGACTGACATTCTGGACATGATCAAAGATCAAAGGGTGATAAAAGAAGGTATACTAGTTAGGGGTTTTTGGTGGAGGTGGACAGTTGGGTGCAGGTTGAGTAGAGAGTAAAGCAAAGCCAGAAGAAAGCTAATGGATTGCATGAAAATGGAATATGGGCTTGTGGATAGATGTCATAATGAGAATGTAAAGCCTGATCAGTTGGTTTGAAGCAAAGATAACAGGTAAGGAAGTTGGAATTGGAGAAAGGGGACATGGTTGGTTGTCTTGGAGATACAAGAGTTTCAGAAATTGCCAACTACAGCCATTTTAGGAAATAGCTGAACTCTCCAGTGATAAGGTCAGGATGATGAAGCATCCAAGAGTACGATGGTCAGATTCCTTAAGATGAAGACAGGAAGACTATGTATGCAGAAATAATGTGTGTTAGGTTACTGGACTTTTTCAAAAAAGTGGAAGTGAGCCTGGAGTATGAAGTAGATGATGGCAATGAGGTAAAAAGAGGCTGGTGTAAGTAGGCAAACTACTTGTAAATGAGGGGGAAAGTGATGTTGGCAGTGAAGTGGTCCTCTCTTTGCCCTGGCAGCTCAGGATAGGCTGTTCCTTCCTTTTGGTTTGGTAAGTGGTAGAAGGTAGATGAAAAGGCCGTAGGAAAGATGTGGTATTATCTATTGCGGGTCAGATTTACATGTACATAGTCTTTGAGTGTGGGAGGAACAAAGCAGCAGATTGGTTTGGAGTTGTAAAATGAAGCCCTCAAAATAACAGTAGTTGATTTTTGCATAGATGTATAAATGTTTCACTTACATAGTTCTTCCTGTAAAGAATTTTTTTAAGCATTAGTGCTTTTTACTATGTAAAATTCATTTATTTGTAATAATGAAATTATCAAGGAATTAATACTAAACATATCTCTTTTTACTTAAATGTGAACATGGACAAAAGTAACCTGGCAGGTAACCTTTATTTGAATATTGAAACTGTATTGGGCTACAAGGAAACTAGTAGCTACAAATCACTTGGGCCTGATAGTGATCTTTCCATGACAACATTAATGTAAAGTCTCTATTTTAGTATATGAAACTTTATTAGTAGACATACATATAGGGACATAATGTATATCAACCTTAAATATATAATTTTTATTTGCCAATTATACCTCATTAAATCTGAAAAAAGTCAAGAGCAAGGGAGCCCCTGCCCTCTGAAACATGAAGCAGGAGCCCTAGGCAATTGCTTTGCTATGTTTTTCTATGTTGATGTGAGAGATGATTCCTGTATATGACATAATTGGATAGTGTATTCTGAAGGAAAGACTCCTTTTTGTGCTTCCCATAAAAATATGGGAAGTTCCTAATAGGTAAGTTGCTAGGAATTTTTACCATGCTAAGTTGAAGTTACTGATTCCTCTAATAAAAACCGCTTTATTTTTTCTGGAGAATTAAACTATTTTCAAATAATATGAAATCTTAGGATACCTAAAACTTCATTTCAGATGGTACTTTTAGTTTTAAGTGGTTTTCAGTGAATAACCTTTGGAAATGGTTTTAAAGGTCGAGTAAAACTTATTTTGAGTCATGAGGAGACAATGCCTTAATTGTGTCATTTACTTTAATATTTTTTGTATTTTTTTCCTCAGTTCCTATTGTAAAGAATATAGCAAAAACAGAGTCTTCTCCTTCCGAAGCAAGCCAGCATTCAATGCAGTCTCCACAGAAAACTACTCTAATATTACCAACACAGCAGGTCAGGAGATCAAGTCGAATTAAACCACCTGGACCTACTGCAGTCCCCAAAAGGAGCAGTTCTGTTAAAAATATCACACCAAGGAAAAAAGGTCCAAACTCAGGAAAAAAGGTTAGTTGTATGTCCTCCTAATTTGTATTATAGGTTTTTATAGTGCCTTATTATTTATAACATACAATTTAGGAATTTACTAAGAGTATGATGAGGGTCTTTAGAAATGTACTAAGAGTATGTAGGCTTTTGAAAGCCTCACATAACTATCGATAGATTGTTATTTCTTTGCTTGGGCAAACTTAAAACTTTTTATAGTGTTCTACTTCTTCAAAACCACAATGAAAGTACTATTAATACATGGGTGTATTTATGTTCAGACTAGTTAGTTTGAAACTCAGTATACTTTAAAAATCAATGTGAAGTGAATCTTACTGTACATATATTATACCTCAATAAACTGGGGCAGGGAGAGAAGAATCAATCTGATGAATTCAATAATGCTGGAGTCAACTCTAAAACTTAGAAATAATAGAAAAAGCAACAACCTGAAGACACTGAAGAGTGAATGGAAGCAGACAGATTCTGGTGGCAGGGGAAGTACTCACTGGGATAAGGGGTGTTATACAAAGTGAGTTTCCATTGTTGTGGTTTTAAGCCTTAGGTCAAGTACACTTTGTGTACCATGTGAAACAACAGGAGTATTAGTAGAAAAACAACAATTTATCTGGCCTAGGGAAACCAGAAAATAGAAAAGCCAGGAAAACTGTGGCTGTTAAAGGGAATGGAGGGATTTTGGAAGGGAAAGGACCAGAGAGGTTATCTGCAAATTCTGTCTACCAACGTCTCTGACAGACCCCTGATCTGAGCATGTTTGTCTAATACACAACAGGCCGGTGTAGCTAAAGCAAAAGATCTGAACTGAGGCTGGATGAAATTAGGCCCAAGATCAGAATTTAAAGTTCAAGTCCAGCCAAGGTAATTACTAGCTAAACAAAAGAAATAACAATTATCAGAGAAATATAGAATTTAGAATCTGCACAAATTAATATTTGTAACATCTGGAATGTAATTCACAATTACCCAAATACATAGTAAAATGAATAATATTTTCAAGAAAAAAGAAAATCAACTGAGACAGACCCAAGTATAACCCAGATATTAGAACTAGCAAACAAAAATTTTAAAGTGGCTATTCAACTGGTCTTCGATGACATTACACAGACACACACACACACACACACACACACACACACACACACACACACACACAATCGTACTGATTAAAAAGACCATCTTAGTGGAGAAACAAAGGATAAAAAGGAGCCAAATTGAAACTCAAGAACTGAAAAATACAATATCTGAAGTAAAAGATTCACTGGACAAAATTAACCAGAATTGACTGGAGATGACAGGAGAAAGAGTAAATGAACTGGAAGATAGAAGAATAGAAATTATCCAGTGTGAAAAACTCAGACTAAGATTGAGAAAGAAAACGAACCCAGAGACCTTTTAGATAATATCAAAGGTCCAATACAATGTAATTGGAGTCCCAAAAGGAAAAGAAAGAGAAACTGGAGCAGAAAAAATATTTGAAGAAATAAAGTCTCAAAATTTTCCAAATGTCATGAAAGAAATGCATAGACACAATACTCAGCCAAGAGCAAACAGAATAAGCACAAAGACATCTATCTAAGCTGAGGCATATTAGAGTCAAACTGTTGAAAACCAGAGACAGAGCAAATCTTAAAGATAACAATGTAAGAATGAAAAAGTACATGCAGAGAAACAAAAATTTGATTAACAGCTGACATTTCTCATCAAAAGCCATGGAGGCCAGAAGAGAGTAGAACAACATCTTTAAAGGGCTGAAAGGAAAAAAAAAAAAAAAACTATCAACCTGAAATTCTGTATCTATCAAAAATACTCTTCTAGAATGAAGGTGAACTTAGAATATATATAATTTTTGTTTGTCAATTATACCTTAATAAAGTAGAAAAGATTCCTTAGTAGAATTCAATAGTTTTCTTCATATAATTTATACTCTCGTTTATTCTTATTTATTTCTGCATATTTTATGATTCTTGTTGCTATTGTGAAGGAAATCTTTTCCTTATTACTCTTTTCTATGAAACAAAAGATATAAATATTTCTTAAAAAGAATGAAGGTGAGGACATTTTCATTTTCAGATAAAAGCATACTAAGATAAATCATTGTCGAACCAGCACTGCAGGAAATGCTTAAAGGAAAATGAGACCAGATGGAAACCTGGTTTCTCAAAGAGAAAGGAATTGTTTTGAAGATGGTAAATCTTTGGGTAAATGCAAATGACTTATAATAACATGACTATTTATAACTAATTACAATACAGTGTTGCAGAGTTTATATTTAACAGACATGAAACAATTGTAGTATAAAGGCCTGACGTGGGGGATATGGATCCTATATCATTGCAAGATTTCACCATTTTATGTGAAGTGGTACAATATTAACTTTATGTGGCTTGTAGAAAGTTAAGGATGTACATTCTAATCCCCAGGGCATATTGTAAAAAAAAAAAATGCAAAGAATTATAGCTAAAAAGCCAATAGAAAATTAAAATGTAATTCTAAGGAATATTTGAATATTCAAATATATTCATTATAAAATATTCTAAGGAATATAAACTGTTAACAAAAGGAAAGGAGGGGCTGGGTACAGTGGCTCATGCCTGTAATCCCAGCACTTTGGGAGGCCAAGGCAGAAAGATCACTTGAACCCAGGAGTTTGAGACCAGCCTGGGCAACATGGCAAAACCCCATCTCTACACAAAATACACAAATTAGCTGGGTGCAGTGGCACACGCATGTAGCCCCAGCTACATGGGAAGCTGAGGCAGCAGCAGAGTTGCTTGAGCCTAGGAGGTGGAGGTTGCAGTGAGCTGAGATGGTGCCTTTGCACTCCAGCTTGGGTGACAGGAGTGAAACCTTGTCTCAAAGGGGGAAAAAAAAAGGAAAGGAAAAGGAGGAACAGAACCAAACACAGAGGAGACAAATCAAAAACAGGCAATGAAATAGTAGACCCAGCCAGGCGTGGTGGCTCACGCCTGTAATCCCAGCACTTTGGGAGGCTGAGGCTGGTGAATCACCTGAGGTCAGGAGTTCAAGACCAGCCTGGCCAACATGGCGAAACCCCATTTCTACTAAAAATACAAAAATTAGTCAGGCATGCTCACAGGTGCCTGTAATCCCAGCTACTCAGGAAGCTGAGGCACGAGAATCGCTTGAACCCAGGAGGTGGAGGTTGCAGTGAGCCGAGATTTCGCCACTGCACTCTAGCCTGGGCAACAGAGTGAGACTCCATCTCAAAAAAAAAAAAAAAAAAAAAGGTAGACCCAGATCCAAACATACTGGTAATTGCATGAAAAGTTAGTGGATTATCCTTTCTAGTTAAAAAGACAGAGATTATCAACATGGATTTTTTTTTAAAGACCCAAATATGTCCTGTCTACAAGAGATGCACTCTAAATATAAAGACATAGAATCTTTTCAGATCTCTTGTGGCTGACTGAATTAAATGCCAGCAGTATTATCTTACACATTCCTGAGTTCAGCCATCCGATATCAGTATCTATAACATTTCCATTTTGTTTCAACTTATGTTTGCTGTATGGAAAAAAAATAACATTGTGATTTTAAAATATATTGATACTGTTATTTTTCTTTAAAAACACTCAAAATTTACAAAATAAAAATCAAAAGTCAAAGCTAAATATTTCAAAAATATAGTCATGAACATTGAAAAAAATCAGGCAGATTGTTCTAATATAAATGGTAGCAGATGAAATTTTTTAAATGAAAAATAAAAGTAAGAAAAGTTAATAGTGAAATTTAAAGTGAAATAATATTTTAAATGCATTAAAAAATTAACATGTGTGTATATTTTCCAGCTTCTGAAATGTCTTTGTGATTAGTTGGTATAATGGTGAAAATGTAAGATAACACCAAATAGTTTCCTTTGACTCCTTTAGTTTCCAGTTCCAAGCTAATTTGATAATTTTGGAGAGCTCTCTTTGAAAACATTGTTTATTTGATGATGGGGATGGAGAAGGGGCAGGTACTTTAATCTTTTAAAAATTATTTTAAAAGTTTTTTACTTTTTATTATGAATACATAATACTTGTATGTATTTATGGGATCTATGTCATATTTGGATACAAGTTGTCATTTTCTTCCTCCCCTTAAGGGAGGAGTGCAGGAGCACATTTTCTTAATGAATGTACCTTTATTCAATTTGCAGTGTTAATGCAAACATACTATCTTGGTATGTCTCAAGACAAAGGATTCAGATTTCAGATTTTTAAAATAGTGAAAGAATGACATGGTCAACCCAGTAATTATAATTCAGTACTGAAAAATAACATGATTGTGTCCAGGCAGTGGCGCATGCCTATAATCCCAGCACTTTGGGAGGCGGAGGTAGGAGGATCCCTTGAGCCCAGGAGCTCAAATCCAGCCAGGGCAACATAGCAAGACAAAAAAAAAAAAATCACATTTTTTGTTTCTTTAACATTGATAAAGAACACTGTATCAATGTTAAATAAACAAAAAATGTGGTTTACTAGATTACTGTCAACCCAAACGACAGCCATTAATTTAAGCAAATAAATTTCAGCAACATCGAATGTTCTATTTTTTACTCCTTTGTTCCTGCCTTTTAAATGCCCTCTGTTATTACCTTTTCTATGCACAGGAGTCCCTTCTCTTATATTGGAGAGTCATGTTTGAAGGTAGCTCCTGGAAAACCCCAAGAGTTGATGTAAAATAAACAAAATGCTAGTGAAGTTTAACAATGCTCAGGAAACATTGGTTCTTATAGGCAGTAGGCATAATTTTGTATAGACTTTAGCAAGCCATCTGTTGTGATTTTGTCAGAATTATTGTATGTAATATGGAGAACTGTGGGTTAGACACAGCGAAGACTAACTAGATGAGCAACTTCTTTCTGAAAATAAACTCTGTCCTCTGCCTTGCTGAGATTTTTTTTCTATTGGAGGTATTGCTCTGGGTTAGAGATTTACAGACTTTTCTTTAGCAATGTGAAAAAACTTGTCTTACAGGGAACCTCAAAAAATAAAGTATGTTTTATGGAATAATCTAATTTGGCTAAGGTGTGATTAGTTGGAGCAGGGGTAGGACAGGGAATCCCAGCCATTTGGTCTCTTTCTCCCCTACCTGGACAGTTTGTGGTCCTCTGAGAAGCTCAGTTTGGAAAGTTCTGCAGTTCATGACACACACGGGAGTTTCCAACCTGAGGACTTCTGATAACTAATAATTTTATAAACCAATGATATTTATAATTTCTGACTTTCTTATCTAAGAATATATTAATGAGTATTGTATACTTGTGTTTTTTTCCCTTTGTTTTTAACAGGAAAAACCTTTGCCCGTGATATGTTCTACATCTGCAGCTTCTCTAAAATCGCTGACCAGAGACCGTGGCATGTTATATAAAGATGTCGCTTCTGGGCCATGTAAAATAGTGATGTCTACAGGTAAATTCATATTTTAAAAATAGTATAGAATTACTAATCTTTTATCCTGTATTATTTTCAGTGTCTTCGAAGTCCTGGAAATAAAATAATAAGGGAAAAAGATGGTAATATTAAACATTTATCTTTGCATTTTTCATATTAAAGTATTTTGAAATTCTGATTGTTCCATTTTACATTAAGGAAAAAGTCTTTAAATACATGAGTCACTTGAAAATTCAGATACTCTTAAAGTATTTTATCCATTTAAGTAAGATTTATGCAATTTACATTGTCCAATCTATTCTTGTTTTCCCTTTATCTCATTTCAAAATTTGTCTTTTTGTATGGTATGTATTTTCAAAGCTGCCTCAAACCTTTTCTTAATGCCTTTTAAAAATTATCTCCCTTACACTCTCCTATTCCCTGGACTTTTTTTTCCTTTTAATTTTTCTTTCCTGACTAAAAGTAAATTTAGTTTTTTAAAAATAGAAGTCACTTTAAAAATGATTGTTGTAACATATCTCATTTTTTTCAGTTTATTATTTCTGATTTTTAATTAGCAGGAAAGACTAGCTAAATGGATATAACACAAAGGAGATAAAACATTGAAATCCTTGTTTAGCTTCGCTTGTGTTCAGTAGAATTTGTCCATGTCATCAGCACCGTGGGTTGAATTTTTAATAGCTATTTCATTTCTGAAGGATAACAGTCCTTCCTCTGGCTGTTGCCACAAAATTGAATTGTATATTTCAACAGAGCAAAACTGAGATTGATCAGTTTTCTTATACTAAATATAGACTATGTGTGTGTGAAAGTTTTGCAATATTAATTAATGGATTAAAAATAACATGCTTCTTAGGGGGACAATTTATTTTATTTTTGGTAGTGATGTGCCCTCATGTTTTGTTTCTTTGTTGTTTTTTTTTTTTTTGAGACAGTCTCACTTCATCACCCAGGCTGGAGTGCAGTGGCGTGATCTTGGCTAAATGCAACCTCTGCCTCCCGGGTTCAAGTGATTCTTCTGCCTCGCCTCCCAAGTATCTGGGACTACAGGCATGTGCCACCACACCCAGATAATTTTTGTATTTTTAGTAGAGATGGGGTTTCACTATGTTGGCCAGGCTGGTCTCAAACTCTTGACCTGAGTTGATCCGCCCACCTTGGCCTCCCAAAGTGCTGGGATTACAGGCGTGACCAACTGCGCCCAGCTTCCCTCATGTTTTTATAGTGTATATTGATTTGCATTTGTTGATTCTCAGTAAAGAAAATTATTGGAAGTTGGCATTTATGTGATTATAGATGAATTGCTTCTATATCATATGCTTTTATTATACTAAGGAAAGAGTTTATTTTAAAATTTTCTTCCATGAATCTTGGTATATATAGAAGGAACATTTTTATTTTCCTAAAATTAATAAAATATTAATATATATCAATATAACTTGTTATATATATCTTAAATTGTTTGGTTACTTTAGAAAATATAATTGAGGTGCAGTATTGGTGATTTAAAATAAATTCAGTCCAAAAAAGAGCATAGCAAGATGACCCGTTTTGAAAGGAAATTCTTGTACTGTGTATACAATTAAAAGATGAAAATATTCATCTGTCTTTGTGCCATTTTATATAATGTGGGAATGTATGAAGAATTGTTTTTGTGATGTGCCTAAAATGTCTGTAGATTTTATATCATCAGTTTGGACAAGATTCTAAAAAATTGAATAAACATTTTGATTGTTTCTTTGTGGGTTCAGTGTCTTTGCATCAATGTAAAAATATATTTACATATTTTTAGGTAGCAGAAATGATCATTGATATTAACTATATTTAGGTTTTCTGTGAGTGAAGTGGATAGTGGGATATAGTAATTGATTATGTAGTGTTTTCACAAAATTTCTTTTAATCAGTCTCATTGTTATGTATGCATACGCATTTTTTCTCAAGTCTGTGTCTATGTAAACAAACATGGAAACTTTGGCCCTCATCTGGATCCCAAGAGAATCCAGCAGCTGCCTGACCACTTCGGCCCGGGCCCGGTGAATGTGGTGCTTCGCCGGATTGTGCAGGCCTGTGTGGATTGTGCCCTTGAAACTAAAACTGTTTTTGGATACCTGAAGCCAGATAATCGTGGAGGAGAAGTGATAACTGGTATACTTATCTAATACATTGTCTAATTCAGTCCCTTCCCCCTTCCCTTCCCCCTTCCCTTCCCCCTTCCCTTCCCCCTTCCCTTTCCTCTCCCCTTCCCCTTTCCCCTCCCCTTCCCCCTCCCCCGCCCTTTCTTCTTTCTTCCTTCATCTTTTTAGAACAGGGTCTCACTCTGTCACCCAGGCTGGAGTGCAGTGGTGTGATCTTGGCTCACTGCAGCCTCCACCTCCCAGGTTCAAGCGATTCTCCCACCTTAGCCTCCTGAGTAGCTGGGATTATAGGCATGCGCCATCATGCCTGGCTAACTTTTGTATTTTTAGTAGAGACAGGGTTTTGCCATGTTGCCCAGGCTAGTCGTGAACTCCTGGCCTCATGTGATCTGCCCACCTTGGCCTCGCAGAATGCTGGGATTACAGGTGTGAGCCACCGCACCTAGCCTGTAATATTTATTATATTAGTATAATAGAACATTTATAGGAGTTATATGTTTATAGACTTTAAGCCCTGGTTTGAAAAGTTTACTTTTAAAATGGACAAATGATGTCAGAATAATGTAAATTGGGACAAAAGTCACAGATTCTTCGTTTTACATGCTGTGTTAAGCTCACTATAGGCAGAGTACCTTGGCTGATAATATATTTTATCTATAAGAAGCTCTAAATAAATATGTGACTCAAGAAGTCACTAAGCAATAAGATAGTGTTGGTGGCTATGATCAGACACCACAACATTCATACCCATGGAATATTTGGAATAGAAGGAAGTGTTACATAGATCAGTGAGTTTCTGTTGTTGTTGTTGACTTAAGAGTATTTTCAAATGAGGATGTTTTTACCAATACAGGCTATTGTGTTTGAGAGGAGCTTTTATAATATAAGATCATTCCTTTATGAATTACAAAGAACACAAATTAGACTTATAATACCTTTCCTAAGGTGATAGTTTTTTTTTTAATTAGTGTTGTATTTCTCATCTCTCTGAGGTTACTGACATCCTTTTTTTTCCCCCAATAGCCTCCTTTGATGGGGAAACTCATTCCATCCAGCTCCCTCCAGTGAACAGTGCATCATTTGCTCTTCGCTTTCTTGAGAACTTCTGCCACAGTCTGCAGTGTGATAACCTTTTGAGTAGCCAGCCTTTTAGTTCTTCCAGGGGTCATACTCACAGCTCTGCAGAGCATGATAAAAATCAGTCAGGTGAGAGAAAATGTAAACTCTTACACTTCTGTTTCACTTGAGAATCTTGTGTAATTGTTTTTCCTTGTGTTCTCCTCAAAGTAAACATTTTAGCCACAGTGAACTAATTAGAAATGTATAACATATAGTTGTTTTTGTTCATTCAAAATAGGAAAGTAATTTCTTGTATTCATAATGAACTTCAGAATCAAAGCCCATGGCTTACTTATGTTTGGCTTCATTTTGACTACCTCACAGAGTTAAACATTCTCTATTAGACTGAAGTATGGCTTTAAAGTTACTGACTTTTATAATCCTCAGAAGTTAGCAAAGCGTGTTGAGCCTATTGGCTATAAAGATAATTTTGTTGTCATTGAGGTTTGACAAATGATGATACGGTTTTGTTGTTGTTTTTGGAGACAGAGTCTCACTCTGTCACCCCAGGCTGAAGTGTAGTGGCACAATCTCGGCTCACTGCAACCTCCGCCTCCCAGATTCAATCGATCTTCCTGTCTCAGCCTCCCGAGTAGCTGGGATTACAGGCGCCCACCACCATGCCCAGCTAATTTTTGTATTTTTAGTAGAGACAGGGTTTTGCCATGTTGGCCAGGGTGGTCTTGAACTCCTGACCTTAAGTGATCCTCCCGCCTTGGCCTCCCAAAGTGCTGGGATTTACAGGTGTGAGCCTCCACACCCAGCCTGTGATATGCTTGAATTTGACATTTGAACCATGGTTGCTTCTCTTCCATAAGAACCCCAAACCGATGCCTGAATAAAAGGGTAGGTGTAAGATAGCCCTGTAGAACCAAAAGTGGGTTTCTTGCTTCTGATCCCTAAAGCAAGAAAGCTCTTTCAGCTTTTATGCAAGTGCTGTTTGTTTTTTGGGAGTGGTTTGTCTCTTTTTCATGTGACTCATGAAAGCTAACTGTGTTCTATTGATCATGGCAGGATTGTATGTGGGTCTTTTAAGAGTAGCTGAAGTTCTCAGGTGTTATTGCCGCATGGTTTTCTGGCCAGCTGCTGCTGATTCTGGAAATACAGAGTACCATCACAGACTATCTTTTTAAGTCCAGGGATTCTAATTCACGTGCCACTCAAGTGTGAAGCGTGGGTACCACGTCTCTAGCTACTACTTTTTTTTCTGGTCCTCCTGGTTACCCTCACCCTTCTTCATAAAGCTTGTCTCCTCTACTTCAGTGACATCTCTCATATCCATCCCCTTTTTTCCATTTCCTTGTTACTACCCTGCTTCAGACTGTACTAACCCCTTCTCTGGTTTAGTAAAGCAGGCTTCTAACTGGAGTCCTCTTTCCAGTTTCTCCCCTCTGGTGTAGCTGTCCAGTGAGTCCCTTTGAAATAAAGGTATGATACTGTGACATGCTTGCAAAAAGTATACATGGAGAAGCAGTGGCATGGAGAGCACAGGTGTTGGAGTTTGTCAGACCTGGGTTCCAATCCTGGCCTTGTAATCTCTGCTGAAAGAGTATAAAGTCTGACCGGCCTACATTTTAATTCAGTTCCTGCTGTTAACTAGCTATGTGCCCATAGACAAAGTACTGAGCCTCTCTAGTTCTCAGTTTCCTTATCTGCAAAGTGGATACCTCTTTGGTTGTGAAATTGAAAGAAAGTATATGTAAATTCTTAGCCTGCATTATGCCTGGCATGAAGTAGGAGCAATAAAAGGTAGCTGTTAGAACTAGGGGGAAGAGGAAGAGTGAGGTTTCATGTTTTCATGTGATATTATCCTTTTTTTTTCCTTCTTCAGGAGAGGTAGGAGGTCATCCAAAATGGTAGGAAATTTGGAAGATGGCTAGGAAGGGAAGGGCCACCTGTGTGGGAAGAGGGGTGTCTGTGTATTGATAGGTTTTCTGTTTCTAAGAGTAATTTGGGGAAAAATACGAGTTGGAGATGTTGAGAGTACAATTTCCTGATTTCTTTTTTTTTGGACACAGAGTCTCAGTCTGTCACCCAGGTTGGAGTGTAGTGACACCATCTCGGCTCGCTGCAACCTCCGCCTCCTGGGTTCAAGTGATTCTCTTGTGTCAGCCTCCCGAATAGCTGGGATTGCAGGTACCTGCCACCACGCCTGGCTAATTTTTGTATTTTTAGTAGAGGTGGAGTTTCACCTTGTTGACCAGGCTGGTCTCAAACTCCTGGCCTCAAGTGATCCTTCCACCTTGGCCTCCCAAAGTGCTGGGATTACAGGCCTGAGCCACCATGCCAGGCCCAATTTCCTGATTTCTTACACAAAGCATTAAGAATGCCAGTAATTTACAAAGCCTCATTCTTTGAAAGATTTTAAAGAAAATGTAATTCTTCTTTAAATTGAACACAAAATGTTTGAATTTTCAGATTAATCAAATAATCAGAATAGGTAACTATTTGAAAAAATACACTGAATAATCCACATATTTTACATTATTTTAGGGGTTATTAATTTTCTGTCACAGAAAGCTTAATTTAGCCATTTGAAAATGGCTTTGAGTTGGAACTCTTATGTTTTTCTTAAGTCAGCTTGTAGTTAAAGAAGTTGCATATAAATGCTATGAGGTTATTACTAAGATTTCACGTCTAGTATCCCATTTCTCTTACATTTTTTAAAATAAGTGACTCAAAAATAGTTTAAGATAGAGTGCTCTTCTTAGGAGACTTTGATTCTGACAAATCTAGTGTTTGCATATTTTAGCAGTAATTTTGAAGACATTTTACTGAAGTATAGTATACATAGAGAAAATTATACATGGAATGTAGCTTGATTAATTTTCATGCCTGTATAATCAGTCACTGGTTGGAAAAGTAGCTATTACTAGTACCCTAGAAGCACTGCTAATGTGTCAAACCCCCTTTAATCCACTACTACCCCTCACTTCGCACAAGGATACCTACTGTCCTGACTTCTAGTACCATATATTACTTTTGCCTATTTTTGAACTTTATAGAAATGGAATTATACAGCATTTACTCTTGTGCCTAGCTTTTTTGGCCTATCATTATGTTTGTAAGTTTCATCTGTATTGTTGCATATAGTTAGATCATTCATTCTCATTGCTGTATAATATTCTGTTGTATAAATATGCTACCATGGTATGTATCCATTTGAGTGCTTTCTGTTTTGTGCCCTTATAAATAGTGTTATGTTTTGTACTCTTATAAATAGTGTTATCATGAACATTCTATACACGTCTTTCTGTTCCTGTATCTATCTTGGAGGGAATTGCTAGGTCACAGGAAATGCATAGATTAAGCTTTAGTAGATACTGCCAAACAGTTTTTCAAAGTGGTTGCCTCAGTTTACTTTCCTATCAGCTCTCTGCTTTTTTAAATAGATTATAATTCTTAGGTGAAATTTTTTATTCTTTGATCTTTTCTGTCCATTTTTCCTGTTTTCTTGAACATATTCATCAAAATTGCGTTATAGTCTTTGTCTACTGACACCAGTAGTTTTTCTCTCAATAGTTGGTTATATGGTCTTACTTCTTTGCATGTTTACCACTATTTTTTTGTATATGGGACATTGTATATAAAAGATCTGCAGAAGCTCCAGATTTCTACCTTAAAAAGTTTCCTCTTTTTTAAGCAGAAAGAAGGAGGGCTCATTCCATTCAGTGATTGAGCTGGGTTGGGACTGAATAGCAGTTTTAGTAAGACTCAGTCTATCTCCTGATTCCTCGCTATTCTTCAGGTGTTACTTTCCCAGGATTTTGATTGAGAACCTGGGAATTCCCTAGCTCCTTAGCCTTGAAAGACTGGGGAATTGTACTTCCCTTCTTCAGGGGTTTGCTGCTCAGCTCTTTAGCCTTCTTCCTCATGTATTATCACAACTTTGCACCTGTGTTTAGGTGGCTTGTGTGTTTGCCACAAACACACAATAAAATAAAGACCCCCTGGTGGGTCTTTATTTCTTAAGCATCATGAGACTGTGAGAGATTTCAGCGTGCCTTTTAAGAGTTTTCAGCCTAACTCCCCAGCTTCCTGTATAGCTCCAGAACTTGGCAAATATCCCATGGGGGAAAACCAGCTGAGTTTGAGTTTCTGATTTGTCACTCCAGCTGTGTGAAGCTGCTAAATCTTTTTTGATTTATTTTTGCCTAGGTATGGCCCTCTGCCTGTGTCAAGTTCTATTTTCACTGTAGTGCCAAGAATCAGCAGATTCCTACAGGGAAAAAATATGACGAAATCTTCAGTTTAGACTAGAATGGTTCTTCCCTTCTGGAATTGGATTTTATTAGTTCCTATGACTGCTATACTTTGAGGATGCTTTTCTTATAGTAACTTTATTGAGATATAATTCACATACCATAATTTCACCCTTTTAGAAGTATACAATTCAGTATTTTTTAAGTGTATTCACAGAGTTGTGCAGTCATCACCACTGTCTTCATCACCCCCAATAGAAATCCCATACCTATTAACTATCATCCCTCAATGTCTTTTCCCCCTCACCACTGGATACCATTTATTGACTTTCTTCTGTCTTTATAGATTTTCCTATTCTAGACATTTCATATTAATAGAATCATATAATATGCAACCTTTGTGTGTGGCTTCTTTCACTTAGCATAATGTGTTTTGTTGTTTGTTTGTTTTGTTTTTTTGAGACGGAGTCTCGCTCTGTTGCCTAGGCTGGAGTGCAGTGGTGTGATCTTGGCTCGCCACAACCTCTGCCTCCTGGGTTCAAGCTATTCTCCTGCCTCAGCCTCCTGAGTAGCTGGGACTACAGGTGCACACCACCATACACAGCTAATTTTTGTATTTTTAGTAGAGACGTGGTTTCACTATGTCATCCAGGCTGGTCTCGAATTCCTGACCTCAAGTGATCTGCCCATCTTGGCCTCCCAAAATGCTGGGATTACAGGTGTGAGCCACTGTGCCCACCCTATGTTTTCAAGGTTCACCCATGTGGTAGCATGTATCAGTGCTTCATTCCTTTTTATGGCTGAATAATATTCTATTGTATGGCTATATTATGTTTATCCATTTATCAATTGATGTACTTCTGGATTGTTTCCACTTTTTGGCTATTAGGAATGCTGCTGCAATGAACATTTGTATATAAGTTTTTGTGTGGATACGTGTTCTCTCAGGTACAAACCTAGGAGTGGAATTGTTGGGTCATATGGTTAACTCTGTTTAACTTGATGAGGACCTGACAGACTTTTCCAAAGAGGTTATACCATTTTACATTTTCATCAGCAGTGAATGAAAGTTTCAATTTTTCCTTTTAAACACTTGTTATTGTCCATCTTTTTCATTATACCCATTCTAGCAGGTGCGAAATGGTATCTCATTATGGTGTGATTTGCATTTTTCCAGTAGTTGATGATGAGCATCTTTTCTTATGCTTTTTGGCCATTTGTATATCTTCAGAGAAATGTCTGTTCGAATCCTTTGTCCATTTTTAATTGGTTTCATTGTCTTTTTATTGTTGAGTCATAAGAGTTCTTCGTATATTCTGGATACAAGTCCTATATGAGGTATATGCTTTGCATGTATTTTATCCCATTCTTTGGGGTTGTCTTTTCACTTCCTACTTTTTTTTTTTTTTTTTTTTTTTTTTTTGCAATGGAATCTTGCTCTGTTACCCAGGCTGGAGTGCAGTGGTGTGATTTTGGCTCACCGCAACCTCTGCCACCAGTTTCCAGCAGTCCTCCCACCTCAGCCTCCAGAGTGCCAGGACTACAGGTGTGTGCCCCCACACTTGGCTAATTTTTGTATTTTTAGTAGAGATGAGGTGGCATGGTTTGGCTGTGTCCCCACCCAAATCTCATCTTGAATTATAGTTCCCATAATCCCCACAGGTCATGGGAGGGACCCAGTAGGAGGTAATTGAATCATGGGGGCAGTTACCCTCATGCTGTTCTTGTGATAGTGAGTGAGTTCTCATGAGATCTGATGGTTTTATAAGGGGCTTCCCCCCTTTGCTCTGCACTTCCGCCTGCTGCCATGTAAGACGTGCCTTTGCTCCTCCTTTGCCTTCTGCCATGATTGTGAGTCCTCCCCAGCCATGTGGAACTGTGAGTCTATTAAGCCTCTTTTTCTTTATAAATTACCCAGTCTCCAGTATGTCTTTATTAGCAGTCTGAGAACAGACTAATACACCAGCCTTTTTTTTAGTTCTTTAGACATGATTTTCATTTTTTAGGTCCTTGAAAATATTTATAATAGTTGATTTAAAGTATTTGTCTAGGTCGGGTACAGTGGCTCACACCTGTAATCCCAGCACTTTGGGAGGCCGAGGTGGGTGGATCACAAGGCCAGGAGATCGAGACCATCCTGGCTAACACAGTGAAACCCCGTCTCTACTAAAAATACAAAAAAAAATTGCCAGGTGTGGTGGCGGGTGCCTGTAGTCCCAGCTACTCGGGAGGCTGAGGCAGGAGAATGGCATGAACCCGGGAGGCAGAGCTTGCAGTGAGCCGAGATCGCACCACTGCACTCCAGCCTGGGTGACAGAGCGAGCCTCCATCTCAAAAAAAAGAAAAAAAAAAATTAGCCAGGCGTGGTGGCATGTGCCTATAATCCCAGCTACTTGGGAGGCTGAGGCACAAGAATCATTTGAACCTGGGAGGCAGAGGTTGCAGTGAGCTGAGATCATGCCATTGCACTCCAGCATGGGCAACAGAGTGAGACTGTGTCCCAAAATAAAGTATTTGTCTAGTAAGTCCAGTGTCTGGGCTTCCTTAGGGACAGTTTCTGTTTACTGATTTTTTTTTCCTTTGTATGGACCATACTGTTTCTTTGCATGTCTCATTTTTTTTTTGTTGAAAACTGGACATTTAAAAATCATATAATGGCAACTCTGGAAATCAGATTCCCTTCTCCCTAGGGTTTGTTGTTGTTGCTGGTGCTGTTTAGTGACTTTTCCTCGACTAATTCTGTAAAGTCTGTGTTTCTTTGTTAAGAGTGGCCACTGAAGTCTGCTTGGTTAGCTTAATGTGGTTAGCTAATGATTGGGTAGATATTTCCTTAAATGCCTGGAACCAGTGTATCTCCCAGCCTTGGCCAAGGGATTTTCTGTGTGTGTTGGGACATAACTTCAGTGCTCCAAGAGGCAGCTTGTAAGTCAACCTTGTGCAGAGCCTCAAGGTCAGCCAGAGATGAAAGATTAGGGTGTTCTCATGTCTTTCCTGGACATGCATGTATACATCTGTGCATATGCATGTGAACCGTCTAGATTCCCAGGAATATGTTTGTGTTTTTCAAAGTCTCCTAGGGGACATCTTATACCCAGTTTTTCCTTTTAAGCTTTTTGGCCAGCCTGTTGTTAGCCCTGACTGGTAATATTGTCTCAGGCAGCTGCAAAGTTAAACAGTTGCCACCATTTTCCCCCGTCAGATGCCCTGGAGATGGGGTTGTTCACACAGAACAAGCTCTAATTTAGGTCAAAAAAAGACAAACCCTGAAAAGGAGCTTTTCAGTGAGCTTCGAGACTGGTCTAATAGTGATAGTTCTCTGGGCATGGGGCTTTTGGAGAGCTCCAAACCCATTGTGCCCCCTCCAGCGATTATCGCATGGCTGTTTTTCACACCTGCTGTAGTTGTGAAGTGTTGGTTTTCAAGGCTACTGTGAAAATGGGGTGAGGGGGATTATATTAGGGCAAGTTAAAATGCCACAGAATTTGCTGTTTTTTTCTGAGATCCATCCATTTTTCTTAAACACTTTGGATTGTTGCAAGTCTTTAATTTCCAGAGTTTTGAAAAAGATAGTTTTTATAGTTTTTGCCAGTGTTTTCATTGTTTTTATGAAGGAGTAGATTTTTGGAGGTCTTTGATCAGTCATCCTGGAAGTGCTTCTCTGATGATTTAAAAAATACTTTGTAAATTACCTGGCTTTTCCTAGTTATCTCTGTAGGAACACTTTGCTCCCTTAGCTTACTACAATACGCAGAAGCAGAAGTCGAGTCAATTTTATATTTGTTTCAGCCCCAGATAGTAGACCATACCCAGCTTGATAAACTTTTCATAAAGCATGAGTACATTACAAATAAATGATGAAGACTTTTTCTAATCTTGCCGAGATTCTGAGGTAAATAAACATTTATAGAAAACTATATTTTAGAACTCGAATATTCCATATTATTAAATGGGTATGAAAAGCCAGTTATTTCTTTCCTTAGAATTTAATGTCTTAATTGTAGAAATATGAGATATGTTTTGCCTGTTGGTTTTACAGTCCATTATTAAAAATGAAACTAAAGTGGTAAGAGCTCTACTGGACTCATTGGGATTCACTGAGTAACTAGATTGAGCTAAAGGTTGCTCATCATAAGATTTTGAGAAGCATGCCTGGCCCTCAGCCAAAATTTTGAACCAGATGAAGTTTGACTTTGATACTCATTGCAATCTTTCTTCTCTTTTGAGGTCTACTATCAGACTTTTTAGATTTCTCTTACACCTTATTTGTCCTTTTAGTTGGAGGTTAAATCAGGATATTTGTTGATACTTAGGGTATAACTGATAATTAAAGCTGTCTTTACTTTCAGGATCATGCTTTACGGAGTGGTCCTTTAGGTAGAAGTGCATTTGGTTGAATGATAAGTAAGCAGTAGACTTGTTTTAAGGGTAGCTCTAGGCCAGGATTGTTACTTAACAAAATGGATGTTCATTATATTATATCATTTAATTTCTCTGAAGTTTTAACTCCTCTGGCTCATGGGAACAATTTTCTCAGGCCATTTTAGACACATTTTAATGGGTTGCCTCACTGTCTTGTGAGATATTTAGAGAGATCTGATAACCTCAGAATAAAGAAGCCTAGATATGCTCCTTCTGGAAATGCTTTTAACTCTTGAATATTATTTCAGTGAAAATATAAAATAGGATGAAATAGACACATGTTATTCATGAACATCAAATAATTGAGAAGTTCTCAATGAAGGTATTGTAGGCAAATGATGTAGAAACAGAAGTGTTTCATGCTGATGATATGAAAATGCTTGAGTATATTAGTTCGTTATAACAGACAACTGTTTTTTCTTTGAAAACAGCAAAAGAAGATGTAACAGAAAGGCAAAGCACCAAACGATCTCCTCAGCAAACTGTACCATATGTTGTTCCTCTCTCTCCTAAGCTCCCCAAAACAAAGGAGTATGCGTCTGAAGGTAAATAGCATTTACACCTCCCAGGACTGGGAAGAAATGTTTCTCTGCTACCACTTATGTATACTCTTGGGGTGGTAGTATTGGAGGTAGGGAGGTAAATTTGCCCAAACAAGTTTGGCAGTTAGGCTACTACTTGGACAGCTTTGTTGAACCCTTCATTCCCTTCAGAAGTGGACGGCTGTCATTTCTCCATAGATTAAAAAAAAATTGTAATAACCTTTTTCCTTCACTTTTGTATTGCTAAAAACTGGCAGAAAGAAGAATAGAAAAACCTACTGCCTTTCTCCAGAGAATGTAACTGCCCAAGTAGTAAACAAATGTTAGAAACCAACTGTATGATCATATTATAACAAATAGTAATGAAGAACTGCATTTCTAAAAACAAATGCTTCAGTGAGGTGTTTATAGCCTTGGTGGCAAGACTGGCAAATGATAGTAAGTTACTATGAAAAATATAGGTGATATGGAATCACTTTGGACTGTAGGACAATGTCCATTAATATAAATGCCAAGGAACGCCAAGTCGGGTGGATCATCTGAGGTCAGGAGTTCGAGACCAGCCTGGCCAACATGATGAAACCCTGTCTCTACTAAAAAAAACCCAAAAGATTAGCCAGGCATGGTGGCAGGCGCCTGTACTCCCAGCTACTCGGGAGGCTGAGGTAGGAGAATTGCTTGAACCCAGGAGGCGGAGGTTGCAGTGAACCAAGATTGCACCACTGCACCCCAGCCTGGGCAACAAGAGCAAAACTTTGTCTCAATCAATCAGTGTATGCATCCATACCAAGGAGGGGATAGCCATGAACTTTGTGTTAGAGCATTGTGGTTCAGTATAGCACAAGTTAAGTGAACTATTGCTAGGGATGAGATTTTTAACCTTTTAGTAGTATTTGAATTGTAAGTCTATTGAAGATAGCCTCCTTTGTCTTTTTCCCTGTAGGAGAACCATTGTTTGCTGGGGGAAGTGCCATTCCCAAAGAGGAGAATCTTTCAGAAGATTCTAAGAGCTCATCACTAAATTCAGGAAATTATTTGAATCCTGCCTGTAGAAATCCTATGTATATTCATACTTCAGTCTCCCAGGATTTTTCTCGAAGTGTGCCAGGCACCACAAGTTCACCACTAGTTGGGGACATATCCCCCAAGAGCAGTCCCCATGAAGTTAAATTCCAAATGCAGAGGAAAAGTGAAGGTATGTTCAAAAATAGTGACTCTCAATGTGTTTGTCTTTTGCCTTGAGATTTTCATACCTAACAGCATCCCCTGAGAGTATCACATTGGAGAAAGTGCTAAAATTTGGGAGGCTGAGTCCTCTCTTTCACATCACTGTCAGGTCAGACCATTATGGATCCTCCAATCCTCTTGACAGCACAGAACTGTCTCTAGGGATCTGGATCACCAACCATGTCTCTGATAGAGACTTCTCAGATTAGTAGTGCTTGAACAGTTGTAATTTATCATTTCCTTGGGTACCGTCTGGACTCACAAACCTCTCATGACTCTGAGGCCTGGAAAGACAGTCCCTCTCCTTTCTGTTGTACACTTTTCTTCGTCTCTCTTGAGACATTCCTGGCCTCAGCCTGTGTTGACTCCTGGATTCGGGCTGGCATCTTGTTACCACAGCCACACCATTTCCTCACTCTCCACATCCTTCCTCAGACCCACCAGGAAGTCATGACATGTATAAGTAGGGCAATATCCTGTTGCCATTTAGAAAGAGCCAGAACAGGCCAGGCGCGGGGTGGCTCACACCTGTAATCCTAGCACTTTGGGAGGCCGAGGCAGGCAGATCACCCGAAGTCGGGAGTTTGAGACCAGCCTGACCAACGTGGAGAAACCCTGTCTCTACTAAAAATACAAAATTAGCTGAGCATGGTGATGCATGCCTGTAATCCCAGCTACTTGGGAGCCCGAGGCAGGAGAATCACTTGAACCCGGGAGGCAGAGGTTGCAGTGAGCCGAGATTGCGCCATTGCATTCCAGCCTAGGCAACAGGAGTGAAACTCCATCTCAAAAAGAAAGAAGAAAGAAAGAAAGGAGCCAAAACGGCCTTCCATGTGCAAAGAGGGCTAATACCCTGTACCTTTGAAGGATTAAGGGTACAGGAGAGTGAGGGTGGGAATAAGTGTTTTGTCCTTTTTCTCCAGGTAGGCATGCAGGCGAGGTTGAGGAGTGAAGGAAGTGGGAACCCTTGCCTTTGATCATGGGTGTTATCTATGGGCAACCACACTGTGCACACACCATGACACATTTAATGTTGTCAGCCCCATCCCCTCTGGAGATTGTCTCTGCCTTTAGAGTGACATAGCTTGCAGAGTCTAACAATAGATGCTTACTCCATAATGGCTAGTATACCTTGCATTTTAAAGTATTTTCACAAAGTATGACCTTTTGGCGATAGGCTTTCTCAGTATAAGGTTACTTCTAATGGTGAATATCTCACTTTGAAATGTATGTCAAACACTAAGGTAGCCGGTATTGGGGCATCAGACGGCTAGCTTCTGGTCTTCTTAGCAATGTAGAGACTAATAGTAATAACATTGCTTTCTAGTAATTTACTTACTGGTAATAGAAATAATCATCATCTTCATCACTATCTGATGTATGCCAGGGATATAATATTTCATATGGCCTCCTACATTATATTGTTACAACAATTCCTTGAAATGTAGGTGCTGGTAAGCATTTTCAGGTAAGAAATTTGAAGTCATTTGGCTAAGGTTCCTCAGCTAGAAAGTGGCTGGGCCAGTCCTTGAGCTCAAACACTCTGACTCCAGGGTTGTACTCTTAACTTCTGTACTCCTTGCACCTCCCAAGAATAGATACGCATTTCCATTAGAAACTGTCTAGAGGTGTCATTACTATTATTTTTAAGGCATTTGAACTGTTACCTAGAGCTAATTCCACTCCTGACAGCCAGTGATGCTCACACAATTTCCTGTCCTGCCTTGTCCCATTATTTGAATGAAAAATATTGCTGATCTTTATTATAGGAAAGAAATCCAATGATGTCGAGGGGGGGGGATCAGATCACTTTCATACTTTCATTATATTTATTCTAGAAATATTTATTGATATGCCAGTGTATATAAGACAGAGCCGTTCAGGAGAAAAGCATGACTGGACTTTGATTATTTTTCACATGATTAGTTTGTTTCATGTAATTATTTGAATAACAATAATGTAATGCTTGCAAACTTCTCTGATTGTTTTGAAGATGTAGGCCCAATTAAATTATATTTTCATAATAGACTAAAAATAGAAAATCTTATGGTTTTATTTTTAATATAAAATTTTATACCCCAAATCATATCTTTTTACATATAGTTTATTTGCAGTAAACTGTAAAACTAGTTACATGTTATTCAAAACATAAATGTACCAGATTATGATGACAGAAACCAGAAATTCCACAAAAATGTACATTAAATTAGAGATATGATTAGCTTTGCCAATGATTTTTTTCATGTTATGTTGTGTCTTTGTTAAGTTAAAGGAGATGGTGTTTCTGTCTAAATTGTCAGAATGCTAACTTAGGCACAGCATGGTCTACACCATCATCATTTTTACTTGGGTTGATACAGCCTAGCAGAATTTCTCTGTAGATATGACCAACATTTTTTTCTCTGAGTGGAGGGGAGAATATATTTTGGTATAGAGTTTTTATTTCACATCATCGTTGTGATGTTGGAAAGAAATAAAATTCAGAGCTACACACAAAAAATTAACCACTATAAGTTCTTTTATTTTCTGTTTTTCTTTATCCTTCCCCTAGGTAAATATACTTAAAATGCTTCTAAAATGGCCATAGTCCAGAGGATAGGAAAGAAAGGGTACTCCTTTGGCTAATTCACACACAAAAAAACATCAAATTTGTGTTGACAGTCCTTGGTTAGCAAAACAAATCTTCCTAGCTAAGTACAAAATTCACTTCAGTTATCCACACTAACTTTAGGGAGTTAAGGGCTCTGGTTGAGTAAATGAATACTTGTCAGGACACAGATTTTATCACAACTTAGTAAAGAGCACAGCTAAGACCATTTGAGGTATGAGCACTTAAATTGTTTCATGTCTCAGTTATGTATTTTTTTAATGTATAAACCTTCAACCAAAATATCTATTACTATGCAATTAAACATGATAAAGGAGTTAAATTAAATGTTAAAGTTATTTCTGACCTAGCTTAGCAGAAAATAATCTTGTCTTCTTCAAAATTCAGATAAGCATTTAAGCCATGAGAGACAGGAATCTAAAGAGTAAAGTGATGCTAAAAATATTCTTATTGGATACATCAGAGAGATTTGGTAAAAGGACTAATTTGTTTATCAAAAATAATGGGATTATTGAAATTCTTTGATTAAAGTGAACACATTTAAGCAATTAGAAAACTAAATTTAGCCAGGTATGGTGGCTCATGCCTGTAATTCCAGCACTTTGGGGGCCTGAGGTGGGCAGATTGCTTGAGTCCAGGAGTTTGAGACCAGCCTGGGCAACATGGATAAATCCTGTCTCTACAAAAAATATAAAGATTAGCTGCAAGTGGTGGCATGTGTCAGTAGTCCCAGCTACTTGGGAGGCAAGGTGGGAGGATCACTTGAGCCTGGGAGGTCAGCGCTGCAGTGAGCCATGATTGTGCCACTGCACTCCAGCCTGGGTAACAGAGCGAGACCCTGTCTCAAAAAAACCAAAACAACAACAACAACAACAAAACAAAACAAAAACTAACTGTAAATTTGGGGAATTTCCATCGGATTTAGCTAGTAAAATATACCTAGTCTAGACAGATAGAGAGAGATTGAAATTCCTTGAAAGACTTAAAGTAAGAGAGAAGTCATAGGTTAGATTAGATTAACCTAATTTTACCCGAGTAACAGATCTTTTGCTGTATTTGTCTGTGGCCAAAGAGGCTTGGATTGCTTAGTCTGTTTTGTGATCTTTGAAGCTTTAAGGTAACGTCTGAACCTGCTTTTGTTGTTTGGGGGAGGTCAGATGGGATGCTCTTATGTAGCCATCCTCACATCATTTTTGTATAAGCTTTCACAGTTGGAGTCTTGAGACCTTGTTGGGGAACTTAACAAAAGGTTCCAGGAATGAGACCATTATTCCCTACCTAACATCTCTTCTTTCAGGATAATGATCAGGTCAAGTATGATTTGTCTTTTTTCCCCCCCATTGAAGCTCCAAGTTATATAGCTGTACCTGATCCCAGTGTCCTGAAACAAGGCTTCTCTAAGGACCCTTCAACCTGGTCTGTGGATGAAGTGATACAGTTTATGAAACATACAGATCCTCAGATATCAGGCCCCCTCGCCGACCTCTTCAGGCAACATGTAATGTATCTTTTGATCCGGTTTTCCTGCCGTAATGCCTTTGAATGACCTCTGTGCAGGCCCTTCATTTGGATGCTGTGTGGATGGTGGGGGAACCCTATCAACTGATTTTTCCATATGTGAGAGAGGTTATTTTTCCCAAGATTAGTTCCTTAAATGGTAGATTAATGGTCTGTTCTTTAAGTGAGTATCCAGGTGCCTAAAATACAAACTGCTTCAACTTCTCAAGATACGATGATTCAGCATTGCAACTCTCAGGTGTACCTTCCCTTTGTGATGACAGATACAAGGATCCTCCCCGACCTGCTCCCAGCTCAGTGCCAGAACCATGAGTAGGAGGGGTTGACCACAAGCTATTACAGGGTGGCCTTCCTCCAGTGAATCCAGCAACTTTATAAGATTAAGTACATCCTTTTAAACAGGAACTCACAAATACCAAATAATATGCTTCCATGACATAAATTGATTAAGGTAATAAAGAATTTTAGGAGGATGCCTTGTGACTATTAAGTAATATTTTCAGTGTTTTCTAACAAATCAAATGAGTGATCTATTATCTGAGGTACCCTTTTCACTATCGCAAGAAAATCAGTAGTTTTAGCATCTAACCAGCTTCAGACAACTAACTGATTAGCCTTCAACATAATGACAACACTGTATAGCACATTTACAGTTTGCATTGATATTGACATATTCCTGGCCCTTCTCAGAAAGTTATTGATCATCTGAAATTCATTTCTACCATTCATAATTTTTGATCTTTTGTCATAGATATATTTAGTATTTTATTTAACACACAGTATTTAAAGTCAGATTGTTTGATACTTGGGACATTTTTTGAAGATACAAGATTAAATTTTCTTAAAGTTTGAACTAAATTCATAAATTATCAAATGATGCTTCACTGTATAAATTATATTTTTAATAGTTTTCAGGAAATAAAGCATATTCAGAGAATATATATCCGGAGTATACAGCTGCTGTATTTTACATGTTCTTATGTATAAATAATTTGATATGAAAGCATTATTAATGATTATGATTTCCTTCTCTCTGTAGGAAATTGATGGGAAGGCTCTGTTCCTACTCAAGAGTGATGTGATGATGAAGTATATGGGGCTGAAGCTGGGGCCAGCATTAAAGCTGTGTTACTACATTGAAAAGCTTAAAGAAGGAAAATACAGTTAAAAAAATGTGTAAGTTTAGATTGGACATAATTCTCAGGTGTACTGTTAACATTTTAATTTAAAAGTATTTCTCTTAGCAGTTTTTGTTTTGTAGACAGTTCCCATAAAAATATTTTATCAGAATTGCAGAACTGTAGTAACAGTTCAGTCAACTTTGTTTTTTTCCTGGAGTCACCAACCAGCTTTGGGAGACACAGCCGCCACTCCCCCAGTCTACTTCTTTAAAAAGCATTTAACAGGTTAGTATTGGCATATTCAAATTGGCAGTTCTTTATGTCTTTTTAAATTTTCATTGTACAGTTTACAAATATACTTAATGTAGTTAACAGAGAAAAACCTTTGATTTTGGTTAACCTTTATATCTAGAACCAAAACAGCTAAATCCCAAAGGGGAAAATATCAGGGATTGACAACTTCTATAATTAAATCCATGAGAATTTTTCCTCACTAGAGAATTTAAAGGTGCACCTGTAGATATCATCTTTTCTCAGATATTTTGTGTGATACTCTGTGGTGTTCTGTTCATGTTCTATCAGTATATCTAGAAAGGGAATAGCCATATAAATTATTTTCCTTTTATTATTTCTCTGTATGTTGTATTTGATCATATTTAAAGGAAAAAAGCAAGCTTATAAGCTTTCATGAAGTGTTCTTACCAGTTTTTGATAAATTTTTTAAATTATAGGATAGAATTGTCATTTTATGCAGGAGATATTTATACTACGAGGGTTGTTTGGATGGAGTCAGATTAAATTTTTTCAGTGAAATTCCTATTATTTTAAAACTTTCCATATTTTCACTACGCTTGGACATTTAACTAGGCATTCTTTTCTTACATCTCTATATGAAGATACCTGTGTCCAAAATTTTTGAAGATATATATTGTATGTGTTTATTCTTCATATGGTACTTTACCATATTTATATATTGTTTTATACCTGTAGGTTTACACACAAGTAAATCTTTTTTTTCTTGAATTTAATCTGGCACTTTGCACTGCCACAGAGGTGACGATGAACTATGTATATAGTTAGATGTTTTGATTTCGTAAAAAATATATGTCCATCGTTTGCTATCACCAGTACCTCTCAGCTTACTCTTCAGGGGATATGAAACAATCTGTAGATTGGTTTCCATACAGGGAAGTTCTCTGTCCTATGCAATGTTTCTAATTAATTTGCTTAGTTCTGAGCCATTTATTCTGCTACACTTTGAAAGATATATTAGTTCTGACTTATTGTTTGGGGCTTTATTTTATTTTTATTTTTTTGAGATGGAGTTTCACTCTTGTTGCCCAGGCTGGAGTGCAATAGCTCGATCTCGGCTCACTGCAACCTCGCCTCCCTGGTTCAAGCAATTCTCCTGCCTCAGCGATTACAGGAATGCACCACCACGCCCAGCTAATTTTGTAGAGATGGGGTTTCTCCATGTTGGTCAGGCTGGTCTCAAACTCCTGACCTCAGGTGATCCGCCCACCTCGGCCTTGCAAAATGCTGGGATTACAGGCATGAGCCACCATGCCCAGCCATGTTTGGGGCTTTATTTTATAAGTTAGAACTTTGAAGAGGAAATGGTGCTATATGTTTATTGTTATTACTTTGTGTAACTTTGATGTAATGTTTATAAGCTATGAGAATCAGTTATAAAAGTATTAGCCATTTGTTGTAAATGCCAATAAAATATTCACCAGGGGCAAGAATGTACATTTTCTTTTTAGAAAACCAAATGTACTTTAGACATGAATGCAACTATTTAAAGAATAGCTTCATTTATGTTATTCCTTACATGTCATAAGATTCTTACTTAAACTTGGTCTTCTTTCAAGTTGTTTGTATGAAGATGCTGTACCCACTTGAACAGTCCTCAGGTGTTTACATAAATACTATGTTTTACAGTTTTCATATTTTAAAATATTAATAAAGTTAATCGCAACGATTCATTCAAAGCCTCAGATGTGATTTTATTTATCATTAACTGCATTACATTAAAGTGTCTATTTGTTGGAACTGAAACAGAGCCACTCTAGTAAGCTTATGGCTTTCCATGTCCAAATACTTGAGTTTTAAAACCTGCCCAGATTCTACTGCTAAACAGATGCCTAAGAGCCAAGGGCTGATTTCTTACAGGGGTCTTCAATGAGACCCCAGGGGGGCTGTAAGAAGTTCAGTCGATGAGCTGTATCTGTACTCAGAGCCTTTGTTATTTATGATATCATCAGTGATGCGAGAGTGCTAGAAAATGCCCGTGCCCCGAGATATCTCATCCCATCTGAGCCTGTACGCCTGGCTGGCAACTCCAGCTGCTCTTTTACCACTGGGGGCCAGAGGCCGCCTCCTGGATGCACCTGCTCTTGGCCCTCTGCCTTCAGATGGCCCAGCTGCCCCGGTGGGATGCCCTTGGAGGACTGGGGTTACAGTTGCATAGCCTCACTTATCCAACCCCTACCCCCACCCCAGGAGTTGCGGCTCCACCCGAGGAACCCAGAAACCCTCACTACTCTTGCTCCCCAGCAGCGTGTCCTGTGATTCACTGGAGACAATGGGGCCCTGACCGAGGCTCCGGGGGTGATGCTCAGCGGCTGGAATGGGGGTGTCGATTTGAGTGATCTGAGACTTGAGTGATTCGGGGCCCCCTTTTTTCTCCTATCTGGCTTGTAGACTTTTAGTCTATAGACTATCATGCCATATTACCCTTCCTGTGAATTTTCCAGACTTGAAATGATCTTCCTCTAGCTTTGCCTCTCATTCCATCCTTTGATGCTTTGTAGCCTGCAGAATTCTGCATCTTGAGCTCTAAGACCTTCCAGGCACACCTAGCATTTGCTTTGGTCTTTCGTCTGTGTGATTTCTTATTGTTGAAATGTCTTACAGTAAATGTTCTAGAGTGGGATTTCCTGAACTTTTAAACCAAGGCCTCCCTCTGTAGGCATAGAAACACCATGCCCTTCTGTAATATTCAAAAGTAAAAAGTAAATACTGTGAGTAGTGGCAGTGTAATTGGGAGGAAAAGCACTGCTTTTTCAAGCTGCAGAAGGGATTGTCCTCGCAGTTGGCTGAGTACATGAAGTAGGTTAAAATTTCTGGGGCTATAGCTGGATGCTGGGGCTTGCTCACAAAGTCTCCTGAGGCTGATCCAGGCAATGTGGGAGAGCTTTAGGTATGAGAGGATGTGCAAACGAGAGCCCACCGTTGGAATACGTGGCGGACAGTCTTTCCTCTCTTCTGTTTCCTCTCTTCTGTTTGCCCTATTTTGTCAGCAGGTTGATGCCACTAAACCTTAAGAACGACACTCCATAGTTAGCACGTGCTCAAATTGAGCTTGGCCACTCCCCCTGCTCTAACAGAGGCAACTCTAGTGTTATGGGATCACCTTTCTGCCTTTAGGGATACTATCAGCATTGAGGGGAGATCTTTAAGAAAGAAGGGACCTAGCTCCTCCCCTCGAGCTGCCTAGAACATAACAGACAAACCAGCGTTCATGAAAAGGAGAACATCAGGGCACTTATGACAGAGCATATGAGTCAGTGCCAAGTGCCCATAAGTGACGTGTCCTTATGTATCAGTAGTGGTGTGTCCTGTTCTCCTGCCATAGAACTGAAGCACTTAAGCACATGCATTTGTGGAAATAATTCCTCAGGGACAACGGGGCGGCCAGGGCAGGGTTTTGGCCTTGCCAAGCCCTGTTCCTCCTTTGGCCTCACTCTTCCACCTGGCTTTGGCTAGCCTTGGAGGCCCAAGTCCACTAATGTCAGGGGCGAGGTGGGTGCACATATTCCACGGGGGCAGAAATCAGTCCATTGGGAGCAGGACACATATCTTACAACTTCCTTTTATATTCATGTAAGACGAAAAAGATTAAGCTTCTCTGCAGTTAATGTACGGAGTCACTGATGTGTTCCAAAGGGCTGAACATTGTTGGTACTTGCCACCATCCCAGCCCTTCTTGGTTCCTCCCTGTCCTTAGAGGCATAAAGCCTGGACGCGACACTTGCCACACTCCTTTGCCAGTAGACCTGGATTCTTAGATTCTGCCCCAAGAGACCCTGTGCCCTGATTTGGGGAGGAGGGAGGTGAGGAGAAGCTGCTTCCTTCTGGTGGCTGCACACGACAGGCTTTCGAGCATCAGCAGGAGGCAGATGTGGGGTTTGCCAGCAGCCTCTGGATATCACCTTGAGACTCACCCACTTCAGTCGTGCAGGCAGCTGAGACCACTGGGGGCAGGGGAGCTTCCCTGTGACTCTTGCAGTCCTAGGTTTCTAGAAACTTCCTCCCTCACCTTAGCCCCTGCCTTCCAGGAGCCATATAAGCTTCTGATTCTGTATTAAACCACTTCCATTCTGAAGATTCAGAATGGCTCATATGTCCCTGACCAGACCTGGACTTGTCTACCTTCTTCAGCGTATCTGTCCTGTAGAGGTGGCCCACCGTTCAGAAAGAAGAGTAAAACTCCCACAGAAAGTGGCCTTTATATTATCTAGTTTAAATGAACTAGTATATTTCATCAAATCTAAGACCCCGTTGATTGTAAGATGCATCGTTTACCAAATAGTGAAGGAAAATGCTACCTATTAAATCACTCACCATTGATTATAATATGCAAACTGGGCTGGGCGTGGTGGCTCACGCCTGTAATCCCAGCACTTTGGGAGGCCGAGGCGAGCGGGTCACTTGAGGTCAGGGGTTCTAGGCCAGCCTAGCCAACATGGTGAAACCCCGTCTCTACTAAAAATACAAAAATTAGCCGGGTGTGGTGGCACGCGCCTGTAGTTCAGCTACTCTGAAGGCTGAGGCAGGAGAATCGCTTGAACCCGGGAGGCAGAGGCTGCAGTGAGCTGAGATTGTGCCACTGCACTCCAGCCTAGGTGACAGAGTGAGACTCCGCCTCAAAAAAAAAAAATGCAAACTGATTTCATAGATGTTAATGTGAAAAGATGGGTGGCTTAAGACATAAAATGTTAGCTCTTAAAAGCTGAACAGGTGGTTTTATTTATTATTTATTTTTTTATTTTTTTTTTTGAGGCAGAGTCTCTCTCTCTTGCCCAGGCTGGAGTGCAGTTGTGCGATCTCAGCTCACTGCAACCTCCGCCTCTTGGATTCAAGCGATTCTCCTGCCTCAGCCTCCTGAGTAGCTAGGATTACAAGTGCGCACCACCACACCTGGCTAATTTTTCTATTTTTAGTGGAGATGGGGATTCACCACGTGAATTTGTCTTTAGTGGATTTGGGGATTCATTACCATAGCTCAAAAATATGGTGAGATGCAACTGATACATTTCCTGCCACGGTTCATTCATTCATTCACTTTTTTATTTATTTGCATATTGGATGTCTTTCCCCACTAGAATGAACTCTTCATGAGAGCAGTGAGTTTCACCAGTTTTGACTCTTGCCATCAGGAATCAATTACTTGTTGATAGAATCGTAATCCTGGGAATCAGATTGAGGCTGTTTTTAAGTAGCAAACACATACAGAGCCATTCCACAAGTGTCAGTGAATGACTGACATAAGGTGCCATTTGGCCTTCGGATTATTTTCTGATTGGTTTCACTTCTGTGTTTTACATACAGCCAGTCAAGCACTGAAACTATAGGAAGAAAGAGGGAGTTATTGGAGGACGGTGTGGCTCTGAAGAGAATTAAAAACTGTAAAATCCCCAACCAGCCACTGGTTTAACATGACATCTTGCTGGCAGCCATTGAGTCACTCACTCTCGCCTTCTCACTAAATACCTTTTGGAAAAAGAAAATGACCAGAACACAGGGTACCCCTGAAAACTAAGAAGGGCAGGCAAGCTTTTGCCCATCTGGGAAATATTTCTACAACTCTCAGGCCCTTGAAGCTGGATTGAGAAAATACGTACATCATCAATTCTAAGATGTTCTTTTTTTTCCCAGGCATGAACGTGTCTGACATCTGGATGGGTTTTACAATCCATGGCGTCTTCAGATGCCATGTAGTATGGTCATTTGGGATGTGGCCATGCTGCACCCCTTGCGTTGTTCCTTCGGGTTATGTCAATTCCAAAACACTCAGCAAACCCTAGCCAAGGAGGCGGCTGCAACTCCTGGAGCTGGGGCGTGGGTAGCACATGTGGACCCCACAGGCACAGCACTGCAGGTGGAAGCTGAAACAGAAGAGCCCTGATGGGAGCACACACTGCCAAGTGGAGTTTTCAAACCCCGTGTCAAAGAACCAGGAAGTCAGGGAGGAAAATGCCCCATAAAGCACTGCAGACTGGCAGGCAGCTGGGCATGAGAGAGTGCACAGCACAGGCACCATCCCCAGCCTCAGGATGCTCACAGTCTATCTGGGAAGACAGCATGAAACATACAAACACCTACGTAACTCATGAGTGTGCAAAATGCGGCAGGTGGCGTAGCCATGAGAGATCCACCAGGCAGCCTCTACCTGGCTGAGAAGATTGTACAGGGCTTGTGGAGAAAGCATTGTTTCCGCCAAGACCTGAAGGATGATGGGCAGGGGTCAAGGGAGGTGTGTGTTGAAGGCCAAAGACCCTGAGCAGGAGTGAACTTCTGTCAAGATACACCCTCTTCCAGTAGGTCAGTGGCTTTCTTTTCAAGACATCCTCAGTACTTCTGGTGATCATTTGATTGAAAACCTTTATCTTTTCCCCAGGATAAACCAATTGTTCCTACACTTTTCCCAAAGGGTAAATTGATCACCTTTATCACATATTAAATCCTTATAAAATGTTTTAAAAAAATAATGTATTACTTGTGTGGAACAAAATTACCCCCAAACTTAGCAGCTTAAAACAACAAACACTCATGATCTCACGCAGGGTCTGATGATCAGAAATCTGGGCGCCGCTCAGCCACGTGGTTCTGCCCCAGGATCTTGCAGGTCATATACTCACTGTCGGCTGGAACTGCAGTCATCTCAAGGCTTGACTAGGACGGGCCTCTGCTTCCCAGACGGCTCACTCATGTATAGGATGACCAGCTTGTCCCCGGAGTTAGCGCTGAGAGGCTTGTGCCCTGGCTCACCCCGCAGTCCTGGGATGGTTGGTCACCCACACACGTTGACTGGAGCCCTTGACTCCACTGTGGCTTTTGGCAGAAGGCCTCCATTCTCATGGGGCTGCCACCTCAGCCACCTATTCCCTCCGGTACAAGGCTCCCAAGACTGTGGCGGATGGGAGGCAGAAGCGATTCAGGAGAGAGGCAGAGGCATCCGAAGACCTTTCACAAAATTGAGCACAGGTTCAGCAACAAGGAACATGTGAATTACAGGAAACAAATACTGTCTTTTGTAGCCTAGGGTCAGAAGTGACGACTTCTGCTGTCTTCTGTTGGCCCGCAGACCATCCCTGATTCACTGTGGGGTGGATTACACAGGAACGGGACTACCAGGGGGTGGGGATCACTGCAGGTCAACTTGTGGGCTGATACCACACATGAAAAATGTTGAGCTTTGCCAGTGACTAAAGAAACACGAAGTAAAACGGGGTGTGTGTGATTCTTCACCTTTTATAAATTTAGCAAAGTCATGGAGGCCATAATCCTAAGAGAATTAGTGCAGGAACAGAAAACCAAATACTGCATGTTCTCACTTGTAAGTGGGAGCTAAACATTGGGTACTGATGGATATAAAGATGGCAGCAATAAAAGAGTGGGGACTACTAGATGGGGGAGGGAGGGAAGAGAGCAAAGGCTGAAACACTCACTGTTGGGTGCTATGCTCACCACCTGGGTGACGGGATCATTTGTACCCCAAGCCTCAGCGTCACACAATATACCCAGGTAACAAACCTGCGCGTGCACTCCCTGAATCTAAAAGAAAAGTTGAAACAAAATTTAGCAAAGGTCAAAGCAATGTCAAATACTCATGCTAACGGTACGTGAATTTGGTGTAACATGTCCAGAAGGCAGTTAGGCGTCACAGAAAAAGCCTGAAAAAGGCACACACCTATTGATTTAGTAATTTCTCTACTTCCAATGTATCCTGCAGAAGTAACCACGTGCTCAAAGAGTAAGGTATTAGCAAGCCTGTTCATCACAATATTGTTAGCAATGACAAAGGGCTCATAAACAAGTCCACAATAGGGGAACTGTTGAAATTATGTTATACTCATTCAATGGGACACATTTGCAGTCATGAAAAATTATACAGGGGAAAGTCATTTATTCACATGGAAAAATACACGATATGTTGATCAAAGCAGGTCACAGGCAGATTTGTAGCATTCCTTCTCCAGGGGATCCCATTATGTGTTCATACTCAGATCTGTTTATATGTCTAGAAGATGTTGGAAGATACACATCAACCCGTCTATAATGGGTGTGGAGGGGCAGGTGGGATTCTAGCCATGTTCTCTTCGTTTTGCTTATCCTCACTCTCTGATTTCTCTGCAGTATACTGCTGTTATAATAATTGTTCAATTTCAAGAACACAGGCTATATCATGTCCAAATCACTGTAGAAGACAAAAGGCAATAAAACATTGCCATTTAGCAGGCAGCAGAAACAGCCAAATCATAAGGAAAAAACATAACGTATGTCAGAAGACCAACTTAATGTAATGACATTACATAGAAACAGATTAAACGCCCACGTTAAAAAGATTCCAGGATTTATTTTAAAAACAATCTTAGGCTTTTACCTACCTCATCATTTACCTTAAATATTAGAATAAAAGGTCCAGCCGGGCATGGTGGTGCCTGCTGTCATCCCAGCTACTGGGCAGGCTGAGGCGGAAGGGTTGCTTGAGCCCAGGAGTTCGAGACCAGCCTGGGCAACATAGGGAGACCCCTGTCTCTTAAATAAATAAAGGACTGGACAGAAACTCATCAGCAAGCAAACAGAAAGTGCCACCATCATATTACTGATCCAGGTGAGGGAGAATTAGAGGCAAAAAGCAGTCAGTACCTCAGGACTGGCTACCTGGTAAGAGGTTCAAGTGCAGATTATGAACTTGTGTATGATCAATTACACGTAATCAACAGCAGAAAGCAGGACCAGATGAACCTTATGGATAATTTAATAGAAAGGCAACAGGAATGAAAGACTTTGTTCTCAGCTTTTGATAGATGTATGCAAAATTAATGGCAGATATTGGTATCATTGTAAAGGCATTATTAATAGACATCAAATTCAAAAAGGGAACACAGCCTTTTCAGGACTCCATAGAACGTTCACAAAATTGGGTACCTACTACGCTACCAAGAACCCTCTGAATGTCAGAAAGCACAGTACAGGCTATGGTCTGCGGCAGAAAGTTGGAAGTTAATGAGACCCTCTGAGGCACTAACAACAAAATCAACGATCACCACCACCACCACCTTTCTAGGCAAAGCTTCTTTCCTGAACTTTCTCCTTGTGTTCCTGGCCCGTGTATCCAACCGTCAGCTAATGTCTCCACCTCCAAGCCACAGCCATCTCCTGCTCATCATCCCTGAGTCTTTTCCCCTCCTCTTTTTGCCATTCTACCCCTCTCTAGTCCTGCCTGTGTCAATAGCGCCCTCAGGGAAGAGTCATGAGTGTGGGTTTGCCATCTGCTGCTTCACAAACCCTTTTCACCTTGCTTAAACCTTCAGTTTTGCCTCTACTCTTTTAGGTGAAGACAATCTTTAAAACCCTCTGAACTAGACAAAATTACATTCCCTTTAACAAAAGCCATATTCCCATGCTTCCTTCTAATCTTTTACTAAAGAAACATTATACTTTCCTTACACACCTTGTATGTAAAACTGTTTCTCCAGTAGTGTCAATTACATATTACAGTGTTAACTCTTAGCAACTTTTATTTTTTGTGATCTCGGCTCACTGCAACCTCTGCCTCCTGTGTTCAAGTGATTCTCCTGCCTCAGCCTCCCAAGCAGCTGAGATTCCAGGTGTGTGCCACCACGCCCGGCTAATTTTTTTGTATTTTCAGTAGAGATGGGATTTCACCATGTTGGTCAGGCTGGTCTCAAACTCCTGACCTCAAATGATCTGCTGGCCTCTGCCTCCCAAAGTGTTGGGATTACAGGCGTGAGCCACCACACCTCGTTAACCAATAATTTTTAAAACTGTCTTTATTTCCAAAAGATTGCTAAAGTCACATGAACAAAAGGCACTGAAGTTTCTTTTATGTTATTTTTTGTCAGACAAAGTCTTGCTCTGTCACCCAGGCTGGAGTGCAGTGGCGAGATCTTGGCTCACTGCAACCTCTGCCTCCCAGGTTCAAGCCGTTCTCCTGTCTCAGCCTCCCGAGTAGCTGGGATTACACGTGCGCACCACCACGCCCGGCTAATTTTTGTATTTTTAGTAGAGACGGAGTTTTGCCATGTTGGCCAGGCTGGTCTCAAACTCCTGACCTCAAGTGATCTGCCTGCCTCATCCTCCCAAAGTGCTGGGATTACAGGCATGAGCCACCATGCCCAGCCTATGCCTTATTGTATTACACTCAATGCCAACACATGATGTGGCTCTGACCATCTCTTCCTGTCTTCCTTTCATTGGTACTCACACAGGATCTGCCCCCGCCCGTCTCTTCTGTCTTTCTGTGCTCCATCCTCACACCTCTTCTGCTCCTGTCCATGTCTTTCTGTTTTAGTAGGGTCCATATCTACCCGTGATGTGTTTCCTTCCCTTCTCTAGTTGTCTTACTTGATTCTGACCCTTACTGAATATTGGACCCATCCTTCTCTTCTCGGCCACTCTTGTGAAGCTGCCCTGGCCATTTCTCCAAGGCTTCCGCATGTCCAGCTTCCTCCTGAATTCAGGCCTCGCCTTGCAGTGGCTCTTCCTGGGTTTCTCTGTTCCCAGGTGTTGGGGCTTCTTCCTCTTTGAACAATTCATGTCTCAGTTCCAATGTGGCCTCTCAGAGAAGTCTTCTGTGACTGTCCTTCTTGGCACGTCCTCCCTTCCTTGTCATCCCCTTTCACACGCCTTCGGAAAGAATTTTGTTCATTTCTGTTTTCCCTCCCCTTGCTGACCAGAAGGTCAAGGTCAAGGCCTGGTGTGTGCGGCTGCCCGCTCTGTCCCCGCCTCTCTCTGTCCCCGCCTCATGATTGTGCATGGCGCCCTGGAGGTGCTCAGTGAGGATGTGTTCAATGAAGAAGTGAATTCCAGGAGTCAAGACACAGCTCAGCAGGAGTGGCCATGCACGCTGAAATTCACGGGACCCCAAGGCAGAGGAAAGCTGGGAGGAGCCAGTGGATTTGGACTGCAGAAAGCCGGTGGTCGGCTGTGGCTAACTGCGCTTGCAGGACCCACGAGGCGGAAGGTGGTGGAAGGAGGGACTGGGGGGTGGGTTCAGGGAGGAAAAGAAACGTGAGAATTTGAGTGGCTGGAGAAGAAAACACGCGGCCGCAAGCGTGTGAGGCAAGCCTCCGGCCAGGGGCTTGGCTGTCCTTCGGGGTGGGCTGGTCCTGCTGTCGTGTTGCCGTCGGGGGAGGGAGCTGGGGCTCCTGGCCTGTAGACAGGGCTTGGCTTCAGGCACCAGGAGCCGCTGTCTACACGTAAGAGAGGCGCGAAGAGCTCAGGTTGGAAGGGGGTTGTTTAGAGGACACCGTGCCCCGAGGCAGGTTGAGAGGCAGGAGGACTGCTCAGATGGGATTCGCGGGTGAGGGCCGGGGGCTCAGTGAGAGGGCTGGGGAGCTTGATCTCCTGGTGCAGCGGCGGGGCTGGAGAGGGCAGTGAAAATGGAGACCATCAGAGATAGCCCTTGGGCCACGGGGCCGGGGTCCAACAGCAGTTGGCGTCATTTTGCAGGGGGAGGAGTCGTGGAGCCTGGAGGGGAGGTGCAGAGGCTTCTCAAGCCATCCACGGGGGGTGCCAGGGTCAGGGGGCCACAGAGAGCAGAGGCCCAGCACTGGAAGCCAGGGAGGCGGGAGTCCAGGACAGGGTGCCCCTTGGGTGAAGGCAACACACAGACTCCCGTACCAACACGTGCGCGGGTCACCAAACCCACACCAAGTCAGAAATTCCAGTGCACGCAGACGGTCTACCAGTTCCTGCTGGGGGCCTGCGGAGGGCCCATGGGCGCCGCCTGTTCTCAGGGCTGGCTCCCGCTGGCTTGGCCCTGTCCACGGAGGCCCCTCCATGGCGCTTTCCTTGCCTCTCCTTTCAGGGCCCCTCCTCCGTCCAAGAACCTCAGAGCCTTTAAGAAAGGGGTTGGAGAGGGAAAGACCTGCCCAAGGCACTCAGAGCTGGGCCCCCCTCCTCTGCCACCTCTGCCTGTGTGGCTTTGTCACAGGGCTCAGGCAATCCGAGTCTGTTTTCTGCTTGGTCCAATGAGGATCGCCCCTCCCCTGACAGTTCAGGGAGATCAAGAAGGGGAAGTGCCTCATCCCAAAGGGTGCCCACTCTGTCTCTGCCTGTCTCCCTGCCTTTCCCACCCCCACTCCCCTGCTACTCCCTTTTCTACAGCCTGGCCACAGCTCACCCAGCCACACACACAGTGGAACTGCAGCCCCAGGAAACCTTACTATTAAGGAAGACTTTAAATTCCTTCTCCAAATTCTTTTGAGCTTGGGTTCTGGACAGCTGAGCAGGGCCTGGAGCAGGAAGGACCTTGGGTCGGCTTTGAATGGGATCCCAGGAGCTGTGGGAATCAACTGAAGGGTGATCAATGGCGGGAGGCCACACAATCAGATTGGTATTCTGGGAGCTCTGGAGCTCTCAGCCAACAGGAGCTGACCATCTGCTCCGCGCACTACCTAGGATGTGCATCCCAACAGCGTATTTTCCTTGGGGTCCACTCGAATAATTTCTTTCTGCCTTTTCCTGGGCTGTGCTCAGAAGAGCAAGTGTCCCTCTGAGACTAGCCCAAGTTGTTGGGTTAATGACCGCGAGTGAAGCACAACTCCCTTTCTCTTTAAAATGGTAGAGGAAAGTACTTTCAAGCTTGCCTGAGGTCTGAGAAGCTGAGCTTTCTGCAGTGGTCTTAGCGGAAACTTTGACTACAGCGTTCAAAAGGCGTCTTTCCTGTTTGCTTTCTCGGCATGAAAACGTCAAGGTACAGAATCCAGAAAGGTCACTGTAGCCTGGCCCTCTGTGATCTGGATTCGAGGCTGCAGACTCTGTTGAACTGGGCGAGCAGGAAGGCAAAGTGCGCTGGGGCCCAGTCTCCTGGGGCCCTGAAAGGGTAGGATGGTGCAGGCCGGTTCCCCCACCCAAACGCAGGCGCGGGAGGAAGCCACATGGGATTTGCTTCCCCACCAGGAGCTAGGTGAGTGAGAGGTGTGCCCCAGAGTCATGCACCTGGTGGCAATCAGCATGGGCTGATGGGGTCGGAGGAGGTGACAGCTCAGGTTGCGCCTAATTAGGAGGCCTCCTCCAGCTGGAGGTGCTGCCACCTTCCACCACCTCTGGGGCACACCTAAGACTCTGCTACCCGCCCCCCAGGAGGCTGAGTGCTAGACTCAGCCTGGGAGACAGGGTGAAGTTCTCAGGCAAATTTTACTCTACTAAGGTCACCGTTTTGTAGGTAACACAGAAATGGTGAGGTGCTAGCCTGTCACTCTGTCCCATGCTCAGCCTGTCTCCCCTTTTCATCGCCATCTCAACCCCATCCATCTTCCTCCCTCCCTCCTCTCTCTTTTTCTCTCTGACACACGCATGCACACACTCACACACAGACACGTGTCTGTGCCCATGAACACATGGGATCCAGCTTTCACAACCGATGGCCGGAGCTCGGTGCTGCTCTGCAGCTCCTCTGGGCCTTTCCCTGTCCTTACAAAGAACATACCCACTGATGGTTAATATTGAGTTTCAACCTGATTGGATTGAAGGATGCAAAGTATTGTCCCTGGGTGTGTCTGTGAGGGTGTTGCCAAGGAGATTAACATTTGACTTAGTGGACTGGGAGAGGCAGACCTACTCTCAATCTGGGTGGGCACCATCTAATCAGCTGTCAGCACGGCCAGGATAAAAGCAGGCAGAAGAGCATGGAAGGACTAGACTGGCTTAGTGTTCTGGCCTACATCTTTCTACCATGCTGGATGCTTCCTGCTCTCAAACATCGGACTCCAAGTTCTTCAGCTTTTGGACTCTTGGACCTTCGACCACAGACTGAAGGCTGCACTGCTGGCTTCCCTACTTTTGAGGTTTTGGGACTCAGACTGGCTTCCTTGCTCCTCAGCTTGCAGATGGTCTATTGTGGGACTTTACCTTGTGATCGTGTGAGTCAATCCTCCTTAATAAACTCCCCTTTATATATACATCTATCCTATTAGTTCTGTCCCTCTGGAGAACCCTGACTAATACACACTCCTTTGTCAAACCTGCTGCCCTTAGGGCCAAAAACCCACTGCAAACACTGGGGTCAACAAAGCAGCAGGCTCTCAGGGCCTCATGAAAGCATGGCGTTGCACACCTTGGCCAGGCCACTGGAGCTGTGTCCGGGGCTCCAGGCCACGGGTGACGACCACTGTGCCTGGTGAGATGGACCCCCCGGGGTGGCAGGAGTTTGAATGGAGTGGAGTGGAAACAAGTGGAGAGTGGCGCCATGGCCAGCTGGATGCTGCTCTCTGGCCATATTGTCCCCTCTCGTGTCCTGTGGGCTGCATTTAAGTCAACTCTTCCCCTCTTCTTGCAGGCCCAGCAGGCAGGGCAAGGCCTGCTTGCTTCCACTGCACATCAACTAGGTTGATGCTAGGAACCTGCCTCGTTGGTCGGTGTGAGGCTTCAACGTCCTGATCCTGTTGCTGACAGTGCGTGGAGCTGCAAGTAGGTGATCCGGCCTGGCCACCATGAGAGGCGCCTGCAGCTTCTGAACCCCGAGTTGGCTGCCCCCACCAGGCACATGGGCATCTGTGGGCTCAGGCTGGGCATCAGGGGTCTTGACAGTTCCCCTGGTGATCCTGGGGTGCAGCCGGGGTGGGGAACCCGGTGTCTGGCAGAGTGACCAATACAGGCTGTGTTGTGGGAGTGCCCTGGCTTTCCCTCCCCACTTGCTCGAGGGCAGAGGCTGCCAGTCTGGGCCTGCACTCCTGCCACCCCTTCCCTCCTCCAGCTCCCCTGGGGAATGCGTTCCCTCCTTCCATGAGTTGCATTCCAAGATCCCCAGCCTTCACTTGCTCTGTTCCTCTCCTCCCCAGAAACGTCAAGGCCTCTGCTTCAACTCCACACCTTGCAGTGCGCTGTGTCCCCAGCTTTCATTTTAGCCTGCCACTGAAGCTGCCAACTCCCAGGCCAGCGAGCTTCTCTCTTCCCAGCTTTGCTGGGACACGGAGGTTTCCCATGAATGAAGGGTGAGGAGGCTCCCTTCTGAAAACTTGGACCCTCCAGGGTTTTCAGTCTGGGTCCTCCCCCGGGATGTCCCAAGAGGCTCACAGAGCTAGCTTCCTTCAGAGGACTGAGATGGCTAGGCCAGCGCCCATGCCAGGACCACTCTGGCAGGAAGATACCTGTGGTTGTTGGGGAGTGGGGGGTAGGGGGCGGCAGAAGGCCCGTGTCCCCCAGTATAGATGTTTCCATTTCTTCTTTCTCCTGCTGTCTTATCTCCTCCTATATCTGGTTCTATTTCATTTTATGCTGGATATTCTATTTCAAAATTCTTTGTAATGCCCATTATTAAAAACTCAAAAAACAATAAACGTTGGCATGCACATGGTGACAGGGGAACGCTTATAAACACTGCTGGTGGGAACGTAAATTAGTACAAACTCTATGGAAAACAAAGTGGAGATTCCTTAAAGAACTAAAAGTAGAATTACCATTCGACCCAGCAAACCCATCCCACTACTGGAAAATAAGTCATTATATGAAAAAGACACATGTACATGCAGATTTATTTATTTGTTTGTTTATTTATTTAATTTGCGAGACGGAGTTTTGCTCTTGTCACCCAGGCTAGAGTGCAAAGGCGTGATCTCGACTCACCGCAGCCTCTGCCTCCCGGGTTCAAACAATTCTCCTGCCTCAGCCTCCTGAGTAGCTGGGATTACAGGTGCCCACCACCATGCCTGGCTAATTTTTTTGTTTTTTTGTATTTTTAGTAGAGATGGAGTTTCACCATGTTGGCCAGGCTGATCTTGAACTCCTGACCTCAAGTGATTCACCTGCCACACATAGATTTATTACAGCCCAATTCACAATTACGGAGATGTGGAACCAACCTAAGTGCCCATTGACCGATGAGTGGATAAAGAAAATGTGGTATATATACACCATGGAATACTACTCAGCCATAAAAAGGAAAGAAATACTGTCTTTTGCAGCAACTTGGACAGAGCTGAAGGCTATTATTGTAAGTGAAGTAACTCAGGAATGGAAAACCAAATACTGCATGTTCTCACTTATAAGTGGGAGCTAAGCTATGGGTATACAAAGGCATGCAGAGTAGTATAATGGACATTGGAGACTCAGAAAAAGGAGAGTGGGAGGACGGTGTGGAATTAAAAAAACTGCAGTGGCTCACACCTGTAATCCCAGCACTTTGGGATGCTGAAGCTGGCAGATCACCAGAGGTTAGGAGTTCAAAACCAGCCTGGCCAACATAGTGAAACCCTGTCTCTACTAAAAATACAAAAATAAGCCAAACGTGGTGGCGCGCACCTGTAGTCCCAGCTACTCAGGAGGCTGAGGCAGGAGAATCACTTGAACCTGGGAGGCAGAGGTTGCAGTGAGCCGAGACTGTGCTACTGTACTCCAGCCTGGGCAACAGAGTGAGACTCTGCAGATTGGGTACAGTGTACACTACTCGGGTGACGAATGCAGTAACATCTCAGAATTCACCACTATATATTTCATCCCTGTAACAAAAAACTACTTGTACCCCAAAAGCTATTGAAATAAAAAATTTTTAAAAGAATATCTTTGAAAATAAATAAATAAAATAAGTAATTCTTTGTAGAAATAAGTTACCATTATCTTTGCAAGAGAGAATATCTGCTTGCTTTATGCAGGCACCTGGGAGTGCTAAATTCGCAGGTGACATGAGGCTGATCTAGAGACTACGTGGTTAATTTTTGGTTACCTTTACTCTGAAGATTTGTCTCTTTGTGATCCCAGTTTGAGGTGGGAGGTGGTTTGCAAACTCTCCTCCTTTGGTGGGTCCCAGATTCCAACTTTTGTTCCTCAGTCCCACAAAACCACCCAACGTGTAGCTCAGCCTCCTTTGGCCTCTTCTGCATCAGCAAATGTCCAAGAACAAAAGCAATGCTTTCAGTTTCTCACACCTATCTAGGTTTTGGGTCTTTCTCAGATCTTAGCTCAGTAATTGTTAACTTTATGATATTCTTTAATGGTATATATATATATATATATATATATATATATATATATATATATATGCTTTTGTTTTTAAGACAGAGTCTTGCTCTGTCGCCCAGGCTGGAGTGCAGTTTCGTGGTCTCGGCTCACTGCAACCTCCATCTCCCAGGTTCAAGCAATTCCCTGCTTCAGCCTCCCGAGTAGCTGGGACTATAGGCACCTGCCACCACGCCTGGCTAATTTTTGTATTTTTAGTAGAGACCAGGTTTCACCATCTTGGCCAGGCTGGTCTTGAACTCCTGACCTCGTGATCCACCCGCCTCGGCCTCCCAAAGTGCTGGGACTACAGGCGTGAGCCACCGCGCCCGGCCTAATGCTATAATATTTAAAAAACATTGCATCCAGCTTTTTAAAAAGTTGTCTTTCAGAAGATGTTCACCAGTCCACAATTACAGTCTGTGGAACTCCACATTGCCGTGACTGTATTGGCTGTTGACAGAAATACCTGCTCTGTAGCTGCCGTGGTCCAGCTTGCACCTGGGAACAGACAGCTTTGCAGCATCTCCTCTCACTTCTCCCATCGCTGGGAAGCCTCCCTTGCCTGCGGTTCTTCCCTGCTCAGGTTAATGTAGCTTAGGCAGGACAGGAAATGGAAAACCAGTCTTAGGTGTGACAGTAGGAAAGTGTTTCTTCCCTCCCTCCCATCTCCTTCCATGGAGAACAGAGGTCAGGCAAATGAATGGAGAGGACTGACCAGAAATTAAACTGAAGGGGATTACTGAGTATCTGTTGGCTATTCAATTACAGTCCATGAACAAACTTGTGTACCTGTTGAGTACTGTGTGCTAAAAGGAAATCCCAAAAGGTGGGTGCATCCCTCCAGGTCCAATATGAAGAGAAATACCATGCAGTAATTTGAACAGGGAAAGTTTAATGTAAAGAATTATTGGTTGGGTGTGGTGTCTCATGCCTGTAATCCCAACATTTTGGGAGGCCGAGGTGGGAGGATCACTTGAGCCCAGGAGTTTGAGACCAGCCTGGGCAACATCGGGAGACCCCACCTCAACAAAAAAAATTAAAATTAGCTGGGCATGGTGGCGCACGCCTGTAGTCCCAGCTACTCGGGAGGCTGATGTGGGAGGATCGTTTGAACCCGGGAGATCCAGGCTGCAGTGAACCATGATTGAGTCACTGTACTCCAGCCTGGATGACAGAGCCAGACCCTGTCTCAGAAAAAAAAAAAGAAAAATATATTAAATATAAAAGAGGACTGGAGTAATGAGAGATTAGCTAATAAGAAAACTCTAAAATATTCTTTACAAATTACAGGTATAAGAAACAGGCCCTACCCTTAGGGTTGAGACACAGTGTCTAAGACTCACTGAATGGCTGCACTGGTGGACTTTGCTGTAAATCTGTTCTCTGGAATTTGCTGGAAACCCAACCTTGCAACTTCACGAACTTGCTGCAAATATGCCCTCTTTAAAGTACTGGAAATCTGCCCTCTCCTGCAGGAGAAAGCTACACTTTGCATCAATGTCCTCAGAGAGCACAGGTCAACCAGGAGGCAAAAAAACTCTTTCCTCCTACATTCTCCTTTTAGCACCTTCTACTGCCAAAGGCTTAAATTGTGTCACTGGCAAAGGGAAAAATATTTAAAGGGCCCACATCCATTTTCACAGAGTCGGCAAAAGTGGGTGAAGTTGGAGGTGAGAGGTAACACATTGGTAACCAGCACAGTGTATCCATTTCAGCCCTCAGTTTCTCTATGCATCCTCCTACACATATGTACACTCTGGAACGATAGCAAAACAAGTCTGTGTTTCTACCTAACAATATACACCTTTGCTTCTCACAAGTAAAGAAATTCTTACCCTTCCCCCAAATGAGGAGACACACAGTCACAAGAGTCATTGTGTAACTGACACAGTGAAGAAATGGATCCCAAATTCCAGGCACTGGGTGCTTTCTATTTTATAACATTTAATTCTTAGAATCTTGTGAGGGAGGTGGTGTTCAAATATAAATAAGACATGGTGCTGTCCTCCAGGAACTTAGGAGAGAGGCATGTTGACGAGGATTTATAATGTCAGGCAAAGTAATTTAAATACTAATAGGGACGTGAAGATTACCTGCTGTGGGATCCTTCTTACCAGGGGGCTATAGGAAAGTGTCTTGATGGAGGTATTATTCGAACAGATGTAGTACCGAGAGAGGTTTTGAAAGATGTGAAGACAATAGTAAAGACATGGAATCAATCTAGGTGCCCATCAATGGTGGACTGAATAAAGAAAATGTGGTACATATACACCATGGAATACTATGCAGCCATAACAAAGAACAAAACCATGTCCTTTGCAGCAGCATGTACACAGCTGGAGGCCTTTCTCATAAGTGAATTAACACAGAAACAGAAAACCACATACCGAATCTTCTCACTTGTAAGCAGGAGCTTAAAGATCCGGTACACAGGGACACAAAGATGGAAACAATACACTGCAGACTACTAGAGGGGGCAGGAAGGAGGGGAGGGGTTGCTAGGTATTTATTAGGGGCACATTTTCAAAGTTGGCTTGTTTTCGGATTTGTTCCCAAAGCCGGTATCGGATATGAGGAAGCAACCTGGAAAACACTAGAGGGTCTGAACGAGGAGGAAGAGAAACACGTAGGGTGTTGGGAACAGAGGCGGAAGTTGGGAGATCCTGCGAAATCGGAGTCCCTTTGGAGTGGGGGAGGCCATCGAGGTGTGCGAGGGCCCGGCCCCCTTGCCGCGTGGTCGTTAAGAGGAAAGGCCCTGATTTGGCTGGTGGCGGATCGCCTCCCTCCCGGCTCTCCCCGAGTGCGGCAAAGGAAGGGCTGCCTTTGAGAGTCCCGCAGGAAGATTTAGAAAGTCTCTTACATTGGACTTTTTTTTTATGATGTGCGTTTTGGGACGAGCAGAATTACACTGTTGGCTTCCAGTTCATTATCTCTATCTCTATCTCTACTTCTGTATCTATATCTACATATATTCACACACACATATATAGTACAAATATATATATACATACATATGTATATTTTTGTAAAAGGGACTCTTTAAGAAAGTAGGTCAAAAGTGGGGGAGAGGGCGAGGCCCTTTGACCCCCAGGAGTCACGCACGCATGCCAAGCGCTACTGCGCAGCCGCGGAGACGTGGTCCAGGCTCCTGCCCGGGCCTCATTGTGCCTCGGACAACGAGTGTACGCAGTTACCACACAGTTACCAAGCAGTTACCTCAGAGCCGCGGCGCAGACGTAGGCCTCAGGTCTCGGGCCTCAGGTCTCGGGCCTCAGAGCCAGACCCCGCCATCTCACGATGTCAGAGAGGACCCAGGAACAGGGTAAAGTGACCTCGCCTCAACTGGCCCGCTAGCTTGGGCCTCAAGTTCTGTCAAGAGTCTGGATGGCACCCACTTAGGTGGCCATTCAGGGGCGGCAGGATTGGCTAGTCATTGACCGGGGCGTGTCGGGGGGCGGCCTCTGGGTATTGGCCATCTGCCGCCGATTGCTCAGCGCGCCGGTGGGAAATTTGGCGTGGTGGACCGAGATGGCCCAGGGTTCAGGTCGTCTCAGGGGCTCAAGATGTCCCGGAGACGTGAGGTGATCCTGAGGCTCATGGCGTCTCCGTGGCTCTTGGTGGCTCAGGGTTGGGGTGACTTGGGCTTGTGCCGAGAGTGCGTCAAGAGGCTGGGCCTGGTTGCCCTCTGGCCCGCGGTTCTTTCCGGAGCCTCGAGTGGCTGGGAAACAATCTCGGCGCTCGCGACGCCGGGCTCCGGCGATACAGATCTATGCGGCCGCACTTTTTCTTGAATTTATTGGTTTTCCCTGGTGGGCAGCCGCGGAACACAGCCCTGTTCAGCGTTTTGGCATAGCGGCTGGGGCACAGCCTCAAATTCCGGGTGTTCTGAGGGGGTGCTTTGGGTGGTACCCGCCGCCTCTCCCGGGGTGCCCGCGTGGGTTACATTTTGAGATTTCGAAGCTTATTAGATACTTGATGCTGACTTTCTGGGACGAGCTTATCCTTTTTCAGCTGTTCTCTTTTTGGTGAGGCGGGGTATGGGGGGGCGAGGAATGAGGAATGACTCAGACTTTCACAGAGGTTTTTTGTTGTTGTTTTTTGTTTTTGTTTTTGCTTGGTTTTGTTTTGTTTTGTTTTGTTTTCAGACAGAGTCTTGCTCTGGTGCCCAGGTGGGAGTGCAGGGGCGCCATGTCGGCTCACTGCAGCCTCCGCTTCCTGGATTCAAGCGGTCCTCTCACCTCAGCCTCCTGAGGAGCGGAGACTACAGGCGTGCACCACCACGCCCGGCTAATTTTTGTATTTTTTGTTGAGACGGGATTTCGTCATGTTGCCCACACTGGTCTCGAACTCCTGGGCTCAGGCAATGCTCCCGCCTCAGTCTCCCAAAGTGCTAGGATTACTGGCGTGAACCACCCCACTGGGTGAGAGCTTTGAGTCTAAAGAATTGACAAATTCCCGAGTTGATTTCCTGTCAGACATTTTGCGGTTGAGACATAGAGTCTGAGGCTTTGATGGTAACCGAGTTTGATTTAGAGACAGACTGTGCAGCTTCGCTGTTTTATTGTAAATACGTAAATGAGGAGGAAGAGAAACACGTAGGGTGTTGGGAACAGAGGCGGAAGTTGGGAGATCCTGCGAAATCGGAGTCCCTTTGGAGTGGGGGAGGCCGTCGAGGCGTGCGAGGGCCCGGCCCCCTTGCCGCGTGGTCGTTAAGAGGAAAGGCCCTGATTTGGCTGGTGGCGGATCGCGTCCCTCCCGGCTCTCCCCGAGTGCGGCAAACTGGCTTCAGGTTGACTAAAAGCGATTTTTCCAGCAGCTTTGCTGCGCCTTGCTTTCTAAAGCGAGGCGTGGGCTGGGTGCCTTTTTGAGCCTCACTTGTCCGGCCTGTGGCAAGTGCTGGGCGATGGGATACGGTTCTGGCGGCAAAGGAAGGGCTGCCTTTGAGAGTCCCGCAGGAAGGTTTAGAAAGTGGTTGTTCTTAAAACAAACGGAGCGGTCTGGCTGTTGTAATTGGCCCCGTTTTGCTGTGTGTTCCTCAAAGTGGTCCCGGCGTGAAAAGCCGTTTTCAGAACTCATTGTGAGCTGTGCCTCATCTGATGAGTTGATGGCAATTGAAAGCCTTGCGCCTTGGTAGTATAATGTTCAAACAATTTCTTGTTTTTGTTTGTTTGTTTTGTTTTGTTTTTTTGAGGCAGAGTCTCTCTCTGTCGCCCAGGCTGGAGTGCAATGGCGCAATCTCGGCTCACTGCAACCTCCACCTCCCAGGTTCAAGCGATTCTCCGGCCTCAGCCTCCCGAGTAGCTGGGACTACAGGCGCACGCCACCTCGCCCCGCTGATTTCTGTATTGGTAGAGACAGGGTTTCACTGTGTTGGCCAGGCTGGTCTCGAACTCCTGACCCCAAGTGATCCGCCCGCCTCGGCGTCCCAAAGTGCGGGGATTACGAGTGAGAGCCACCACGCCCGGCCATCTTCAAACAATTTCTAAGTGTTAAAATGTCTTTTAAAATTTAATTGGGAAAGTTATGTGTACACCTAAAAGAACTGATTGGACTTTTACATATTTACTGAGAAACCTTAGCGGTGTTGTCAATAGCTTTACTAGCTCTAGTTTGAAAGATCTGTTGATATACAAAAGCTTGTCTTAAAAATACACTTTCAGTTGCCTTGGTTATTTTCTTCTGATGACAGAATCTAAAGTTCCTTGTACAGAATCGACAGAAAAGTCTAATGATAATAAATTTGCTATTCAGTAATAGCCACCTAGATAACCATTGGTATGTTACCTTTGGCTCTCAAAGTTAGGATTATACTGTATTTTTCTGTTTTGAATCCTTTTCTCCCCTTTAACTTTATTTAACTTTATTTCACAAGCATATCTAGTATTAGTACATTTTCTTTGGGAACATGCTTCTTCTTCTTCTTGTTCTTTCTTTCTTTTTTGTTTGAGACAGGGTCTCGTTTTGTCGCCCAGGCTGGAGTGCAGTGGCGGGATCCTGGCTCACTGCAACCTCAGCCTCCCGGGTGCAAGCCATCCTACCTCAGCCTCCCAAGTAGCTGGGACTACAGGCACATGCCACCACTCCCGGCTAATTTTTCTATTATTATTATTATTATTATTATTATTTTTTGGTAGAGACAGGATTTCGCCATGTTGCCCAGGTTGGTCTCGAACTTCTGAGCTCAAGCGATCTGCCCCACTTGGCCTCCCAAAGTTCTGGGATTACAGGCGTTCGCTACCGCGCCCTGCCTGAGAACACACTTCTTATTGGCAATATACCATTCCAGCTCAGGGAAATACCAAAATTTATTTAAGCTTTTGTTTATTTAATACTTTGGTTTAGATAATTAGGTGGTTTCTAATGTTCTATTTTTTTTCCATGAAGACTATTAAGTAGACTTCAGAGTGACTCTTAAAAAAACCCCACTTTTTACGGGTGAGAAAACAGAGGCAAAAGAGTCAATTTATCTGGCCCAACGGTCATACCTCTGGATAATTACAGAGCCTGAATTGGAACCTTCATTCTGTGATTCCTAATTTAGTACCATTTTCAAATCATCACATGCCCCTCACACTAGCTAATTATTTTATTCTCCTGCATTAGTCTATTTGAAATAAATAGAATAAATCCAAGTTATGATGTAGTTTAAATGTGGTCTGTGAGTGAATACTTCAAGCTTAAATGTGTTCTTTTTCAGGCCAGCTTTAAGAAATAAAGCTTATTTTGATCTTGGACATTTTGCATAATGTGTTTTCATATTCATTAAAATGGTTTACCTAGTTGATATTTCACATCTGGTATATTTGTCATTACCTATTTCACATTTTGTGAGATTCAGTTTTAATTCATTTCATAACAACATTTACTTTTGCACTTTATTTCTGCATTATCAGTCATCATAGACATTAATATTAGTTTTTAGAGAACAAATTTAGAACTTCATGGTCACCACAAGTATGTCTACTTAACACCAGTTGCATCGTTTAAGTTAAAAGCATATCATTGAACACTGTGGCATGGGCCAGCTGGCCACATTTCTTAAATGAGAAGAAATTTATTGCTCTACGAAATTGGAAGTACTAGAGATAGTAGTCTATGTGTGTATATGCATACATACATATATACATACTTCAAAACTTCCTACTATTGGTTCATTAACTAACTTGTAATGATTACAGATATAAAAATATGTAATACAAATTTTCAGCTAAAATATGTTTTTTAAACAATCTATAACTTTATAAGGTAGCTTCCTCAAGAAACTGTTTATTTAATGTGATATTGAATCTAATCTTCCTCTTTGCTTATTCTTAGATTTTGTTATTATAACTGTCGACGACAGTGATGATAACAATGATTGCAGTATTGAGATGGTGGAAGTTTCTGAAACAGCAGATAATTCCACTAATGACATAGCAGATGATTCCACTTATGTCACAGCAGATAATCCCACTGATGACACAGCCACACAACCAAATTTTCCAGGCGGCAATGATGGCCATCACCGTCCACTCCAAATGTCATATGGTAATTTTGTTAAATTTCATCCTTGGCAAAATTTTACTCTCTGGTCCCCATTTCCAGTAAATTGCTTAAATATTCCTGTAACCTTTACAGTAATTAGTTATGACCAGAGGGCTTAGCTTCATGGTAATACCACAATGTTTACTTCTGCTTGCATTTTCCCTTCACTTAAGCTTTGCCATGTCTCCTTTGTTCTGTGTGAGACAGTCCCAGGAAGCATTGGGGAGAATATATTCTCTGTCTTTGAACAATTATTTATATCTGGCAACTATAATTGTAACAATTTGGTGGCAATGCAAAAGTAAAAAGCTAAAACTGAACTTCTAGGAATAACAGCTTGAGTCAAGAGTCCATGGAGCAGGTGGCATGATTATCTATGTAGAAAGTCTCAAAGAAGCAACAAAAATCTCCTGGAAGTCATAAGTGATTATAGCAAGGTTGCAGGAAACAGGTTAATATACAAAAGTTAATCACTTTACTACATGCCAACAGTAAACAATTGGAATTTGAAATTTACATTAGCATCCAAGACCCCATGGAAAGTGGAGTCCTGCAACCAGAACTGCTATAGCCACTGGTCCTTTGAATGGCTCTCTAGGAAATGTGAGACCATCCACATCCTCACTTGTACAGAGAGCCATGAGACGTTAACTCCTTGGAATATTTCTTCCTTAGCTGTATGACAATTTGTTCTTTGCCCTTTGCTTAGAGAATTGGATTTTCTTCTCTTTAAAACATGGAAATGTTATTGCCTATGTTGGAGACTGGCAAATTTTTTCTGTAAGGGGCCAGATAATAAATATTTTAGGCTTTGCAGGCCATAAGTTCTCTGCTTTAAGTATTTAACTCTGCCTTTATAGCATGAAAGCAGCTGATATGTAAACAGATGGTTGTGGCTGTGTTTCAATAAAACTTTATGGTCATTGAAATTTGAATTTCCTATAATTTTTCCATTTCATGAAATATTCTCCCCCCCATCATTTACAAATGTAAAAAAAGTCCATAATATCTTAGCTTATGAGCTATACAAGAACAGGTGGCAAAGTGGATTTGGTCCACAGGTGGTGGTTTGCTGATCCCTGATCTGATACCAAAAAAGTCATTTGATACCACTTATCTGTTTTGGTTTTAAAACTATATGCAGGGCTAGCAGGATACTTCTTTAGTGTGTTATAGAACATCTGATATCATAGAGACAGAAAGTAGAATAGAGGTTACCAGGGACTGAGGTGAGGGGGAGTTATTGTGTAATGGGTACAGAGTGTATGTTGGGGATGATAGAAATATTTTGGGTATAGATAGTGAGGATAGTTATACAACTACCTGAATATATTTAATGCCACTGAATTGTATACTTACAAATGATTAAAATGATAAATGTTTGCCTTTCAATGTATACACATCATTATATCAAAATAGTGAAAAATTAGAAGCCATATAAATGTCCCACAGTGGAAAACAGATAACAGAACCTCTGGACATCCATAAAATGGAATATTATGCAGGCATTTAAAAATATTTTTAAAATTATAAATGACACACAAAATTGCTTAAAAATATATGAGTAAGATAAATAAATGTATTTAAAGGTTACAATATTTATTGCTGATGGATTGCTTTCTCTTTTTATTTAGATTCTGAATTATTTGTAATGAGCTGAATTTTTTAGGTGAATTTTTTTTTCTTTCTTTTTTTTTTTTTTTTTTTTTTTTTGAGACAGAGTCTCTCTCTGTCGCCCAGGTTGGAGTGCAGTGGTGTGATCTCGGCTCACTGCAATCTCTGCCTCCCGGGCTCAAGTGACTCTCCTGCCTCAGCTTCCTGAGTAGCTGCCACCACCACGCCTGGCTAATTTTTGTATTTTTAATAGAGAGAGGAGTTCACATTGTTGGCCAGGCTGGTCTTGAACTCCTGGCCTCAAGTGATCCGCCCGCCTCAGCCCCCCAAAGTGCTGGGATTACAGGCATGAGCCACCACGCCCGGCCATAGGTGAACTTTTTATGGAAGTCTATGACATACAAAATATGCACACATCATAAATATACAGCTTAAATAAATTTCAAAGTAATACATGCATATAACCAGCACCCATCCCAAGAAATATAAGGTTATGAGCTCCCTAGAATCCTATCCACCCCCTTTCAGTCACTACTCTTCTTTGTAAGGTAACCACTATCCTGACTTCTCCCACCATAGATTACTTTTTTCTGTTTTTGAGTTTTATACCAATTGAATCATATGCTATACTCTCTTTTATATCTGGCATTTTTTTCAGAGACAGGGTCCCACTGTGTTGCCCATGCTGTACTTGAACTCCGGGGCTCAATTGATCCTCCTGGCTCAGCTCCTGTGTAGCTGGAACTATAGGCACGTGCCACCACACCTGGCTTGTGTCTGGCTTTTTTTACTTCTTGCTATGTGCTGCAATAGTTGGTTTATTCTCACTGCTGTATAGTTCCTTTGTTTGAATACATCAGAATGTAATTACTTATAGCTTGCATTATAGTCAGAAAAAAAAAACAGCTTAAAAAATAGAATTTGGTTGAATTTACAGCTCAGTTTGGAGGTATCTTATTGTATCTTTTATTTTCTTCTTCTTATTATTTTTGAGTCAGGGTCTGGCTCTGTCACCCAGGCTGGAGTGCAGTGGCATGATCACAGCTCACTGCAGCCTCAACCTCTTGGACTCAAGCAATTCTTCCACCTCAGCCTTCCCAGTAGCTGGGATGACAGGCGCACGCCACCATGCCCAGGTATTTATTTTTATTTTTATTTTTAGTAGAGATGATATCTTGCTATGTTGCCCAGGCTGGTCTCCAACTCTTGAGCTCAAGTGATCCTCCTGCCTCAGCCTCCTAAAATGTTGAGATTACAGGTGTGAGCCACCGGGTCTAGCCTGGAGGGATTTTATAACTTGATATTTCTATATAACATTAGTCTGCATTTATCTAACTTGAGAGTTAGTTCTCCCATTTTCTTTATCCCCTTTTGATTTCTCTCTTTTGGGTCCTTGGTCATTAGGATCTCCACTATAGAATGAAAGGAAACAGGAAAGAGATGAAACTTGAATCCCTTAATTGTGCCTCTCATTACTGCCCTGGCTCAGGAAGGTTTAAGTGAAGTAGCTCTTTCATTAAAGTGTCACTCCCAGTAACTGTGATGCAGGCTTTTAAAGCAAATCTCTAGTACAAGATACAATCCAATACTGTTGCAGCCAATGTCTTCTTCTAGTTCCGTAGTTAGGTGACTCAGAGCCATAACCAGATCTTCCTAATTCTAGATTGTTTGGCTTACATTTCACATCCATTTATTTAGGATTAATATAAAATTTAATAAGGCAATCCTAACTTGAAAGCTGAAATGGACCTTAGAGATCATCTCAACTGATGTTAACCTGGCAGATGAGGAGGTGGTGTCTCTAGTGGTCTGCCCAGCTCACATAGCAGTGGGGGTCCGATCTAGAATAGATTCCTGGCTTACATTTTGGACACAATGCCATCTCCTTAGTCAAGGGCCTTTTGGGGGCTCCTTTACAAAAGCAGTTAGCCCTTGCGTTCTCTTGTTCATTTGTTTCCAGCATTTACTATGTAGGCTTTAAGTTATTAAGCAGTCACTTCACAGTTTGTAATTGTGTTTGATTTGATTCTTATTCCTAGTCATAAGTAATATAGCCCTTCAGTTTTAAAATAGTTACTCTAAATTGGTCATGGAAGAATTCTTGTTTTGTCACTCTAAAATTCAACCCAAAGTCCAATTCAATTTGAGTTAGCATTCTGAGAGCATATCCGTATTAAGGTTATTAAGAGAGTAGTGTATGAAATAACTTTTTAATGCATTGCTTCACAGTAGCCCATGGTGACCAAATAGTTTCACAGATAAACCACCCAGTACATTTAAGAAGATACAGTTACAACTCAGAGGAAGTGGATTTTCCAAAAAGAGGAAGATTCTATACTCCAGAGGTAGATATTATGGTTTGTTTATTAAAGTGAAAATCTCTCTTTGTTCTTTTCATTCTGCTGTATTTCTTTTTAAAAAATGGAGTTGAATTTCATGCAGTAAAATGCACAAATCAGTGAGTTTTGATAAATGTGTATACTTACACCCCATGAAGATAATGAACATTTTGGCTGGGCGCAGTGGCTCATGCCTGTAATCCCAGCACTTTGGGAGGCCAAGGCGGGTAGATCACCTGAGGTCAGGAGTTTGAGACCAGCCTGGCCAACGTGGTGAAACCCCATCTCTTCTAAAAATAAAAAAAAAAATTAGCTTGGCGTGGTGGTGCATGCCTGCAATCCTAGCTACTCGGGAGGCTGAGGCAGGAGAATCGCTTGAACCCCGGAGGCGGAGGTTGCAGTGAGCCGAGATTGCGCCACTGCACTCCAGCCTGGGTGACAGAACAATACTCTGTCTCAAAAAAAAAAAAAAAAAAAAGACAGTAATAAACATTTTCATCACCCTAGAAAGTGGCCTGGGACCTCTTCCCAGTAAGTCCCCATCTCCCTTAACTTTGGGGGAAATATATTTTGATTTTTTTTTCCATCCTAGATGAGTTTTGCCTGTTCTAGAACTTCACATAAATAGAACTGTACAGTATGTACTGTTTTGGGTCATAGTCTTTTTTCCTGAGAAGAATGTTTTGGAGATTTGTTTCATAGTATTAATATTTCATTCCTGTTCATTGCTGAGTGGTATTCTGTCATATGAATACTCATAATTTGCTTACCCATTTTTTTTTTTTTCTGAGATGGAGTCTTGCTCTGTCATCCAGGCTGGAGTGCAATGGCACGATCTCGGCTCACCGCAACCTCCACCTCCCGGGTTCAAGCGATTCTCCTACCTCAGCCTCCTGAGTAGTTGGAATTACAGGAGCCCGCCACCACATTCGGCTAATTTTTGGATTTTTAGTAGAGACAGTGTTTCACCATGTTGGCCAGGATGATGTCAAACTCCTGACCTCAGGTGATCTGCCTGCCTCGGCTTCCCAAAGTCCTGGGATTACAGGCGTGAGCCACCGCATCCGGCCTGTCCATTCTTTTGATGGACATTTGGGTTGTTTGCAGTTTTGGGCTATTAGGAGTAAAGTGACTATGAACATGCTTATGGCAGTCTCTTTGTGAACCTATGTTTGCATTTAATTTGGGTAAATACCTGAGAGTGGAAGTTTTAGGTAATGGGGTAGGTGAAAGTTTATGAGAAATTGCCAGTTTTTCTAAGTGGTCATACTGTTTTACATTACCACTATATTCTCCTGTGCTTTTTGACCTCTGAAGTTGAATAAAATAGATTATTAAACTATATATAATTTGGCTTAACAGAAAATGTATTTGTTTACTTACATGAGGATGTGGATATCAGTGCCACATAAGTAGTGTAGGCAATTCTTAACTTCTATCAGCCTCAATATTTTCATTTTTGGGGATAATGCTAATTATCTGCCCAGTGTCATGGTTTTGTACATAATTATCTGAAAGCACTTTGGAAAGCATGAAGCACTATACAAGGGTAAGATGGTAATATTTTGTTTACAATTATTAATATCTATTATAATTTGATATAATTTTGCCATCTAATAAGTTTGTAATGCTGGGCTAATTCGATTAATTTTTTATCATGTATTTTGAAACAAAGAAGTAGGTAACTCCTTGGTATGTTTATATTAAAATTATTTTTATGGCCCACAATTCATCTTTAGAATAATTATACAGAAATATAATGGTTATTTACTGTCTGTTTACTTATTTATACCCTGCCTTACTCCAAAAAATATTTTAAGATGATTTACAGATTAATTTATCAAGAAAAATAGATGGTTAAGTGTTTCTTGTCTTGTCCACAGAGTGTCACTGTTGGTTTATTTGAAAATCAAAAGCCATTTAAGATTTGGTTCTTTGTTCATGGTTAGAAATACTTGCTTTTAAAGCAGTTCTGGTGCTAGAAGACTCGTTTATCTACCACGAAGTATATAAATGGTTAAGCTTGATGAAAATGGTGTCTTAAGTGTAGCTGGGTTAATGAGAACACAATTCTGCAAATATATCTTTTCCTGTAGTTGTAGGATTTGTGATGGGCAAAGGTCCTTTGATATCACAAATAGGCCTTAGGTGCTTCTTGAAAATGAAATGGAAGTTCTGAACTTTTCTTTCTTTCATATGTTCTTTTGGTTTATTAATAATTTTTCCTTAGACAATAACATGAATACTTGATTGTGAAGAAGGTGGAAGTATCATTAATGAATGTATACCAGACTTTGAATCTTTATATAATATTAAATGCTCATTGCCAAATATATTCCAAGAAAGCAATTTGAATTCTTTTTCAGTCTTCATATATACTACAGAATTACTCTGAACTCAGGCTGAAGGAAATATCTCTCTCTCCTGAATCTGTATGCTTCTTTTCATTAGACAATGAGCTCTGAAGCATTTTGTTTCCTTCTTTTCCTTATCTAGTAGGAAATTCACAGCATTTTTGTACCCAGTTTCATTAGCTTTTCTAATTTTTAAAAGAATTATAGATTTACAGAAGAGTTGCAAAAATATTTCAGGGAATTCTCATATATATGCTTGACACAGCTTCCCTTAATGTTAACTTACATGTATAACTTAAAATTATGGTAATTGTAATAATCACAGCACAGTTATCAGAACCAGGAAATGAACATTGGTGTAGTACTATTAGCTAAACTGTGGTCCTTGTTTGAATTTTGCCATTCCTACCCAATCCCATGTCCTTTTTCTGTTCCAGGATAAAATCTAGTATCCCACATTGAATTTAGTTGTGTCTCCTTAGCCTCTTCTAGTCTGTGACAGCTCCTTATTCTTTCCTTGTCTTTCATGACTTTGACACTATTGATGACCACTGCTCAGTTATTTTATAAAATGTCTCGATCTTGGTGTGTCTGATACTTTCTCTTGAATAGATCGAGATTATGCATTTTTGGCAAGAGAGTAACACATGAGTGATGTTATCTCCTCATTGAATCATATTGGGGGATAGGTGGTGTTGATATTTTTTTTATTGGTGATGTTAACATTGATCACTTGGTTAACATGATGTTTTCCAGATTTTTCCACAGTAAAGTTACTATTTTTCCCCATTGCCCACGATAAAGATTTTGGGTGGCAGGGGATTTTGAGACTCTGCTAATATCCTGTTTCTCTTCAACTCACCAAGACAAGTTAGTATCCATGCATGGATTTTACCTGCAGCAGCCATTATTGTGGTGTGTGCCTTATGTTGATTCTCTGTCTCCCTCATTCCTTCTGGATTTATTAATTGGAATGCATTTGCAAGGGAGAGCTGTCCTTTATCTCCTATTTATTTATTCAATTATGTATATTCATATTAATATTGACTCATGGACATTTATTGCATTGTATGAGTTATAATCCAGTATTGTAATTATTTCTTCATTGATCAAATTTTCCAGCTTTGGCTATTGGGAGCTCCTTCAGTTGATTCCCATGGCCTTTTGACTTGTCCCTGCCTTTTTTGTATACTCACTTGTTTTCTGACATCACAAGATAGTCTAGGCTCATCTGTACTTTCCCTGTCTTAGCTCTGGAATTAAACTGTTCTCTAAGGAGCCCCGGTTCCTTTAGTTGGAGACTGGTATTTAGAAACCGAGATCTGGACACTAGGTGTGTTCATTGCTCCTCTTGTGTCATTGATCCTAGGCCTTCTCAGTGGACAGAACTAGGAAATAAATGTAGGTATCCCAATCCATGCACACACATACATCTATATTTCAGTCTCGCTATATATTAAAACTATATGTTCATACTGATATTCAGTAGCTTTTCTTAAACCTAGGTTCTTATATAATAACTTCTTTGCCTACCTCCTTTATTAATCAGCTCTTTTATTCTCATATTCTCTTTTTCTTGGCTTTATAAGACTTCTGAAATCCTCTGGAACATAGGGGAGAAACAAAAAGAATTTAAAAATATAAATATTTAAACTGTTCTTTTTATAGTGCTTACTTTGGCTCCTAGTGATATTAAGACATTGACTACTTATTTTTTATATATATATATTTGAGATGGAATCTCGCTCTATCACCCAGGCTGGAGTGCAGTGGCGCAATCTTGGCTCACTGCAACCTCCTACTCCTGGATTCAAGCCTCAGCCTGCCTCAGCCTCCCGAGTAGCTGGGACTACAGGCACGTGCCACCACGCCCGGCTAATTTTTTGTATTTTTAGTAGAGACAAGGTTTCGCCGTGTTAGCCAGGATGATCTCAATCTTCTGACCTTGTGATCCACCCGCCCCGGCCTCCCAAAGTGCTGGGATTATATGTGTGAGCCACTGCACCTGGCCTATTTTTTAGAATGTTAATAGAACAATGAAGTTTCTTGTGATGAAAATGATAGAAACCATCTTTCTGGATTCCAACACTGTTGTAAAGTATGAAGTTCTGTCTCTCAAATGTAGTTTTCTGAAATACTGAGCCAAAAAAATTTTTAATCACATTTAATACCATTGTACTATTTTTTTTTTTTTTCTGAGACAGAATTTCGCTCTTATTGCCCAGGCTGGAGTGCAGTGGTGTGATCTCAGCTCACTGCAACCTCTGCCTCCCGGGCTTAAGCGATTCTCCTGCCTCAGCCTCCCGAGTAGCTGGGATTACAGGCGTGCGCCACCACACCCGGCTACTTTTTGTATTTTTAGTAGAGACAGGGTTTCGCCATGTTGGCCAGGCTGGCCTCGAACTCCTGACCTCAGGTGATCTGCCCACCTCGGCCTCCCAAAGTGCTGGGCTTACAGGCGTGAGCCACTGTGCCTGACCACCATTGTACTGTTAATAGAAATTTTGCTGTGTCAAGTTCTGTATGATTATCATCTCATTGTGATACATTTTTCAAAAAATTTCTAGTTAGAACAGTATCCCAAGGTGAAAAATTTGAAGTAAAAATAATTTCTATAGCCCCTTTTTTTTTCACAAAAAAGCCCATAACTGATCAAATGTAGTTAAGCCTCTTTCATCTAGATTGTTTCACATTTAATTTCTCCAAAATAATCCTTAAAGGAAATTGGCTGATTTGGATGAAATTTAGTATGTGCTTGAATGTGTATCAAGATGTCTCAATGGAAACAAAATGGCAGCCCATCAAGGTTTTGTAAAGAACCATACCTTAGGTGGTTTTGAGGGGGTGTTGTAAGAATCACCATGTTGGTAAAGATGTGATTACCGGGGATTTTCTGAGTTCTAAGCCAGAGGTAATGAAGGTTTATTAAAAAAAATGTTTCTTACCGTATATAATGTTTCTTGAATGGAATGAGCTAAAATATTTTGGAAAGTAAAATTGTTTGGGCGTTTATCATGATCATGGGGGAGAACAGAAGCGGAGTGCTTCCAAGGGACACATGCAGTCTTGGGGGGAAGTGGGTGCAGAGGCGAGCTGGGAAGGGAGGGAGCAGGTTCTCCCTAGCCTACCTCCCCCTGCACTGCTAGGCCAGGGTCCCCCTCAGCAAGCCTGCACACTGGGGTGGGAGGCAGCATCTGTGGGGGGAGGTGCCTAGGGCCATGGTCAGCCTGAAATGGCCCCAATGGCTCCTCTCCATTGCTCCTAAGGGGCTGGCTTTTTCCTTCCCTGCCCGTTCTAGATCACAGGGGTGGCGCTGCAGCTTGCCTTGTTCTTTCATACCAGTTCCCTCTTGAGTCCACCTCCGTCCTGCTTAGCTGGGAGCAGAGGAGGACGCCCTCAGTTGGCAGTCCCCGGCCTACCTCAGCCCTCTAGTCCTGCCTCTTCACTCCTGGAGACAGTGGAGCGCCTAGGGCAGTCCTCTCCTCCAACTCCTCATATCTGTCCCCACAGCCAACCAACTGCCCCCATCCCCGCCCTTCTTCTGACCCCTTCCCGACTATTCTAGTGGCCTGGGCTGACATCCTTGCTGCTTTCTGCATCTAGTCCCCTCCCCGAACTCAGAGCTGCCCCCAATCGGGCGTCCCTCTGTCTCTCCTCTGGCTCTAGCTCCTGACCCTCCTTCCCCTCTACGTGTTCTCCCACAGCTTGGAGAAGCCACTTCTCTTGCCTCCCATCCCTCCTTTGCTGTCATCCTCACTCTCTCCTTCCCATGACAGCCTCGCTCCTGGAATGTCATTGATACTCGCTGTCTCCACATCTGGCTTCCTGTTTTTCTCTGGGTATTTTTGAACCTGCTGTTTCTTCTATCCTGTAAACCCTTCCATGCATCCTCACCTGGTGAGCTCCTTCTCATGTTTTAATTCTCACCTCAGACCTCACCTCCTCTGAAAAGCTCTCCATGACTGCCAGCCTGGGTTAGGCCCACTCTTCTGTGCATGCTTAGCCTCCTGTTCCTGCCTGTGTCATGGCGCTGGTAATAACAATAGTAACATGAAGAGACCACTGAGCACTGTTGGACTGGGCATAGTGTAGTGTTGTTACCGTTAGTAGTAACCTAATACTATGGCAAGGTTCTTGTCCTCAAGAGAACCCTGAGAGAGATTTTCATCCCGATTCCCTACATGAGGACATTGAAGCACAGAGAGGTTAAGTAACTTGCTCAGGGTCACACAGCCAATAAGTGGCTGGACTCTAGTATTTGACCCCAACCATGTTCCCCTAGAGCCTGCACTGTTTACCTCAGTGCCATAGCCCAGTGGTTCTCACTGGGAGCATCAGAATCACCTGGAGGGCTTGTGAAAACATAGACCACTGCTCCTACTCTCAGAGTTTCCGACTCCAGAGGTCTGGGGTACGGCCTGAAATTTGGCATTTCTAATTTCTTGCAGGTGTTGTTGATACTGCCAGTTTGTGGACCACTTTGCAAACCACTGTTCCAGGCTGCTAATCACTTTGTCTATTGGAATCCTCTCTTTACTTGTCTCTCTCCCAGCTGAGATGGCAGTTCCTCTAGGACAGGAGCTTTTTTTTTTTTTTTTTTTTTTTTTTTTTGAGACAGGGTCTCATTCCATTGCCCAGGCTGGAGTGCAGTGGCACAATCATGGCTCACTGTAGCCTCAACTTCTCAGGCTCAGGTGATTCTCCCACCTCAGGCTCCCAAGTATCTGGGACTACAGGTGCATGCCACCATGCCTGGCTACATTTTTGTATTTTTTTTTTCTAGAGACGGAGTTTTTGTTGTTGTTGTTGTTTTTTGTTAGAGATGGAGTCCTGCTGTATTGCTCAGGCTGGTCTCGAACTTCTGAGCTCAAGTGATCCGCCTGCCTCGGCCTCCCAAAGTGCTGGGATTACAGGCATGAGCCACCGTGCCTGGCTAGGAGCTTTCTTTCAGTCCATGTTTCCAACACATAGCAAAGTAGTTCTGCCAGGTGGAAGGCCGTCAATAAAGGTTTAGTTGAATGAATGAATGAGGAAATGTTTCTGGCCCTTTGTTTAAGCGTATTTTTTTTTTGCCCAAAGTTTCTGTGTATTTCAAGAAGAATTCTCAGATTTTTATCAGTCATATATGCTTGATTGGCACGTAGGGGATGTGTACTCAATGGTTTTGTAAGATTAGTTGTTGACTGCATGATTTTAAAATGTTTGAAGCCAAAAGTCACATCTGTTATATTTGGCTCAATGTTCTTTCTGGAGTGGAACACTCACTGTCTGTATATAATATAGACTTCATATTTGTACATATATGAACATATATGTTACATATGAACATTATAAAGTGAGTATTTGGTCTTTTAGCAGATTTGAGGATTTCTTTCCTAAAATAGCACCTTCCTTGATGTGCAGCGTCTTCATCATCAATGTGCTGGTGTAGAGGCATTGTGGCGCTTTCATTTGCTGGCATTAGAGCATCCTCAGTGCCTGCACGGGGTAGAGCAGCAGAGGGGATGTTGGGGCTCCTGAGCTCAGCCTCTTGGCTCTGTGTCACCTACAGCCAGGCCTCGAATAGGAGCAAGACATTTCTGATGGCTTGAGAACTTTTGTTGTGTCTAGCAGTTAACATTTGACTTAATGGCATTTTCACATATGTTATTTTTCTTTTGAAATATGAGCTACTATTTTTTAAATATAATAGAATTTAGAAGATCTTATTGAAAATACCACTATGCAGGTTGACCGTCTTTGTGGAGCTGTTTCAGAAGTGCAATGTTCTTGGGAGCAACCACCTTTGATGAAATGTGTGTTACAAAAACATTTTTACAACTTTGATAAACCTCTAGCTCCTAAAGACACAAATCAGTTAGAATTGATAGAGAACTAGTAACTCTGAGATTAGCAAGGCTTTTCTCTACTTACTTTAATAGCAGATGGGGGACTACAATTCCCTTGGAAGAATGCTGAAGTTTAGGTCTGACAGATTACAACACTGAGTATTTTTATGTTAGTAGATATCATGTATAAAATGTAGGGTTGAAGAAGAATAAAAATCATATAATCAAAGTACAGCATTTATCCTTAACAATGGAAAATGATGTTGCAAGGAAAATACATAGGAATGCTTATTTTTTTAAATAAACTTTTTAAGCCTCATTTTAAGTTACAGTTGACTTATACTGGGTTGGTGTCATTTTAGAGGTCGTCTGGATTTACACAAAAAAGTTTTGATTGTATGTCTCATGGAGAAATTGAAGTCTAGGAACCGAAGAAAATAACTTTACTCATTCTGTTCTCTTACCCTGGATAGGTACAGTCTAGCATATCACCACCAGCGGAAAGGCAGGAAACCCATGCCTGGGCCAGCCCTGCTGTAACATCTCTTGAGTCAGCAGCATGTCATGAACTGCAGGAAGCAGACCTCAGTGAGAGTTTATCATATCCCAGAATTGTCTCCTCAAGTTCATTACAGCAGTATGTCGCACAAGGTGGCTCATTTCCTTGTTTCGGTATGCCATGGAACTTTATCAGTGGAGGTGCTGAAAGTACCAATGCTGTCATCTCATTTGCCAATGCTACTACAGCAGTACCTATGGCAGTTCTGTCACGAAGAGAATCCAGTCTGGCAAATAACCCTGGTGTGGTGAATTACTCTGCTCTACCAGAAAATGAAAATGTGGGCCCAGGTAGAGCCTTGTCATCTTTCTGCTTCCATCCCAATTTGGGTGAGTTTGAAATGACACATATTACAGATAGCATTCTTCAATCTAGATTTTAAAACACCCTTCATGCAAATTAGTGTTAGTTATTTTTTAAATTAAAAGTTTTATCTTGAAGCCATTATAGATTCATATGTAGTTGTAAGAAATAATACAGAGAGATACCCTTTCCCCAATTTTCCCCAGTGGTAACATCTCATAAGACTGTAGTTTGTATTCATTTGTGTGTCTGACTTTCGGCTTTTTTTTTTAAAACAATTTTATCAGATGAGAAAGTTTGTATGTTCCTACCATAGTCAAGATACAGAACCGTTCTATCACCAGAAAGTTTGCTTGTCTTGCCTTTCTATAACCAAACCCATCCTCCTTTTCCTTCCCCCACTTACCTATTCCTAACCTTTGGCAAGTGTGATCTCTTCTCCATCTCTATAATTTTGTCACTTCAATATTGTTATATAATTGGATGCATATAGTATGTAACCTTTTGGTACTGGCTTTTTTTTACTCAACATAATCCCCTGGAGACTCAACCAAGTTGTGTGTTTCAGTAGTTCCTTTATTGCCAAGTACTATTCCATGGTATAGGTGTGCCATGGTTTAACCATTCATCTATTGAAGGAAATTATTTTTCCAGTTTTTGACTATTAGTAGTAAGGCTGCTATGAAAATTCATATACAAGTTTTTGTGTAAATGGAAGTTTTCATTTCTCTGACATGATTACCCAAGAGTGCAACTGCTGGTTATATATTAATTGCATGTTTAGGTTTTTTTAAAAAAACAAATCTTTATTGAGATATTAATGTCTTGGTCTGTTTGTGTTACTATAACAAAATACCATAGACTGGGTGATTGAAAAAGAACAGAAATGTAGTTTCTCACAGCTCCAGAGGCTGGGAAGTTCAAAAGCAAGGTGCCAGCCGGTTTGTGTGGTGAGGGCTGCATCCTCTGCAAGAGAGGAGCACTGTGTCCTCACATGGCAGAAGGTAGAAGGACAAGATTTCAAAATGCCGTGTGAAGCCTCTTTTATAAGGGCCTCCATCCCATTCATGAGGGAGGAGCCCTCATAGCTTAATCATCTTAAAGGTCCCATTTCTTAATACGATCACATTGGCAACACCTGAATTTTGGAAAGGATACCTTCAAACCATAGTAATTGATAAGTAAAAAACTGCACATATTTATTATACCCAATGTAATGAGTTTGGACATATGCATGTTTAGTTTTATGAGAAACTGCCTAACTATTTTCCAGGGGCGCTGTATCATCTGACATTCTTGCCAGCTATATATGGGTGATCTACTTTCTCTAAATGCATATTTCTGCTCTTTCTTTTGTTCTTTCTTCCTGATGCTCCAAGATTCCTTCTTTCATCATCTTCTTTTTTTGATTGAGGAGTTTTCTTTAACCTTTCTTTAAGGGTAAGTCTGCTGGGGACAAATTCTTTTTGTTTTCCTTTGTGTGTGAATGTCTGTTTCTCTTTCTTTCTTGAAGGATAATTTTGCTTTGTATAGAATTTGTGGGTGAAGTTCTTGTATTACAGCTCTTGAAAACTTTTTATTTACAGAAATGCCAGAAAGACCAGCAAACAGCAGTAAAAACAGCACTGAGACAGCGAATTATCCAACTTTAATGGGAAATTACAATGGCCAAAATACTGCCTCTTTATCTGTCTTCATCCCTCCCTATTTTGGTGAGTTTGAAATGATACATAATGCTGGGCGTGGTGGCTCACACTTGTAATCCCAGCACTTTGGGAGGGTGAGGCGGGTGCATCACCTGACATCAGAAGTTTGAGACCAGCCTGACCAACATGGTGAAAACCCGTCTCTACTAAAAATACAAAAAATTAGCCGGGTGTGGTGGCGGGCACCTGTAATCCCAGCTACTCCGGAGGCCGAGGCAGGAGAATCACTTGAACCCAGAGGCAGAGGTTGCAGTGAGCTGGGATCATGCCACTTAACTCCAGCCTGGGCAACAAGAGCGAAACTCCATCTCAAAATAAATAAATACATAAATACATAAAAAAGAAATGATACATATTGCAAATAGCATTATTTAACCTTGATCCACCAGTTTTTTTTTTTTTGTTTTTTTTTTTTTTTTTTTTTGAGATGGAGTTTTGCTCTTGTTGCCCAGGCTGGAGTACAATGGTGCGATCTCGGCTCACTGCAACCTCCGCCTCCTGGGTTCAAGTGATTCTCCTACCTCAGCCTCCCAAGTAGCTGGGATTATAGGCATGCACCACCACGCCTGGCTAATTTTTTTGTATTTTTAGTAGAGACGAGGTTTCTCCATGTTGGTCAGGCTGGTCTCCAACTCTCAACCTCGGGTGATCTGTCCGCCTCTGCCTCCCAAAGTGCTGGGATTATAGGCGTGAGCCACTGCGCCCAGCCTGATTCACCAGTATTTTTAATGTCAGCTAGTGTGACTCTTTTCAAACTAAACTTTTCGGTTTGAGATAATTTTAGATTCACACACAGTTGTAAGAAATAATGCAGAGAACTGTTTATGCTTTAGCCATTTCCCCCAAAGGATGACATCTTTAAAACTATAGTAAAATATCACATCCAAGGTAGTGGCATTGATACACTCCACAGATCTTACTGAGATGTTCCCAGGTTTACTTGTAATTAATTTGTGTGTGTGTATTTAGTTCTTTGCAGTTTTATCACAAGTAGTTTTAATGTCTACCTCCAGTGAAGACATAGAACGTTTCTATCACTGCAATGATGCCTCATCTTGCCCTTTGATAATCACATTCACTTTCCTCATGTCATCCTTTCCTTCCAACCTGCCCCATCCCTAACACCTGGTAACTACTGATCTGTTCTCTGTTTATAATTTTGTCACTTCAAGAATGTTATATTAAGGGAATGTTACAGTATGTAATTTTGGGGTATTGGTGTTTTTCACTCAGTATAGTTATCTGAAAACTCACCCAGCTTGTTGCATGTATCAAGAGTTCCCTCCTTTCTTTTCTTCTTTTTTTTTTTTTTTTTTTTGAGACAGAGTCTTACTCTGTTGCCCAGGCTGGAATGCAGTGGCGCGATCTTGGCTTACTGCAACTTCTGCCTCCCGGGTTCAAGCAATTCTCATGCCTCAGCCTCCTGAATAGCTAGGATTACAAGTGTGTGCCACCACGCCCAGCTAATTTTTGTATTTTTGGTAGAGACAGGGTTTCACCATGTTGGCCAGGCTGGTCTCAAACTCCTGACCTCAGGTGGCCTGCCTGCCACGGCCTCCCAAAGTGCTGAGACTACAGGCATGAGCCACCACACCCAGCCTACCCTCCTTTTTATTTTTGATTTATATTTCATAGTATGGCTATGCCACAGTTTGTTTAGCCATTCACCCATTGAAAAGGCATCAAATTGTTTTTTTTTCCAGTTTTTGGATATTAGGAGTGAAGCCACTATGAACAGTCATGAACAGGTTTTTCTGTAAATATAAGTTTTCATTTCTCTGTCATGAATGCCAAGAGTGTAATTGCTGAGCCTTATGGTACTAGCATGTTTAGTTTTATAAGAAACTGCCAAATAGTTTTCCAGAGAGTCTGTATTATCTTCCATTTCCACCAGCAATGCATGAGTGATCCAGTTTCTCCACATTCATATTTCTGTTATTTCTATTGTTCTTCCTTCTGGATGCTCTATATTTTCTTTTTTCATCCATTCCTTTCTGTTTGAATACTTTTCTTCAGCCTTTCTTTCAGGTTTCTTTAGTGTTCCTGCATGTGAAAATGTCTTTATTTTCCTTATGTTCTTCAAGGAACATAGTTTTGCTGGGCATAGAATTTGTGGCTGAGAGTTTATTTTCCATCAATATCCTGAATGCAAGTCAGTGGTAGCTCTTTAAAAACAAAAAAAAAAACTAGGCTTTTTATTTTGAGATAATTTTGAATTCACATGTAATTGTAAGAAATTGTACAGAGATCCCATTTATACTTTACCCATTTTCCTCAATGATAACATCTTAAAGAACTATATCCTGCATCCAGGATATTGGCATTGATTAAATCCACATCTCTGTGTGTGTATTTAGTTCTATGAAATTTAATCATGAGTCAGTTTACATGTCCACTATTAGTTACAATACAGAACATTTCCATCATCACTACAAAGATCCTTCATATTGTTCTTTTAAAACCATAGCCACCTCCCCCAATCTCCCTTGCCTCTCATCTTGCCCTGTCTTAACTACTGATAGTCAGCAATCTCACTTTGTTTGCCAGAATTTCATTATTTGAGTATCATTACTTAAATGCAACTAAATGCTGTGTAACCTTTTTATTTATTTATTATTATTATACTTTAAGTTTTAGGGTACATGTGCACAATGTGCAGGTTAGTTACATATGTATACATGTGCCATGCTGGTGTGCTGCACCCATTAACTCGTCATTTAGCATTAGGTATATCTCCTGATGCTATCCCTCCCCCCTCCCCCCACCCCACAACAGTCCCCAGAGTGTGATGTTCCCCTTCCTGTGTCCATGTGTTCTCATTGTTCAATTCCCATCTATGAGTGAGAACATCCGGCGTTTGGTTTTTTGTCCTTGTGATAGTTTACTGAGAATGATGATTTCCAATTTCATCCATGTCCCTACAAAGGACATGAACTCATCATTTTTTATGGCTGCATAGTATTCCATGGTGTATATGTGCCACATTTTCTTAATCCAGTCTATCATTGTTGGACATTTGGGTTGGTTCCAAGTCTTTGCTATTGTGAATAGTGCCACGATAAACATAAGTGTGCATGTGTCTTTATAGCAGCATGATTTATAGTCCTTTGGGTATATACCCAGTAATGGGATGGCTGGGTCAAATGGTATTTCTAGTTCTAAATCCCTGAGGAATCGCCACCCTGACTTCCACAAGGGTTGAACTAGTTTCCAGTCCCACCACCAGTGTAAAAGTGTTTATTTCTCCACATCCTCTCCAGCACCTGTTGTTTCCTGACTTTTTAATGATTGCCATTCTAACTGGTGTGAGATGGTATCTCATTGTGGTTTTGATTTGCATTTCTCTGATGGCCAGTGATGATGAGCATTTTTTCATGTTGTCTGTTGGCTGCATAAATGTCTTCTTTTGAGAAGTGTCTGTTCATATCCTTTGCCTACTTTTTGATGGGGTTGTTTGTTTTTTTCTTGTAAATTTGTTTGAGTTCATTGTAGATTCTGGATATTAGCCCTTTGTCAGATGAGTAGGTTGCGAAAATTTTCTCCCATTCTGTAGGTTGCCTGTTCACTCTGATGGTAGTTTCTTTTGCTGTGCAGAAGCTCTTTAGTTTGATTAGATCCCATTTGTCAATTTTGTCTTTTGTTGCCATTGCTTTTGGTGTTTTAGACATGAAGTCCTTGCCCATGCCTATGTCCTGAATGGTAATGCCTAGGTTTTCTTCTAGGGTT